>NC_000012.12:128302253-128603877 GCF_000001405.40 Homo sapiens
AATTTTTGGGTCTTGGAAGGAGCTGACCACTGTCATCACAGTGCTGGCTGATCTTATTATTATCTGTCTCACAAATCAAATATGGGTAAATATATTCTATAGGCAGCAGTAGCAAAACATGCAAAATCAGATTACTTGACCAATTTTCAGCCCTGATTCCTACTCCTCATGTTGATTCCTCTGATTAGCTTTTCATTCCTCTCTGAAATGCCACTAAATGGACTCAGATGCCAAAATATAATTTGCATAGGGCACTAGCTTTGTCCAGAAGACACAGTTGTTATTCAAATCAAGCCAAGTTAAAAGAGATCATGTAGCTCTTTCGTGTCACAAATTTGGTAGCAAGTTTTTATTGTTTATAGATTACTATGAGCTACTAAGGGAAAACAGGGCTTTAAGAGAATGTGGCAAGTATTAAGAGACACAGATACTTCTTTGGAGCAGCTTGTAAGGGAGGGTTAATAAAACATATCTACATGACACAATAGCAAAACTTCAAAGCCTTCATCTTAATACATATGAAATGATTTATATAAATTGAAGATCCACGGGCTGAATGATGGTTCAGAGTTGAATGGATTAACCCTGGTGAACTGTTTCAAGAGGGTCTTTTTAAACCATCATTTGCAGATATTTTGATCTTCTTCTTGTATCAGTTTTCAGATACCTCAAATAAGGTTCACAGCCAACAACTTGGGAAGCATCTTTGCACCCTAGGGCAATGTGTGCCCCCACCTGACCTCCAGATGGTATTCTCCAACCTGAGCAAGAATCAATAAATCAGTGATGGGGAAAATCAAAGAGGACGACACAGCTTTGCCTTCCAAGACCTTAGGATATGTGTTCATTTATTACTTGGGTGCCAGAGCATTAATGATGCCATGTGGGTTCAGGTTTCTCCTTATGGGTGTTAAAACAAAAGGAATTATTCTATCTACTTGTGTTGAAGCAAATGGAAATTTATTATTCTTTAAAAGAAAGGATACTATGACAGCAGGAATACAAAATTTATCAGTAAAAATGAGTCCAAATTTTAGTGTCTTCAGCACTGTCTCAGGTTGTGCCTTGCATTTCCCTTCTTCCCTTTGATCTTTTATGGGGCAAGTTCAGAAGCAGATATTCTGATAGTAAAGCAATGTAGGGATCCATCGTGACTGAGCCTGATTCCAAAGTTTTCTTTATTCGTGATGAGGGAACAATGATTTTAATTTACTGTTTCTGCAGAACTTCAGACCTGTCTCTTAAAATAACTCCTGACCACTTATTCACTGGTCAACTCAAGCAAATAATATTTGTGTTTGTCCAATTAACAAAGAGCAAAAAGGGGTGGTAAAATACATCCTGAGCCTTAGGCATCAGGAGAAGTTTGCACGTGGAACTGCTGTTCTCAACGTTGCTTGCTACGGTAGATTGCAGAAATGGTGGCTGTTTTCCTCGCTGCTGCTAGGCTTGACATTTTTCAGCTCTTACCATCAAAAGGTAGAGTCTTATTTTTCTACCTCTTGCATGCAGCAGGCCTTCTGATTGTGTTGGCCAGTAGGATGAGTTAGAAGTGGCATTGTGGAAGTCATTTCTGAGCTCAGACCTCAGGAGGTTTCTGCACACTTCTGTCTTTCTCTTGGAACCTTCCACGTTACCATGTGAACAAGCATGGGTGAAAGTATGAAATATGAGAAATTACCAGGGAGGTCTTCCCAGTGAAGGCCATTCTTGACCAACGAGACCCAACTAACCTGGTAGTTGGGACAGATGTGTGATCCCAGCAGAACCCAGAATTATGAGCTAAATCGATGGCTATTGTTTTAACCCAACCAAGTTTGGGGATGATTTGTTACGTAACAGCTGACTGATACCCTTCATGTTACACAAGTTCGTGAGTAACAAAAAAGTAGATTGTCACTAAGTATTTTTGAAGAGATAAACACATCCTTTTAATTTATCTTTTATTGAGACATCTTATTTTTTTCTTTACCTGAGAATCGAGCTTCCCTACACATTCAAAAATGGCATTTGTGTGTGCATCAGATAGAAAATGTGTGTGTGCGTGTAAGTGCATGCTCAGCTTTAGAAACAGCCTTTCAGGCTGGGCGTGGTGGCTCATGCCTGTAATCCCAGCATTTTGGGTGGGTAGATCATTTGAGGTCAGGAATTCAAGACCAGCCTGGCCAACGTGGTGAAACCCCGTCTCCACTAAAAATACAAAAAATTAGCTGGGCATGGTGGCGGGCACCTGTAATTCCAGCTACTCAGGAGGCTGAGGCAGGAGAATCGCTCGAACCCAGGAGGTGGAGGTTTCAATGAGCCAAGATTGCACCACTGCACTCCAGCCTGGGTGACAGAGCAAGCCTCCGTCTCAAAAAAAAGAAAGAAAGAAAGAAAGAAAGAAAAAAAAGAAAGAGCCTTTCAGAATCACTGGCTGTAATCTATTTGGGGAGACGGCATCCACATATGTGAAAAAATCTGGGAAGATGTAAGTGCCAAGTTCAGTAGCCCTGCCTCAGTGGTCATTTAGAACTGTGTCCACTCAAAGAGCCCATAGCTTTGTAGGTTCAGAGGTGGATAAAGGTGCATCTGGCCACTTCAGTTAGGAAAGGCTTTTTTGATGGGACAAGTTGGGTGGAAAGAAAGATTGGTTTGGATGCCATGGGGAGTTGGAAGGGTAGATTCTGACCTGGCAATGACATGAACCAATATACAGAGGCTGGAGTTGCCATTGGCTGTGGCTGAGAGGAGGGGCGAGGAAAGGGTTGATTGCCAATAGATTCCTGTTGGGGAGAGATAGAAAATGGGGCTACTCTCATCCCTTCTTTCCATCCACCTTTCTTTAAAAGCGTTGCGTATTAGGCTGGGCGTGGTGGCTCACACCTGTAATCCCAGTGCTTTGGGAGGCAGAAGTGGGAGGATCACTTGAGGCCAGGAGTTCGGCCTCGGCAACACAGTAGGACTCCATCTCTACAATAATAATAATTATTATTATAATAACTGTCATAATAATAAAAAATTAGGCATGGTGGCTAGACCCCGACTTTAAACAGAAAGGATTGCATGTGATACCTCAGTCTGAAGAGGGAGAGTTTTATTTGTAAGGAGAAAGAGCCTTAACATTTTAATTATCTTGATACTACTCCCATCTTGGCAGTTACTCTGTTTCCCCCAAATTGCTCAAGAGCTGGAAGGCCTGAATCCTGACCTTAGTACCAAGCCTGAGAACTCAATCCATTCTCTAAACGTTAAGTTTCCGCCGAACTTTAGATGATTCTGCGGCTTTGTGTTGTGGTTTTGTGGCTTTTTTTTTTTTTTCCATTTGAAATTAAATTATCTGGAATGACAAAACCACAGCTGTTAAACAGTGGGCATTAGATGACATTTAAACATCATTATCTTATGCTCTAATGGAAGAATTGGCTCGTGATTAAAAATGAGACCTCCCGGCAGCAGCAATCTGAAGAACTGCCATTTGCAAATCGCCTATTTTAAGAAGAACCCTGAATCTATTGGTATTTTCAGAGAAAATGGAACACTAGCTTTATCTGCGTCTGGATGTTTGAAGATGGTGCTGATTGCTGGCAGACCTTTCCAGCATGATCCTAATGGTTTGGTGCCTGCCTGTATAGACGATGCCTAGAACTGACGGTAGCCTGGTGATATTTACAATTACAAATGGATTCTTATTTTAGAGATTATCTCAAGGAGTCAGTAATCCATTTTCAGGGCTTGAGACTTAATTTAGGCTTTTAAAATCTCTGATTGTGTGCAGTTAATGAAGTCAGTCTGAGTCTATATTCATCCCGATAGTGCTGAGTTTGACACCAATGACACTAGATTTTATTTTCCAAATAGGTATGCAGATTTTTCTTCCCAAGAAAGACTTCCATTCTAGTGACTTCAGGTTGAAACATTTAGATGTGAACATTTCAGCATGGAAAACACCTCTTTACCCTGTGAAGAAATTCTTTTTTTTTTTTTTTTGAGACTGAGCCTTGCTCCGTTGCCCAGGCTTGAGTACAGTGGCGATCTCAGCTCACTGCAAGCTCTGCCCCCCGGGTTCTGCCATACTCCTGCCTCAGCCTCCCGAGTAGCTGGGACTACAGGTGCCCGCCACCACGCCTGGCTAATTTTTTGTATTTTTTAGTAGAGATGGGGTTTCATCGTGTTAGCCAGGATGGTCTCGATCTCCTGACCTCGTGATCTGCCCACCTCGGCCTCCCAAAGTGCTGGGATTACAGGCGTGAGCCACCGCACCTGGCCACCCTGTGAAGAAATTCTAACTTGTAATTTGGGGGTTTCTGCTTTCTCTTTTGTAATGTTATTTTTAGAAAGCTAAAGGCTAATGAATGATTGAGGTGTAATGTTTATGGGACAGCAGGATTTCTGTGGCAGGTATCTATTTAGTTATTTTTAGTGTCCTGTTTTTTGAAGACTTCAAGAAGAACATATAAAAGGAAGAGACCTTTGTCCACTTCCACTGTAGCTCAATTTCCCATCTATCAATTGGATTACTGCTAGGGTTTTGGAGAAAATGAAAAATGAAAGAATCAGTGATGATTCCCCAAAGTAAATTATTGCTGAAATGTGAGATAGGTTTTTGTCCTCTCGTTGGCATGTTGGGAAAAGCCTGGGCATATGTTAGCATGGTTAGCCACTGAGTGAACCCATGTTCTTTAGCTGTAAGCAAAGAGTGAGCCCTACTAAAGAGGATATGGACTGGTCCTTTAGGTTAAGAGGGTGGTTGAAACCCCTCAACTATTATTGAAGGAATCAAAGAGAGGAGCTACATGAAGCCTTCCACCATTGCTGGAAGGAATAACCTCCTTCTTTCTGGCATCCTTAAGGTTCTGAGTCTTTGGCAAGAGTTCAGTTTCCCAGGGTTGGTTCACACACCCACCCTTGGTTATATGGCACCATAAGAGGCAAGGAGCTTCTAGAAACCTTATCGCCTGGTTTCATAGACTTACCCTCCCTCTTAGACTGGACATAATTGGGGGAGAAGTAATAGCTTCTTCTGTCCCCAAAGTGGGGTGTTATCATGAAGGGAGAAAGGATGTTGAGTTATCAAAATATACAAATATCTCAACTGGAAGTCAAAATGTGTCTTAGAAATTCAGCAATGTCTAAGTAAAGACACTCAGAATTGTCTGCACATAAAACTGTAAGCTCCAGCTCTCCAGATTTGAAAAAAAAAAAAATAGGAAAAAACAGCAAAGCTATTAAGGACCCGTATTTTAATATGCATTATTACATTTCACAATTGTTTTGCAGGATAAATTTCTATCAGGTGACATGAAAATGAGGCCAGATATTTTCATAATCTCTTGTGACCCAAATGTATTATGAATTCCTTCATCCAGTTTTAATATAACTCTAAATTATTCCTCGATGTCTATTAATAATTAAGGAAAGCAAAAACTGTATTATCTCTTTAATAGCATTTTGACTTTTTACTTTCTTTTTGTAATAGATGTTCCCAGTGCATTTCTTGTTATGTCAGGATTCTTAAGAACTTCAAGTCATCGTATTGCATGACTCTTATGCCCTCAGTTTATGAGTCCTGCTATCAAATGGCAATGGGTCCCCCACTCCCACCAGTCTCTTCACCCCAAGAAGTCATTGCCCTCCTTGCAATGGGCCAACACCCTGCTTTACTTTAGGGGAGCTGCCCCTCCCTGACTGTCAGTCCCTTAGGGTGGGATTCCTTCCCTAGGCCTGTCCAATGAGCGTGGTACATTCCATGGGAATGAGAGGCACAGGGCTGGGCAGGTATTCAAAGTGGGGCCATTCAGAGGCAAGGAATGTCTGTCCTTGGACTTTATCTGCAACAGTTAGGAAACAGTGCTTCTCTTTACACCTGGGTTGTGAGTCCTGGAGCTGCAGGTGGCCGTCTTTCCTAAGCATAAAGCCCATGCTGATGGAAGCAGCCTATGGTTCTAGTGGCATCATCTCAGCTCCTAAATCCAGTCTCTTTGGGACCCAGATCTTTCCCTGGACTTCCCCCTTGCAGGAGTCCATAATAGTCTGTTTTATACTTAAGCCTCAACGAGGTTTTTAAAATTATTATTATTTGTTACTGAATCTTATCAAACATATCACCCTTGGCCAGTTTTTTTTTTCTTTTATTTCTAGGGATTCAGATTCTAGAAATGCATTTCTTGTTCCACATTCTGGAAACACATTGCATTGCACAGCCGATGGTATTTAGGAAGGGAGTTAACCCTACCACAGGGACCAGTGCACAGCAGAGAAATTAGAACTGTGTCCGGCACGTTGCAGACACTCAAGAAACTTTTGCTGAGTGAATGGAGGAATGTTTGTAAATCTCCCTTAGTGCTTCCTTGGGACAGGGCTGCACTCTGTTCAGGAGCAATTCCTTAGGCTGGAGAAGCTCTTCCAGGCAGGGATGAGCTGCGGGTTCACTAGGGCTGGGGCAGGGACAACCTGTTTTTGGCCAGCCATTGTCATCTTCTGGGGGGAGCTGACCTTCATGAAGCATCAGCTGAGCACCGTGCACAAGGCCGGGGGTTTGCTCTGCTGGTCAGCTCCACAGCAGGAGACGTGAGAAATCTTCTGGTCCCATCACCTGGTGCTGAGGCTCTTCTTTCCTGTGAACTAATTAGCTCTCCGGTTCAGTTACCTTCTCTCCCTTGGTTTCCATAGAGGGAAATGGATTTTAAAAATGTGATGGAAAGCGTTTTCTTCCAGTGGTGGTAACAGGGATAATTGTCATTGCTCTGCTGGGATGAGGGGAGTTTTTGGGGATATTTGGGGTGTCTGTGATGACAGAAAGTAGAGGAGACAATTTGGGGGAGGGGTGGGGATCAAGGTCCTCACTTAAGCAGAAAAAAGGACCTTTCAGTGATCTCCCGTGACGGGACTGCTGACCTCCAGCCAAGACCTGGTGAGGCAGGGGTGGATGGAAAGGAGGCAGCTTCAGAATGAAGCCGTATCGTTTTGTTTCAGGAATGAGAAGCCAAAATAAAGCAGAAAGATTTAAATCTTGCTTTTTCTCTTCTTAGCTCTATGACACTTGGCAAATCAGCTATTCTTACGGATCCTCAGGACCTTCTTTGTGAACTTCAAATGTTTAGCACACAATAAGCACCAACACTTGCATTTTTAAAAAACTGAGGTGAAATTCTCATCACATACTACCAATAAGCATTTTGAAGTGTACAATTCAGTGGTATTCAGCGCATTCACAATGGTGTGCAACCATCACATCTCTCTAGTTTCAAAACTTTTCCATCACCCCAGAAGAACCCCCCATACCCATTTAATCCGTCACTCTCCATTCCGTTTTCCTCCAGCCCCTGGCAACCAGGACCCCACCGTCAGTCTCTGTGAGTTTGCCTGTTCTGGAAATTCACATAAATGGAATCCTACAATATGTGACCTCTGTGTCTGGCTTCTCTCACTCGGCATCACTTCTTTAGTTTCATCTGTGCTGTAAAATATATCAGCTCTTCATTCCTTTTTTTCTTTTTTTTTTTTCTTTTTTTTCCTGAGATGGAGTCTCGCTGCGTCACCCAGGCTGGAGTGCAGTGGTGCAGTCTCGACTCACTGTAGCCTCCTCCGCCTCATGGCTTCAAGCGATTCCCCTGCCTCAGCCTCCTGAGTAGCTGGGATTACAGGTGCCCGCCACCATGCCTGGCTAATTTTTGTATTTTTAGTAGAGACGGGGTTTCACCATGTTTGCCAGGCTGGTCTCAAACTCCTGACCTCACGTGATCCTCCCACCTTGGCCTCCCAAAGTGCTGGGATTACAGGTGTGAGCCACCGCACCCAGCCTCTCTTCATTCCTTTTCAGGGCTGGATAATATTTCATTGTACAGACAGATCACTACCTTTTGACTATGCAAACCTTTGACTAATCAAGAGGTTGATTCTACCCTTTGACTATTGTGAATAATGCTGCCATGAACCTTCATGTATAAGTATTTACATTTTGAGAATAGTGATGATAAACACAATGATTATTTTTATTAGTTAAATACCATTAAATACAAAGGATGAAGCTAGAGAGTGGATTGGTGGCTACCAGAGGCCAAGAAGGATAATGGGTGTATTAGTCTGTTCTTGCATTGCTACAAAGAGATACCTGAGGCTGGGTAATTTATAAGAAGAGAGGCTTAATTGGCTCATGGTTCTGCAGGCTGTACAGGAAACATGGCACTGGCATCTGCTTGACTTCTGGTAAAGCCTCATGGAGCTTCCAATCGTGGCAGAAAGTGAAAGAGAGAGTTGGGTGGGGGGGTTTGCCACACACAAGGGAGCAAGCAAGAGAGAGTGGGGTCGGGGGTTTGCCACACGCTATTACACCACCTTCCATGAACTCAGAGTGAGAACCTGTTCATCACCAAGGAGATGAACAAGCCATTCATGAGGGATCCACCCCCGTAATCCAGACACCTCCCACCAGACCCCACCTCCAATACTGGGGATCACATTTCAACATGAGATTTGGGTGGGGACAGACATGCAAGCTATATCTACCAGTGGGGATGGAGAGAAGTTGATTAATGGGTACGAGCATATGGTGGGATAGAGAAAATAAGACCTTGTGTTAGATAGATTAGCAAGGTGATTGTAGTTTACAGTACCGTGTGTTTCAAAATATGGAGAAGAGAAGAATTTAAATGTTCCCAGAATAAAGAGAAGATGACTATTTCAGATGATGGAGATCTCAAGTACACTGATTTGATCTTTACAAATTATATGGGTGTATTAAATAATCACATGTACCCTTCAACTATGTATATCTATCATCTATCAATATAAAAAATAAATGAAAAAATTAAAAATACAAATTATATTATCAAATACTATTAACTGTTAACACTATTATTCTTACGAATACTAGTTCTAATAATAAGCGTGTGGCTTGCCACAGAGCTAATTAGTCAGACCTAGACCGCAGAAATCTGCACAGTCCTTTACCCTCTCCACATCTTCCGGGAGCTCTCACTGACAGTCTCCAACACTCTGACAAGATAAGATCCGTACTTCTTTCTAGCCACCCCTTATTAACTCAGCTAAGCTGGATCCGAAGGTTGCACGCAGCCTCGCCTCACTTCTGTGACCGTACTCCTGGTACTCACTGTAATTATGGAATTGTGAAGTGTCACCCACTCAGGAAGCCAGAAGCCTTTTTCTCGTTGAGTGTACGCCACAGGGGACTGATGCTGTGGCCCTAGATGAGAGGGACACAGCAGGCTCTTGTTGGGAGGGGACCCGCTTCTCTGCCTCTATTCTCTACTTTTGTTGTTTAAAGGTAAAAGTCCGAAAATGTTGCCATAGTGACAGCACCAAATGTTGATCAAGTCCATTAGATTTGCCCAGAGGTGCGCTTAGCTCACCCACAGTACTTTCAGAACAGTTCTTTGTTCCCTCTCTCCTTCGTGCAAGAAACGTGGCACCCCCGCCGGAACCTGGTGCCCCGCAGGCTGCGGTGTGGCCATCCGCAAATGGCGACTCACTTCACGTCGGTCCTGGCTCCTCACGCTGCCTGCTCAAACCTTTTTATCAAGCGCAGGCCAGCGAGGCCCCACCTCTTCCCCACGTCCACTGTCCACATCATGCCCTCAGCCTCTCCTGACCACCTCTACGCAGTGTTTTTCCAGGCCGCCGTTGACGGTGCAGGGGTGATGGCAAGAGACCACTCAAATTCAGAAGCTGAGTCATATCCTCTGCTTATCTCAGATTGGGTTCATCAGGATGCTGAGTGGCGACAGAAACCCAACTTCCAGCTGTGCTGAAAGGGACCCCGGAGCGGGGCTGACTCGGTTTGCAAAGTCGGGCGGTGGAGACTCTTCAGGGCAGCCGGCTGGAGGTGCCCTAAGGATACCATTGAGAACCTTCCCTCCCTCTCTCAGTTCTGCTTTCTTCTGGGGTGCCTTCTGTGGGTGTGAATATTGTTCCCCCCAAATCTCATGTCCACCCTGAACCACAGAATGTGACCTCATTTGGAAATAGGGTCTTTGTAGATGGAATCAGTTATGATGAAATCATACTGGATTAGGGTACCTCCCAAATCCAAATCCAGTGACTGGTGGGGTTTTTGTTTGTTTGTTCGTTTTTTGAGACAAGGTCTTGCTCTGTTGCCCAGGCTGGAGTGCAGTGGCACAATTGGTTCACTGCAGCCCCAACTTCCCAGGCTCAGGTGATCCTCCCACCTCAGCCTCCTGTGTAGCTGGGTCTACAACCGCCCACCAACACACCTGACTGATTTTTGTACATTTTATGGAGATGGGGTTTCACCATATTGCCCAGGCTGACTGGTGTCTTTTACGGGAAGGGAGAGGGAGACTTGGATACAGAGGCACATGGCATAGAAGGCGATGTAGCAATGGAGGCAGACATTGGAGGGACACAGTTACACACTAAGGAGCACCAAGAATTTCCAACAGCCATCAGGAACTGGGAGACTCATGAAACAGACTCGCCCTGAGAGCATCCAGGAGAGTCCAACCCTGCCAACACCTTGATTTCAGACTTCTGGCCTCTAGAACTGTGAGAGGATAAAGTTCTCTCCCAGTTTGTGCTAATTTATTATGGCAGCTCTGGGAAAGTAATGCACCTTCATTCACAGGCTGATGCACACTCAGTGAAATCAATGATGGTTTCCAGCTGCACTCAGCTTGCCTCCCGCACATGGGCTCTGGAGGAGGAATGCTTTCTTGCCTTGTTTTTGTGTTTCCCCAGTGGAGGGACTACCTAGGCTGCAGGGCAAGCCCATTCCTCAGCCTGCTCCATCCTCCCTCTCCTCATGGAAGGAAGAGGAGCTTAGTGCACAGAGAGGCAACATAACAAGCTTAGCCCAAGCTGCTGCTTCCTCTGGCAGCCTCCGGCCTGCAAGGGGGTGTCTTCTCATCTGCTCTGGGTTGGGAAGGCAGGCTCGGGGCAGCACAGAGCCAGGCCCTCTGGACTCACCATTATGAAGCCAAATCTCCAGGGATCCACTTTGTCAGTGTCAGAGCAGATGTTTTAATCTCTGCTGTCTATCTCCTGCACATATGATAGGACATCACCTCATAACTGCTCATAAAGAGAGTTCCCAGAAGCTAAGTCACTCGTCTGAGGCCACTCAGTGATGTGAAATGGCAGAATCAGCCTTGGCACCCCCAGTCTCTATCTTCATTCAAGGAATTCCTACCCAGTCTGCCATCCTACACGCCACCACCCTGAGGCAGACCGGAGGCCCCGCAGCACTCAGAATTCTTTTCCCAAAGGCGAGAATTATCCAGTTATCGGGACTGGCTTTTCTCCATCTTTATTAACAGTGAGCTGAGAACACGTGTGATAGGGGGATTAAGGACTTGCTGGCCCAAACAGCAGCAGAACTTTCTTTTCTCCAAGGTCCTGCAGGACAAGGGTTTCTTTTCACCATGATTAGCTTAGACCAATTAGGATCTAGCCCCTGGGATGGTGGACGGGGCCAGCAGAGGAGCATAAATAAATGGTCAAACTGGGATCCTGTTAGGAAGGACGAGAGAGAGCTGGCACTGGCAGTGAGGATTTCTGCTCCATGAGGTGATTGCATAGCACAGACGCTGTGGGCAGAATTACAGTGAAAACAGTGTGGGGATCAAGTCCGTTATAACTAGGAGGACAAAAGAAATGGCCAAGCATGTGGGGATTAATTTATTTTATTATATTTTTCCCCTAAGAGAGTCTTTGAGTTCCCTCAAAAGAAAAACCTGCCCCTTGTTTGAGGCTAGATATTCCCTTCCTCCTGCAAGTTGTCTGAGAAGTTGATTAAATCCATCACTCACAGCTGAGAAGAAAGGGTGGGAAACCCTAGAAATGGTTAGGGTCCCTGGGAGACACTTGAATTTGGAATCTCTTTAATAGCTCTTGGCACAAAAGCAAACAAGAGTCTCTCGGAGATCAAAGGACTTTTATCTTACTCAGTGGAGAAATCTGTTACTTCAGTCACTTATTGTTGGAGCCAAAAATATCCCTGGAGTGAGAAAAGAAGGAAGAAATGTGTTGTCCATTTCTGTCTTTATTGCAGATCGGGGTAATTGGTTTTCAGGTGATTTCTGAGCTTTATAAGGAACAATCTTTAATTGGGGAAGGCATGAATTCCTAGCTGCCCATCAGGCCTTCTATTCGAGGCTGTTCAAAATTGCAGTTGAATGTGTCATTGACAGAAAGCTCCCATACTCATGTATTCCTCAATTTTTGATTAAGAGCCTACCATCTGGCATCCGGATAGTAGGAATTCAGTGGTATCATGAATGGACAGTGTCCCTCCAAATTCACATCCACCCAGAACCCCAGAGTGTCACTTTAGCTGGAAATAGAGTCATTGCAGATATAATTAGTTGAGTTTCAATGAGGACATACTGGATTCAGGTGGGCTCTAAATCCAGTAACTGGTATGTTTATAAGGAGAGGAGAGGAGACAGAGACACACAGAAAAGGGACCTTGTGAAGAAAGGGGCAGAGATTGGAGCTCAGGACTGCCGGCGGCCACCAGAAGCTGGGAGAGACAGGCACAGATGCTCCCTCGTGGCTTCTAGCAGAACCAGCCCTGCTGACACCCTGATTTTGGACTTCTGGCCTCCAGAACTGTCTGAGAATAAATTTCCATTGTTTTAAGCCACTCAGTGTGGGCCCTTTGTTAGGCAGCTACAGGGAATGAAATCAAATGGTTGTGAGATGATTCACAGAGCTCACATTCCAGCTGTCCAGCCTGTAAAATGGGAGGGAGACAGTAAACAAGGAAACAAGTAAATAAATGTGAATTTCAAAAGGATTATTGAAAAACATTAAAGCAGGCAATATGTTACCCAGAGGCAGGTTGCGATGGGAAGTCTATTTTGAATAGGATGGATGGTCTCGGAAGGTTCTTCAATGAGGAGGCATCTGATCAGGGACGGGGACAGTTTGAAGGACCAGGCACACAACCCTTGGAGGGGACATGCTCAGGCAGACAGGCATGTGAAAGTCCGAGGTACAAGAGAGCTTGGAGCTTTCACAAACAGAAAGAAGCCAGTGTGTGCCTGCCCCAGCGTCAGTGTGTGGAGAGGAACGGGATGAGGCTGCAGGGGTAGGGAGCTGCCTTCCAGGTATTGCTAAATGCGCATAATATTTACATAAAAGAATAGAAACCAAGTGTCAGGGCCACACAGTTGGATTTGTCTAGGGAAAGGGTAAAATTAGAGGCTAGCTGAGTTTTAAAATAAGGAAGAAAACCGCGCCATTTCAGATGAGATTTGCTGCCAGTCCTGCCAGGGTAACGATAGCCTTTTCTACTCACCAAATCCACCCAACTTTTTGGAAAAAAAAAACTTGCATTTTCAGGTTGACTCTCTTGCAGGAAGGGTCGGGAGCCTATGGTGGCAGGACAGAGAGATGTGTGTCTCAGTGCACTGGATTGAATAGTGGCCCCCCAAAATGTTTATCCATGTAGGATCTCATGTGACCTTATTTGGAAACAGGGTCATTGCAGATGTAGTTAGTGAAGATGAGGTCATGCTGGAGTAGGTGGGCCCCTAATCCAGTGACTGGGGTCCTTATGAGAAGGCCATGTGCAGACCCCAAGAGAGACAGGAGGAGAAGGCCACGCAGTGAAGAAAACAGAGGCTGGAGTGACGCATCCACAAGCCCACGGGTGACAAGCACAGCCGGAGCCATCCGAAGCCAGGAGAACGGCATGGAACAGATTATCTCGAGGGCCCTAAGAGCGAGTGTGGACCTGCCGACACCGTGATTTCAGCCTTTGGCCCCCAGAATAGTGAGAGAATAAATTCCTGTTGTTCTAAGTCACCCAGTTTGTGACACTTTGTAAGAGCAGCTCCAAGAGACAGATTGAAGTGCATTTAGAGAATCAAATAAATCCCCCAAGCAGGAGAAAGGAGTACTTTTGTAGGTTTATTTTGTTTTGGTTTCTTACATAGCGTAAGAAGGCACAGTCACCTGAGCATATTACCACGCTTTGTCACTAATTCTATTAGACTCTCTGTTCTAACAGGAACCCCCAGGGACCTTGCTGGTTCCCACAGTCAGGCGGCTCCAAGTGTGTGGGGTCCCACATGGGCTACACATCTTAGCATTGCTGGCAAAACCACTGGGGCGAGGTTCCCTTCCTCTTCCTTCCTCAGTTTCCTTCCCCACCACCTCCACAGCAGTAAGATAGACCCAACGGACTTCACTGAGGATTTGTAGTTGATTTTGGAGACAGGACGTTTCCATTCCTGGGAAGGGATGGGAGTTCAGCAGGCATCCCATTTAGAAAGGAACTGAGTGAGGGCCCACTGTGAAATCTTTGGTGGAAACCAGGCTTTGCAATAGAAAATGCAGCTGTAGAATGTTGGGGAAACAGGCTCTGAAGCTCTGTGTCACAGACATGCAAAGACCACAATACAACTTAAAATTACGCCTATTCATGGACCTCTGGTGTCAAGGGGTGGGGAGGAAGAGACTGTCTCTGTCCCATTATTTTTAACAGCTTTTTATTTAAACAATTTTAATGTTATATCACCTCAAGTTAATTTTTTTGTCTCATTATTAATATTATTGTTATTATTTTGACCACAGGTACAGAATTGGCTTAATCATAACCCTTGTTCCAAGATACACTCCTTTCCTGGGGCCATCTGTGACTCACTCATATTTACATAGTTATTTGTTTATTTTTAAATAGTGTAATGAGTACCTGGGAACCCACCACCCGCAACTAAAGCTGGGACCTTAACAATATATCCATGTGACCTCAATTTTTTGAATAGCTATCACCCTTATGTACTTTAGAATGCAGTTACATAAATATCCTGAGGGCTTGATCTTTTCTGTTGCTCAGTAACCAAATCTGTTTCAGGCATGTGTTTAATTCCCATGTGGGACTTTTTGGCTGCTCAAAACCACATATTCCATCATAATCTTCTGAGAAGACTCTTATCTTCTCTACTGACCTGCACCAAATGCAGTTCTGTACTCATTTTTTTTTTCCTAAGCAAAACTTTCTCCTTTCTTAACTGATTTCTTTGAGGAACAAAGCCAAGAGCAACTGGGTTGCCATGTGGTTATACAATAAAAAGAAGTAAGAACAGACGTTCAGTAAACTCAGCTGATAACACGTTTATCTGTTCAAGCCAGAAATGTTTATCAATTGTTTAGGGGTCCGGATCTTGGTACTGGATGTTCAAATACCAGATGATGAAACATGAAGGAAGAAAACTGGGCAAACTCACATCTATGGAGAAACAAACCCGCCCACAAACAAGATGAGTCAAGCTGAAAAGAAAGTTTGATATAGTCTACATTTCTTTTCTGTTTCCTTTTACATAATTCCCTTAGGAACTTTTTTTCTTAAAGGAGCACTTTAGAGGAGAATAAAGGTTATAAATTAGGCCAGTCACATTGGCTCATGCCTGTAATCCCAGCACTTTGGGAAGCCAAGGTGGGCGGATCTCTTGAGGTCAGCAGTTCGAGCCCAGTCTGGCCAACATGGCAAAACCTCGTCTCTACTAAAAATACAAAAATTAGCCAGTCTTGGTGACACCCACCTGTAGTCCTAGCTACTAGGGAGGCTGAGGCAGGAGGACGGCTTGAACCTGGGAGGCAGAGGTTTCAGTGAGCAGTGAGGTTGCAGTGGGATCACTCCACTGTACTCCATCCTGGGTGATAGAGTGAGATTCTGTCTCAAAAAAGTTATAAATTAGTGGAAATTGTAAAGATCTCAGAAACAAGTAAATTTTGGCTCTGCCATTTGTGCTATGGTCTCAGAGAAGACATCAAAAATATAGACAGTTTGGAAAGAGGACAGTGTATGTGAGTTAGTTTAGACAAGAAGTGTTTATTGAGGACCTGTTGGATGTCAGGCTGGGGCTCGGCTTTGAGGACATGGTGGTGAAAAAAACAGACACGGATCTCACCCTAACTCTTACTGAGGAATGAATCAAAAACAGAAGTTTGGAAAAAATACTGAACTTGACTTGTGTTTGAAGATAAATTCCTAGAGGACCAGTTTTGAGTTTCCTTTTCTTTTTTGCTGGACCACAAATGGCTCTTTATCAGTAATGAAAAACAACTCCAAATTTCTAGTTCTCCAAATCTCTGGAGAGCAGGTGCTGGAAAAGTGATGTTACTTGCATTTTCCTGGCATCGTACATGTAACCAACCTACTGGCTAAAGGCCCATTAGAAATCATTTTGTGTACTTAAATGATAAGTAGAAACACACACTCCCCTAGAGGACTAATTTGACTTGCTAAAGGCTTTTGCACGAGAACAACAGGGGTCATTATGTGTTCTTGTGGTGCATGACATCACTACAGCTTCAAGAGTTAATTACATTCTTAATTACAGCTTTGTATTGAATTAGGAAAACTATCATCCATAACGTAATTGAAACCCTGCTGAGATCGCGTCTGTTGCCAGCTAATTGCATGCCATTTTTTACTAAACTTTAAATAAAAACCAGTATTTCATTTGCCTCAGCTTTAATTAATTGACAGGAGACACTTAATTGGGGTTTTATCAATAGATTGGATACGTTAAAGTGATCACGGAGAGATGTGTTGCATTCTAGCATAGCAGCCTTAAAATATTGAACTGGCATATGCTTTCATGACAGTTAGGAAAGAAACCTGAGTAGAAGTAATTTGTTGCTCCAAGAAAAGAGTACTCCAGCAGGAGTCAGAAGTTGTGGGCCCTCACCTTGCAGGGGATCCTTTCTTATCATGGCAAAAACACTTCCCCCCAGACCTTACTTCCCCTAGAGCTTACGCATCTCCATCTCCATCATGACAGTTGGGTGGATCTTAAAAATCCCTGTTAACTCATATCCTACTTTTGTGACTTAGACTGAGATGTTCCAGTGAGGGAGGGTAAATACAATGTTGGCCATAAGGCAAACTGCTTAGGATCTGGACTCTCTGCTCGTCTTTGTAGAGCAGGCCTCCTTTGTGGTCAGCCACAGAAGCCCTGTGGTTGCCCTAATAGAGAAGGAATTACAAGAAAGACATTAGGATGATCAAGATCAGTAATATCACACTTATCAGTTAACAAGAACACAATGACCTTGTCAGAGGGTTGCTAATGGAATGCTAACTCCTGCATCTTTTTTTCTCTGACTCCCTCCACTCAAGATTTGCAGTCCCGAGAGAGAGAGAGAGAGACAGAGAGACAGTGTGTGTGTGTGTGTCTGTCTGTTGGGCCAAGTGCGGTTCACGTGTTCTGTTTTGACTGAGGGAGTACAGGACCCCTTGCCTTAGTCTTGGAGAGGCTGTTACCATGAGAAGCAATTGGAGTGCTGTCACCAAAGGAAGGGATATTAAAAAATGGGCCACCAGGCCAGGCACGGTGGCTCATGCCTGTAATCCCAGCACTTTGGGAGGCCGAGATGGGCGGATCACAGGGTTAGGAGTTCGAGACCAGCCTGGCCAATATGGTGAAACCCCATCTCTACTAAAAATACAAAAATTACCCAGGCGTGGTGGTGGGTACCTGTAGTCCCAGCTGCTCGGGAGGCTGAGGCAGGAGAATTGCTTGAACTTGGGAGGTGGAGGTTGCAGTGAGCCGAGATTGCGCCACTGCACTCCAGCCTGGGTGACAGAGTGAGACTCCATCTCAAAAAAAAAAAAAGGGCCACCAAAGTGAACAGTCTTCACTGACCTTCCCATCTTGCATCTTCTTGAACAGACGCGGGATGATCTAAGAAAGTCCTGCTCTGTGTGAGATCTTGGACATTTCCAGGTGATGAAATTGTTGGCGGCAGTGTTTAGAAAAAATTGTCAATGTAAAGATTATCATCTCAAGGATATTGAAAAAGAAAGAAAGAAAAAAAACCTGTTGAATCAGCCCTATAGTCCAATAAGGCACAACCCAAGTCGCCAAAAGTTGTTAGTTAGGAACGCTCCTGTTTTTGTTTCTGTAGGTGGTTTTTTTCTAAGTATATTTTTCTCGGATGAATTGCCCTTGTCATAAAATTAATTCCTTTTATTTCACTATTCAAGCTTCAGTGAAGTGTGAGATCAAGTGAGACTGCCTGTAAACTTTCTTTTTCTTTTTTTTTGCATTTTGAATGTCTACAAATCTCCATTTTGTGGAATTGTGTGAGACAATTTTGTTATTGTTGACTTCCATTGATTAGTGAGCATAGCTGTTTCTTGAATTATTTGTTGTGCCAAAATATTTAGGATTTGTATCCCTTTCATTTCTATTATTTTGCTGATTTTTTATTTACCTTTTAAAGTCTAGTTGACAATAACATATTCAAAAGGTGAAGATGGCCAGGTGCAAGGGCTCATGCCTGTAATCCCAACACTTAGGTAGGCCAAGGCAGGAGGATCGCTTAAGCCCAGGAGTTTGAGAACAGCCTGGGAAATATGGTAAGACCTCATCTCTACAAAAAAATTAAAAAATATTAGTCAGGAGTGTTGGCTCATGCCTTTAGTTCCAGCTAGCTACTTGGGAGGCTGAGGTGGAAGGATCACTTGCACCTGGGAGATAAGAGGTCAAGGCTGCAGTGAGCTGAGATCACACCAGTGTACTCCAGCCTGGGCGACACAGCAAGACCCTGTCTCAAAAATGAAACAAAAAAAGGTGAAGATAAATACAAAAAAAAAAAGAAAGAAAAAGGTGAAGATATCAACATTTAATAATAAAGGATTTTAAAATAGGCCTCCAAGAAATGAGATGCCATCACCAATGTCCATTTTCGGATTGTTGATGTGAGGCCCATGCTCTAGGGGTGTGTCAATTAGGCACACAATTGTTTGCCTGCAATAGAAATTGATTTGGGATAATTTAAGCAAAAGCAGACCTGTCAGAGCCCTATCAGGGACTCACAAAACCTGGCTTGTAAACCATTAACACTAAAGAGGAGCCCAGCCATGATTTGTAGGAGGAGCTGAGGTCCCTGTCCAGGCTGCCATTTTTGAAAAATAATAATAATAATAATAATAATAATAATAATAATAATAATGCCAACATTTCTTTTGCCCTTATGATGACACTGCTTAAGATTAAACATCTTGGAGAAACTGTCTTTCAGTGGGGAAATGGTTAAACAAACCGTGTACCATGGAATACCACTTAGCAATTAAAAGGAGGAAACTGTCGATACTCACAGCAACTTGGAGGAACCTCCAAGGAAGTATGCTGAGTGACAAGAAGCCAACGTCAGAAGGCTGCATATCATATGATCCCACCCAAATAACATTTTTGAAAAGACAAAATGTCAGAAATGGAGAAGAGATTAGTGAGTTCCAGGTGTTAGAGATGGAGAGGGTGGTGGAGGGATGCAGCTCTGGCTATAAAGGGAGAAAGGAGGGCTCCTTGTGTAGATAGAAATCTCTGTATCCTTACCTGGTGGGGGTGGACATACAACCTACACATGGGAAAACATTGTTACAACTAAAGACACAACCACATGTACATGTGCAAGTAAAACTGTGGACATCTCAGAAAAGATCAGAGAATTGCATCAGTGTCCATATCCTGATTGTGGTAGTGTACTATTATTTTGTAAGATGTCATTATTGGGAGAAACTGGGTAGAGAGTCCATGAGATCTCTTTGTATTATTTCTTACAAATACATGTACACCTCTAATCATCTCAATAAAAACTTTCAGTTCAAGAAAGACATTCTCGGAGATCACCTCTTTGGCCTATTGCCTAACTCCAATGAGACTGAAGACAGGATGTGGTGGAAGGTCCAGCAGAGACCCTAAGGCTTGTGTGGTGGAAAGCCAGGACTTTGGCCCACCTGAAGTGCCAGAATGTATCTCCCCAGAATGACCATAGTGATATTACCAGACCCACACACTCTCCCAGAATCTTACTACTTCTCAATAAGAGATAGAAACTATTTTCCGTCCTCTCGAACCTGAGATGTTTTGTGACTTATCTGATGAATCAAATTTGCTGGGTATAAAAGTTGATGTGGCTTCTGCCAGCCTCCATCTGTCTCTCTTGGGTTGCTTGCCCTTGGAACCCAGCCACCATGTTGTGAGGAAGCTCAAGCCATGTAGAGAGGCTGCCTGTAAGTGTTCCCGCTGACAGTCCAGCTGAAAGACAACTCTGCTGCTAGATGTGAGTGACTGAGCTTCTCCATGGTTCTAACCCCAGCATTTGAACCGCCTTGAGTAATACCATGTGGAGCTGAGGCAAGACGTCCTGGCAGAGCCCTGCCCAAATGACAGATTCATGAGTGAAATAAATGTTGCTTTAAGACAGAAATTTTTGGAATGGTTTTGACACAGCAATAAGTTACTGGACTACCTTCTTTCCAAACACTACACACAGTGGGAAAGAGGAAATTCCCTGTTAGGAGGATGCTGGACAGCAAAAAACAACATATGGCTACGCCATGGGGGTCTGAGTCAATTTCATCTTTTCGCACGCCCGTCACTCCTAAGAGCTCACTTCAGAGACTCTGGGGAGTTCAAAGGACATCAGTAACCAACAGAAATAGGTCTGAGAAACTGCCCCAAAAGACCCTTGTGAAGCATCTAGTGGGTGCTACTTTATTTAATATTTTGTGCACCAATTATATGTAAGCATGGAATAATCTCTAGCCAAAACAGCTCTGTTTTCTTTAAGGTTTCTTGAGTTTTACATAGATTAACTCTTTAACCATGCTCTTCTGTCCATATTGGAGGAGAGATATCCATTGAAATGACAAACAGGAGGAATAGGCCCAGGGAAGATTAAATATGCAATATTATTATGTAAAAGAAGGCAGAACCCATGCATTCATTCAGCATATATTTTCAAGTGCCTGCCCTGTTCTAGGACTGCAGATACAGCCATAAACAAGGTGGAGAAGGTCTCTGCTCCTGTGTGTGTCATATTCTGGTGGAGCAGGACTGAATTAAACAGACAAACAAGCAAACCAGCTAATATTCATCGTTGTGGGTGAAGTACTGAGAGCATTACAGAAGAAAACTTCCAGAAAAATGAAGAATTTATATGCCAACTCCAGGAGAAATATTTCAGTGAGGTCCTGGCTTGGTGCAAGGATATGGAACCAGAGCCAAGAATTCTATCAGTTAAAAGCAGCTTAGTTTCCTGAGCCTGGACTGATGGGGGACGTGGAAGACAAAGTGTCAGGTCCATCAGTGGAAGATTGGCCTTGAGCCACTGTACACAGAATGGAGAGCCCACTGGCCTAAAAGGAGAGATTGTCAGGCGTGACGAAGCAGGAATTTTAGCCGAAGAATATTCACAAATTACAGGCCAAGAGGGAAGTGGGGACGTTCGTCTTCTCTTCATAGCCTTGCTCGTTGGGGGACCAGCTGTCCTTTATTGTTAATAGAAAAATCAATATAGCAAGAGGCGAATCTTTGCTGTGATAACATTGGCTCCTTTCACCAGGCGTGTGGAATTAGATTACTGATAGATGCACCTCTGTCGCCTCCCCAGGCTCCAGATAGAATCTATGGGCTTTGCCAATAAGCACGGTAACAGAGTGTGGATCAGGAACCAGCGGGTGGCCAATGGCAGTGGAGAAAATGTAATTCCCTTGCAAGACACCGTCCTGGAGGGAGCCGGGAAGCAGCTTGCCTGATTGCGTATGCTCAGCTGCGCTCAGGCTGGAGTCTTTGAGGGGACGCTTGGGTACCTGTGTGCAGCTGAAACACTGCACGCTGGGGAGGCGGCATCGATTAAGAGAGGAAGAGAGGAGGAAAGAAGAACAAGGAAAGGCAAGGAGGGGAAAGAGAGGGAGGGAAGTCCAGAAGACAGCCAGGCCTGTAAGCAGCTCTTTGAGAAAACTTCCCAGAAGGGTCTTTGCTTAAAATGCAGTCGTTTCAATAAAGGGACAGATCTCAGTAAAGAGCATTTCCCCAGATATGCTCTGTGCTACATGGAAACTAATTTGTGGACGTGTGATCTGCTTAGAGAGTCGCTGTGGGCCAGTCTTTATTCAGTGTCCACAGAGTCACGTGGCAAGCAGCCTGTCTACAATCCACCTTCCTTATGATCAGGAGTGGAAGTGCAAATAGAGGGTTGCTTACCAGATGTGGTGGTGGTTGAAATTAAACAGGGGAATGCTTATGGTCAAATTTTCAGCTTATAAAACCAACATAACATGTAAAGTATGACATGCAAACCACTAGTAGTCTCCACCGGCCTAAAAGGAGAGGTTGATCAGCCATATCAACTGTCAGTAATTTTTTGTACTTTCTGCCAATTTTTCTTAATCTAGTACTTACTTGCTGACTCTCCACGTCCATGAGTGCATGTGTGTGGGTATCACATCCGTGTATGTCTGTCATAGCATAGATGTGTGTATAGGCTTATAAATCATGTTTGTTTACAAAGTTAAAACCAGTCGGTTTTTACAGGTTCCTTTTTGGTCATCAACAATCATGTTGTGGGCCAAGGGCGGTGGCTCACGTCTGTAATCCCAGCACCTTGGGAGGCCGAGGCGGGACGATCACCTGAGCTCAGAAGCTCAAGACCAGCCAGGGCAACATGGTGAGACCCTGTCTCTACAAAAATATACAAAAATTAGCCAGGCATGGTGGCTTGCAGCTATATTCCCAGAGCCCAGGAGGTTGAGGCTGCAGTGAACCATGATTGTACCACTGCAGCCCAGCCTGGGTGACAGAGTGAGACCCTACCTCAAAAAAATTTTAAAAAAAATGTTGTGAGCATTTTCTGACTTCAGAACATGATCTTCAAGAACGAGACATTAGTGATTATGTTCTACATTCAATTACATTAATGAATATCTTCATTTCCAATTTTTTACTGTTATAAAATTTTATAAACAATCTTACATATAAGTCATGGAAAACATTTTAAGTAGATCTATATAAATTCCTAAAAGTAGAGGAATTCCTGAGCTAGAGGGGAGGAGAGGTACTACTTGAAGGCCTGATACTCTGCAGAAGGGCAGCGGCTGCCCACACACCAGCTGGGAGTGTGTTCGTCTCAAATAAGTCCTGCTTTAGTGCATGTTCTTATTTATTGTCACAGTAAGTGCTAGTGCTGCTGCTGTTAATTTTGTATAGGAAAACAGAAAGAAAGAAACTAATAGCAGATCCCTAAATTCAATGCCCAGAATCCTCTTGGAAGTTTCAAACAAGGAAAACATTAGTGACTGTATCTAGTTAAAAAATTGGGCCATGACAGAAAGGTAAACATGAACATTGAATCTGCCAGCCCCAGTACAGATTACCTTCCATAGGATCACCATTCGCCGTTTGCTGTGATCCTTCCAGAAAACAAAAATACATGGGTGTCTCTGTGTGTGCATTATATGCCTGTATAAATGTATCTAAATATCTGTATATGTGTATACATGCATGTATATACATGCACATGTATGTATATATGTATATACAGAGTGTATATTCTTCATGAAAGTTACTTAAAATGTGCAGTTTATACATACTTGTCTTTCCTGTGAAGTTTTTCAGTGTCTTGGAGATGTTTTCATGGTAGCATGGACCTCCCTGTATGCTTTTACATCGCTTGGCCATGACTTGCTGAAGGATATCGTGGCTGTTTCCAGTTCGGGGCTTTCACCAGTGGGCATCTGGTGCTCCCCCAGTTGGATCCTGCTGTTCCCCCATTTGGTGACCTGGAAGGATCACCAGCAACCCGGCTGTCAGGCTGCCCTCCCAGTAAGAGGATTTCAGTGACCTGAGGTCATCGCAGTGCGGTTGTTGGACAGCTAGCAGTTTCCTTGAGTGCAGGTTCTGCGGTGGTAGCTTCTTGCTCCTCGGTCTGCAGCCCCACAGTGAGCAGGACATATGTGGTCCCTCGTTGCACACGTGCGGAGGTTGTACTTGGTGGTATTCCTGGGTCCTGACGCCATACTCAGGACATGGCCAGTATTCACACAGTATTGGAATGAACGAGTAAATGAATGAATGCATGCATTCATGTTTCTTCAAAGATAAATATCACTTCTGTCAGGTGAATAAATACCATTTGTCACATTTTATTGTTTTTATGAGGGTGAGGGAACTGTACAATTATTTATCAAATTGCAAAAGAGGCAGTAAGACAAAAATCTGTCTTGGTTTGAGCACCTCCATTCCTCCCCACCACCATCACTCCATGAACCCCCCAGCCTCCCTGGGCTCTTCTCCGTGTCCGATTCTCTGGATATGAGAGTGTTGTTTTCCAAGTGTAGCAGGGTTTCACTTTTCGAGCTGCCAGATCTGCTGGAGAAAATTATAAAGATGAATACTTCTGAGCCTTTGGCTGACGCTTATCCCCCTCTGGTTCAGATATCTTTGCAAAGGCAGATGTACAAATCATCCTGGTTCTCCAGAGGGGTCTTGGTTTTCCATCCTGCCCTGAGCCTAGTGTGAGGTGGAGCAGCCCAGGCTTCCACAATATCTAGAATTGGAACAGTAGCCCCAGGAAAAGAAAATGTGCTTGGAGACAGCTCCTGCAAAGCCCCAGGATTACAGCGTGGGTAATTAGACTGTCACTCTCGAGGAAGGGAACACTGAAGCAGGATCTCTATTAGCCTTTGTGCCCCTAAGACGGAGCAGGCTGGAAGGTAAGAGGCAGAGAAGTTTCGAGATTCATCAGATGTCTTTATGGCTCCCACATCTCGTTACCGACTTCACAATATTTTTTTTTTCTTTCTTAACAACGTAGTAAAACAGCACTCAGGAATTAATTGTATTTTTAATAAAGCAGAGGCTTTTGTTGTTGTTGTTAACATTGAACTTCCTTAATTCTGGGAAGCTCAAGATTAGCCGTGTCGTAGGGGGAAAATGTTAGAACGACTATTTAAGTAAAATTTACTTTTAGTGGTGTAATTTTTCCTTTTAGGTTTTCTTTTATCCCCAACCTTTTTGTCTGTGTGCAGATTACATCATAAGGCAAGTGGAGTCAGTGTCATATCACACCATTTATTCACTTAATCATTTACCAGACCCAGATGGAGTGATTTTAATGGGGCAGGCAGCCCCTGTCTTCCTCATTAGCAGATTGCTTAATAAGGAAGACAGGTAGAAACAAACAAGAAAATATCAGTTGTGATGAAAATTAAACAAGGAGTTGTCGACAAAAAGAGACCCTGTAAAATATTTGAAGAGACTTATTCTGAGCCAAACATGAGTGACCATGGCCCGAGACACAGCCCACAGGAGATCCTGAGAACGTGTGCCCCAGGTGCCCGGGGCGCAGCTTGGTTTGTTTGTTTGTTTGTTTGTTTGTTTGTTTGTTTTTTGAGATGGAGTCTCACACTTTCACCCAGGCTGGAGTGTAGTGGCGCGATCCCGGCTCACTGCAACCTCCGCCTCCTGGCTTCTCACCATTCTCCTGCCTCAACCTCCCGAGTAGCTGGGACTACAGGTGCCCACCACCATGCCCGGCTAATTTTTTTATATTTTTAGTAGAGACGGGGTTTCACCGTGTTAGCCAGGATGGTCTCGATCTCCTGACCTCGTGATCTGCCCACCTCAGGCTCCCAAAGTGCTGGGATTACAGGCGTGAGCCACTGCGCCCGGCTGCAGCTTGGTTTTATACATTTTAGAGAGATAGAAGGCATCAATCAAATACATTTAAGAAATACATTGGTTCGGTCCAGAAAGGCACAACAGCTTGAGGGGCAGGGGGCTTCCAGGTTATAGGTAGATTTAAAAATGTTCTGACTGATCATTGGTTGAGTTTTTGTCAACAGAAGGGAGTGTCTGGGTTGTGATAGAGGTTGTGGACACCAAGTTTTATGCAGATGAAGCCTCTGGGTGCAGGCTTCAGAGAGAATAGATGTGAATGTTTCTTATTAGACTTAAAGTCTGTGTCCATGTTAATGCTGGAGGGTAGAATGAGGTCTGCTTGACCCCCCACTTCCCGTTATGGTCAGAACCAGTCTTTCAGGTTAAATTTTAGAGTGCCCTAGCCAAGGAGAAAGCCCAGTCAGATGTGTGGGGGCATGGGGAGTGGAGCTTAGAATTTTATTTTGTGTTTTACAGAGTGAGAAAGCGGGTGATTGGAAAGCTTTGGGGCTATTTTTAGGCTGAGCTATTTCAAAATAACTAGCCCATCAAACTTTAATATCATAGACATGGTTGCTTAAAACAAGGCTAATATCTAGATGAGCTGGTAAAAAAGAGTAATTATTAAATGAAAAATATCCATCATCTATGGATAAGACCAAATTGGGATGAGGGGATGACACTGACTGTGGGGAAGGAACTGTTGTGGTAGAACTAACACTGACCCCCCGGCTTACATCAAACAGAGGGCAGGATGCTGCTGTCTAGGGATGGGGCCCAGTGGTATTTAGTTTGATGCGAAATTAACTGTGGTTTTTACCATTAAAAATAATGGCAGGCTCAGGCTCAGTGGCTCACGCCTGTAATCCCAGCACTTTGGGAGGCTGAGGTGGGTAGATCACGAGGTCAGGAGTTTGAGACCAGCCTGACCAACATGGTGAAACCCTGTCTCTACCAAAAATACAAAAATTAGCTGAGTGTGGTGGCAGGCACCCATAATCCCAGCTACTCAGGAGGCTGAGGTAGGAGACTCGCTTGAACCCGGGAGGTGGAGGTTGCAGTGAGCTGAGATCGCACCACTGCACTCCAGCCTGGGTGACAGAGCAAGATTCTGTCTTAAAAAAAAAAAAAAAAAAAAAAAAGGCTAAAGCCGCAATTACTTTTGCACCAACCTGTAAAACACCGTTGTGATTTGAGCCAGTTATAAAGTAGCTAAGGTTGTCGGACTCTGGCTTAAGATTTGGATAACTGTTGTGATGCATCCCTGCCTATCCTCTGTGTGCTTTGGGTTTTGTTTTGTTTTTTCCATGTTTTCCTTACCCTTGGTTTCCATGAGAACTTCCATTGCTATTGTCTTGAGTCGGAGATTTCTACCCTAGGCCCCAGGACTTATCAGGGGAAGGAGCAGGCCTGCTCTTTGAGTGACAAATCCAGCGCAGACATCATTGGCCAAGGCAAGGTTTTGGTAACCCGGGGATTTGCAAAGCATTTCTATTTGTTTCATCTCAGGAATTCAGTATTTCATTCTTAAAGACCGCAATACGGTTGAACCTTCGGATTATTTCGGAGATGAAAACCCTAGTATTAGCATAGTTGGATTTTTTTTCTTTCTGTTTAAAATATATATATATACTTTTATGACTCTGATCTAAGTAAACTCTGTCCGGGAGTGGGGAAGAAGGAAAAGCAGTTGGAAGGCTGAAGATTAATCCTTTGAGGACCGAGGACTGCAAAGCCTTCTGGCCATTTGTACAAGGCTGAAGGCGTGTGGTAAAGGTGGTTTGGCGGAAAGAGGATTAACTTTTATTGGTTTGTGAAAATATAGGTTCTTAGGGAAGAACAAAGTTGTGTTTTCCCAGCCCAGGATCTACTGGGGGGCAGAGTCCCACTGTTCTTTTTATTCTCTGTGTTTGTGGACAAGGAGATGGTTTAAATTATCGTCCCACAGATGGATGCCCCTTGATCAGAAGATGGTATGCGGAGGTCTGGCCGTGCTGCACCTCGGAGACCCCCTGCAGTTTCTGCCTTGGCTAGTCAGCTTTGTTGGGGGCGGAGGAGGCTCCCAGAGCTGGACCCCATGGAGAAGGCATGTGGAGACCATTAAGCTGGTCCCAAGATGTCTGGGTGGCTAAACATTACTGAGAAGATATGTTCCTCAAATTTATAAAGCCAAATATTTACTCAAGATTGTCTTCATTAAAGGTGCTGAGGTTCGATTTGTCCCGTTGAATGGAAACTTGTAAAATACGGCTGCGAGGAAGTTCGTGACAGCCTCGGTGCTAGATGCCTGTGTCCATGTGTACATGTGTATTTCCTTGCTGTCCCTATGGCACGAAGCGCTCTATTTGCCTGTAGGCGAGGGCCTTTTTCATTCTGGTTATGTCTGCACAATACCAAATCCCGGGAAATCAGGGGTCTGATGAAGCCAGTGAGTAGAAGATAGCATCACTGCCACCGCCCACAGGTGTCTCTGCAAGTGCACAAGTATACAGGCACAATGCCAACAAGTACACACCTATGCACGTGATATTTGAACACCCCCAGCATGTGCACATAAAGCCCCAGTCACAACAGCCCACATCATGTTCTCTTTACACTTCTGTTGCCATGGCCAACAATTTGATTGAGTAAACTAATGTGATTTGAAAATCTGGTGGTGATTCCTCTCTGCTGTGTGATCCCCATAACCAACCTCGAATATGTTATACAAGCAACATTTTTTAAAAGTGTATTTCTAGGGCCGGCATAGTGGTGTGCACCTGTAGTCCCTGCTACTGAGGAGGCTGAGGCAGGAGGATCACATGAGCCCAGGAGTCCAAGGCTGCAATGAGCTGTGAGTGCACCGCTGCACTCCAGCCTGGGCAACAGAGCGAGACCCCATCTCTAAAAAATGTTTTTAAAGTGTATATCATTTAATAGATTGATTTGAAAAAAACTCATTTTATTCATTTTATAGATCATCTTCTGACTGCTCCATTTAGTCAGAATGCCTCTAAACTCTTTTCCCTTCATTTTGAAAATCATCTTCTGGAATGCCTGTCATCACTTATATCTCATGTCCCCACTCTGAATTCCTAGTAGAAAAATTCTAGTTTTAACCAAAAATAGAATCCATGAGTTTTCAGTTAGGAAGGTAGACTATGAAAAGAAGCTGTTAGAAACATCAGATTTTTATATACATGACTGTTAACATTTCCCTGTTATAAAAATGAAAAGACCTTTAAATGTATACATATATATATACTTAAAAAGAGAGAATAGCATAGTGAATGAGATAACTAACATCCGCCACAAAATGACAGATGCTAGAATTTCATCCTGTTTGTGTCAGATTTTTATCCAACAATAAAAGAATGAAAGAAAGCAAACATCACTGATAAAGTTGAAATCCTTTGCACCCTCCCCAGAGGATACTCCCTCTTTCCCCCTGCCCCCCAGTCCCTTGTTACTTTGGCCCCTTCCTCTGCTCCCCAATCCTGTTTTCTCTACTCCTTCCAACAGTCCTCCCTCCATCCCCATCTCTACCCCTTTATCATTCACTAACGTGAATGTGGTGCTAATTTTTCCAGTCCATATCTTTGAACTTTTTGTAATATATGCACATCAATAAGCAATCGAGTTTTATCTATTCTAATTGTTTTAATGTACAACTTTATGGGTACATGTGCAATTTTGTTTCTTGCATGGTGGCCAAATCAGGGCTTTTAGAACATCCAACATGCGAATAATGTACATTGTACCCATTAACTAATTTCTCAATACTTCTGAGTCTTCCTTGTCTATGATTCCACTCTCTACATCACATGTACACATTTTTTTGGCACCCACTTATGAGTAGAAGATGTGATATTTGACTGTCTGTGCCTGGCTTGTTTCACTTAGGATAATGTCCTCCAGTTCCATCCATGTTGCTACATAAAGCATGATTTCATTCTTTTTAATGGCTGAGTAGTATTCCATTGTATATATTTATGTATACCACATTTTGAGAATCCAATCATTCATTCATGGGTAGTTAGGTTGAATCCTAAGTTGCTGTTGTGAATAGTGCTGCAATAAACATACCAGTGTAGGTATCTTTCTGATATAATGATTGCTTTTCCTTTGGGCAGATACCCAGTAGTGGGACTGCTGGATCCAATGGTAGTTCTATTTTTAGTTCTTTGAGAAATCTCCATACTGTTTTTCGTAGAAGTTGTACTCATTCATAGAAGTTGTGGTTGAATCCATTAACCACAAGCAACAAAGTTGCTTCAAACATTTTGAAACTAGGCATACAGAGTATCATACTGTATCTTTCTCCAGTTTATTTTTTTCACCCAACATGATAGTTTCAAGCTCAAGCCCTGATGACGCCTGTAGGTCTAGCTTATGCATTTCAACTCCTACATTTTATGGGACATATGATGATGCCACATGTTTGCAAACATTTCTTGGGTGATGGGCATGTATGGTATTTTGTTTTTCATTATTACACACAAACATGCTTCAAGTAGTGTTTGCACATATGAAAGGGCTTTTCGGGGAGATGATTTAAAATGGTTTCTTAATGTCTTAAGACATCTAAGCATTTCTTTCACTTCTGGGAAGATGGAGAAAGGTGATTTGTTTGAAGAAGGTATGCCTCCCTGTTCTTCTGCAGTCCTTTTTCTGTTGTTAGAAAAGCTGTTTTTCCAGCCAGCCCCAGAACTATCGTCTAGAAATATTAATGTTAAGAGCCACATCAGTTTTCTGTCTTCTGTTTCAAAATTGTTAACAGCTCTTCCTTGAAGATGTATTCTCTTTCTCTCTCTTTCTCTCTCTGCTGTGAGCCACAGTGGTTTTCTTGGAAGTGATAGACCATATAATTCTCACATGTCAAGGTTTTAAGCCAAAGCCCTCAGGCACCACTTCTGATTTTCTTGAAGGATCAAAAATAAAAGGTTGCAACCCTCACAGCCGTAGGCTCCTGCAGCAACTCTTTGGTGCACCTGTCACCCTGATACCTGGGAGGAGGCTCTGAGTCCATGCTGTGGGAAGGTGCTGGCCTTCATGGATGGGCCTCCCCTGGTGTGTCCACTGTGGACCTGAGTGGGTGTCCCAGAGCCCTGGCTCTCCCTTCTTTTCCTCTAGAAAGGGAATCGGCATGTTCCCAATCATCTCTGAGATTATCTTTATTCTTCAAGGAGTTGCAGTGGCTCTTGCCAAGTGCCCTGGGGTCTTGGACATCTGCCTAGTGGCCCTGTAGAGACCTCCACCCTCCAGACAGCTCAGAATTTGCTAAAGAAAATGTGAATTTTGGAGTCCAGGGCTAGAAAATATGACATGGGCACATAGTGTCATGTTTTGAAAAGTAAGGTTTAGATGCCTTACTGATTATTTGTGTGTATGTGTTGTGTGTGTGAGTATTGTGTGTATATGTATGGGTGTTGTATGTGCATGTGTGTTGTATGAACGCTGTGTGTTTATGTGAGTGCTGTTTTTATGTGTATGTGTGTGCATGTATGTGTGTTGTGTGTGTGTTGTGTGTGGGAGTGTGTGTGTGTAGATGTGTGTATGTGTGAGAGTGTGTGATGTGTTTATGCATGTGACTGTGACCATATGCGTGTTGCATGTGTTGTGTTTACATGGGTTTGAGTGTTGTATGTATGTGGTGCTGTGTGTATGTATGTGTGTGCGAGTGTTGTGTGTATGTGTGTAAGTGTTACTTGTATTTGAGAGTACATATGTATTTGAGAGTATGTATATGCATGTAAATGCCTGTATGGATGAGAGTGTGTGTGAGTGTTTTGTTTATGTGTGTGAGCATTGCTTGTATTTGAGAGTGGTGTGCTGTGTCTGTTGTGTGTGTGTTGTGTGTATTTGAGAGGGCTTTGTGTTTATGTTTGTGAGTGTAGCATGTATGTGTGAGTGTTGGTTGTGTGTATATGTGAGAATGTGTGATGTTGTGTGTATTTGTTAGAGTGTGTGGTTTGTGCGTGGTGTGTATGTGTTGTATGTGTGAGAGTTTATGGTGTGTGTGGTGTGTATGTGTGAGAGTGTGTGGTGTTTGTTTGTTGTCTGTATGTATGAGAGTGTGTGGTTTGTGTGTGGTGTGTGTGCTGTATATTTGAGAGTTTGTGGTATGTATGGTGTATATATGTGTGGCTTGTTTGTGGTGTGTGTTGTATGTGTGAGAGTTTGTGGTGTGTGTATGTGTGAGAATGTGTGGCTCGTGTTTATGTGTGAGAGTGTGTGCCTTGTGTGGTGTGTGTTGTATGTGTGAGAGTTTGTTGTGTGTGTATGTATGAGAGTGTGTGGTGTTGTGTGTAAGTGTGAGAGTGTGTGGCCTGTGTGGTGTGTGTGTGCATGCATGTGACTGTGTGACCAGGTGTGTGCTGTGTGGGAGCGAGGGAGGAAGGCACGGGAGAAGGCCGCGGATGCTCTCCCTTCTCTGGTTCTCAGGAATCTCTCCACCTCACCCCACCTTAACAAACACTGAAAACTTCTAGATTTGAGAAGAGCTGGAAAGCATCAAAAAGGCTGTCTAGTTTTAGTGCCAACATTCAGCTCAGATGACCTGGAAAGGTGGCAGCAGTTACATAAGTACTAAAATATTGAAATACCCAGGCTGCACCTCAGTGTCAGCCCAGCCCATCTCCACAGACCGCCACCGCCCACCCACCATGTCCTCGAGATTCAAGGTGTTAGTCCCCAGCCTTGGCAGAGGAGCCAGCTCCGGGGCCCGTGTGCATTCTCATTCCTCAGTGCCAGTGTCTCCCTATTGAGCCTGATGGTTTCCAACTGTGTTCCATAGACATGTAGGCCATCATCAACCCTCTTTAGAAGACGTTTAACATTTACTTCTAATGTCATTATCAAAAATCTTTTTTATCTCTTAAAATCTTAACCTACTTGAGTTTCCCCCACTAGTTTCTTGAAATAAAACGTTATTTGTTCTTTTTCACTTTCCTTTTTTTTTTTTTTGAGACGGTGTCTTGCTCTGTCACCCAGGCTGGAGTGCAGTAGCCCAATCTCAGCTCACTGCAAGCTCTGCCTCCTGGGTTCATGCCATTCTCCGGCCTCAGCCTCCCGAGTAGCTGGGACTACAGGTGCCCGCCACCATGCCTGGCTAATTTTTTTGTAGTTTTAGTAGAGACGGGATTTCACTGTGTTAGCCAGGAGGGTCTCGATCTCCTGACCTTGTGATCTGCCCGCTTCAGCCTCTCAAAGTGCTGGGATTACAGGCATGAGCCACCATGCCCAGCCCTTTTTCAATTTTGTAGTGCACATAGCTAAGGCTATAAATTTTCCTTTCAATGTTACTTTGGCTGAATCTCTCAGTGCACTCATACTTTATTAGTTCTAAATAGTTGGAGATTTCCATGTTGATTTTTTTTAAGCTGAGAGTCTTACATGTATCATAGATTGCAAAAGTTACAGGATTATGCCACATTTCGTTTTAAAATTTAGATTTGCATATGTGAATTCATGTATAACTTGGCATCTGAGTTCTCTTCATTGTGTTATCTGTGAAATATTGTTCAAACCTCAGATGATGCTGCTTGGTGAAAAATTAATATGCTTTGTGATAATATTGCGATAGGGGATAGATTTATGATTTTTGGGTAATATCTGAATTTTTAGCTTTTGCAAAGGAATTTGTTATTCACGAAAGCATCCTCATCTTATCAACCTCGTAATAAATAACTGTAAATTTGCGTTTATGCAATAAAGGTACATTTGTGTATTGGCCTTTTGAATGTTTTACATATTGGCATTTGGATTTTCAAAAGAGAGATCAAATTTTTCAGAAAGATTAACCATCGCTGTTGTATTCTAACTGCCCGTCATTATATTGAATGGGGCCAAGGAAGATCAGTAATCACCAGCATTTGTTAAAATGCTTGCTGTGCATGACAGCACTCCTGCCTGAATAACCTCTTTTGATTATCATTGTAGCTCATGAAGAAGGGCTGGTAGTTATCCTCATTTTAAAAGAGAGGAAAGTTAAACTAAAACAAGTACAATAACATGTCAGGTTCTTTCAGTAACTACGTGATGAAGCCAGTATTAGTTTGTGAGTCCCCATAGCAGCCCCATGGGGTAGATACCTGCATTATCCCCATTCCACAGATGAGAGTATTGAGACAAAGAGAGGGTAAGTTACTTGCCCAAGATCACCCAGTTAGTGAGAGGAGAACCCAGGACAAATGGAGAAATGTATCCTTGCCCCCCAGGTGTTCTTTCCGTTACTCTAATCTCTTTCTCTCTCATAATTATTTTGTTGGAAACACAGAGTGTAGATATTCTTAAAGATCTAATCCTTAATTATTCACAGTCCTTTATCCCAGCTCATTAAATTAGACCAATGGAAAGAAAAGTTTTATTTTGCCTCTGTAGTATTGGGGTTTAAGTGATCACGGTAATTTTCCATTATCATTTTGTGTTTTAAATAAATACAACAGGCTTTATTGTGAAAATATTTGTCTAATATTGGGCAGTAAATGTTTAAGTGATTTTGGTTTAATTACTATTACAGTCATACTATTACAGTGCATAAAATAGAATTCTTCTTGAGTTTGTTCATTAGATGGGAAGAGGCTGCATTTTTAAAAAATATATGCATGCCTATAATACTACATTTAAATATGTGCGTATATAAAGAGATGCTTTCTTATTTATATACATGGTCATTATAGAGCTTTGTGAGAAATAGAATTTTCTCTGTGCAATCTGTACTCTGGGAGGGGTTATTTGCTGACACTGTATGCCCATTTCCTAACAGAATGTCTCTAGTTAAGTAATCATATGATGAAGACATCCCAGCTGGGACTCTATATTTAAGCCAAGTTACTATTTCTAGCAAGACTATTCTTTTGAAAGGTTGAGAAGTCATTCCTTTTATTTTATAAGTTAAATATCAAATATGTATCATTTTTTTCTCAAATACACAGTCATTTATCCAAAGAGTCTACTGCTACTATGCACAGGAATGAACTAAGCCAATAGTGATGAGAAACCATCTTGGTTAGCCATCTGTCTGTCCCTAAGCTGAGGTGACATTTCCGCTCCCTGGCAGCAGGAGACACACTAGTTGAAGTGCCAGTTTTTAATGCAAAAGTCCCCAAGACCCAGCTCACTGAGAACAGCTTTCAGAACCCTGCATCCCTGCCATCTTCTTCCTGTCTTTTCCAGGAGTCAGGAGAGAGCTCATCTGGGTGCAAGGCAAGAGAGGCTTCCTGGAGGCAGTGTTTCAGAACAAGGAGTGTGTTCACTTCATATCCCGCATTTGTGCCAGCTTGGGTTGAGACTCCATTGCTTTTATGTGGAATGTTTTTATTTTATCTACATTTTGGCCTCCTTCCAAGTTGGCATGACAAACTTAAGTCTAATGCCATGGAAATCAGAAACCAGTCAGCTTTGAAGAGACTGCTTTAAAGAGAACAAGAGAAATAAGCCACAGAGAAATTAGGCTTAAAGAGAGAGAACTGGAAGAGATGGTGTGGGAGTTTCTTGTTTTCTTCTTCCCTTTTTTTTTCATGGTCTCTGATCTCGTTAGCATGTTCTTTCATTACTACAGCTGTTTCTGCAACATTTTGCCTGAAGATTATAGTGTCTGGCTTATTATATTCAATGGGGGAATGACTCGATAAGAATAATTATCACTATGCTGGGGTTTGACTCCTTGATGATATTTTTCTATTGTTCGCGGGGACTCGTGTTGTGTTCGCAGTTCAGCCTCATCATTAGCTATGCTTTGCTGCTTAGGCAATGCTAAATAAAGAAAAGGCTTTGGAAATGTGTGTGGATTTTTCCAAGGAGGACTTGTGATCGCATTCCTACCTTTTTCTGATTTCGCAGGTTGGAATTCCACCAATACGAAATGTTTTGAAGTCACTTTCTGACTTGGGTAGAACAACAAATCTGAGAATCACTTAGGTTCTTGGAATCCAAATGAACCTCCAAACTGCCCAGGACCAGTTCTGAAAGTACAAATAAAGTTGCAAACCCGGGGAGGTCTCAGGTCTGGGAGGTTCGTCCCCTTGCTCCTAGCATTCTTTTGTTCCCTGCAGACCTTTGCAATTCTATCAGTCTCCTTGCTGTTTCTTTTCTTTGGGAGAGTTCATAGCACTCCTTCTCATATTTCAAACACTCTCTGTCAGACCTTTTTATCCTCATGTTTGGATGATTTCCTGTCCGCTTAATTCCTTCCTTGTGGAGCTCTGGAAATGGATGTACTAACTTGAAGGTAGATTTTTTGTTTTTATCCCAGTTCACAAACACGTGAGACTCTTGATGTTATAGTAACAGTGAGGATTCCAACACCCCAGGGAACACCAGCTGTGTGATGTTCCTGAAACAGGAACCAGGGAAAGAAAGCCTACATATCCCCAACTTCACACTCCTTGTCTCTGCCTTGAAGTCCTTGCACTCCGAGGTAGCGTTTTACATCTGGCTTTTTTTTTTTTTAACCTTGATTTTTACTGGCTATCTGGAGAACCTCTCAAAGCAATATTCAGATTCCTATAAGGACCAGACGTAAAGTTGTCTCTTTAATAGGTAGACCAATGTCGTGAAGCACTGGTTAGGTTTGCACACAGCATCTTTTAGATCACAGAGAGTGGGAAATTACTAGTCCACTCAGGTAGAGCCGAGACTCCTGCAGGTGGAATCACTGCATACCAAAAAGCGTGCCTTCCGATTAGTGGAAGTTTAATCAATTGCGAGTGCTGTCACAGCTTAATCATCCAGGGAAGACCTTATCTCTGGGCATGTGCTCCTTCCTTGGCTCTCCCTTATTTTCCCTTGGCACATGTGACCCATTTATAAAATGCCCTTATTGAGTATGTGTGTTGTTTATCGAAGCCTCATGGGGTGGGATCTTTGCCATTCTGCTCACCAGCGTGTCGCATGCCAAGGACAGAGCTGAGCACATGCTGGGTGCTCCCATCACTGTTGCTGAATAGACGGGTAAAGAGCTGGAAAAAGTTCTCCAAAGCAAGAGTTCTCAGCGGGCCCCCTCCCACTCCTTTCTAAGCTTTTGGCTGTCTGTGACTATACAGCTGTCTGATCAGCTAACTGATTACACTCAGATCCTGGGCTCCTTTCTTGTTTTCCTTCTGCAGAAATATATATATATATATATATTTTGCACAAAGATGAAATCCGTCCTAGGGTCTTAAGATTTATTAACTGTTGCCTGAGTTGTTTCACATGATGTCAGGGGAGGAGGCAAGCCCAGGCTCCCCTTAGAAGTTCCCTACACAGAGGGCTTTGGGTAATTCCCTCGATTTTGTAAAGACGTTGGGTTGGCTTAAATGATTAGCAGGAGATCCTTAAGGAGGACTTAACTTAAGCATTTAAGGTTCTTCTGTGTCTCTCTGAGTGCCCCTCCTGGGTTGCCTGGATTTTCACATCTGGCAGGCAAATTTAGAAAGGGTTTTCTAGCCTCTCTTCCCCTCTGCTGATTTTCTGAGCCTTGTTAGAGTGGGCGTCTGTGTTGGGGGCTGGGGGTTCCCTCCTTCAAAGCACTGGAGGTCAGCCCCCACTGCCAGCATGTGGTCTGTGTTCAGGGAGACGTGCCAGGGACCTCCAAGGGCTTCCAGCTCTTAGAGGCAAAGGGGATCAAGTTACAGAGGGCTTTTTTTTTTAAGTTCATCTGGGAGGGCAGCCATGGGAGCCCAGGGGGTTGGAGGTCTGTCTGTCTTCTGCTCTAATCTTGTCTGTGCTGGTTTATCCAGAGGAGTCAGGAAGTTCAGAGAAAGGAGGGTGTCTGCCGATTTCATCCCGCTTGCATATCAAGGCCTGCGGTTCAGCACAGCGTGTTCCTAGGATGTGCCTGTTCTGTTCGGTTCAAGCTGCAAGTCTCCCCTCCTCTCCCACTGATTTAGAGGCCACTTAGGAAGTAGCCTTGGGTGGTTGTCTCTGGCTCTGGGGACTGCTGTCTTGGTGCTCTTTGTTGTCTTTCCACAGCTGCGTTGAGGGGGTCTTCATCTCATTCACCCCTGGAAGGTCCCCATCACTCCCCAAGTCCCAAACACCAGTACTAAAAAAAAAAAAAAGCTCTTGGCAGCAGTGCAGCCTGCAGCTCTCCATGCATTTGAGGAGCTGATCCTGCTGCACATAGACCTGGAGCCAGGGAAGAGGAAAGATGTAAAGTCTTCTTCTCATTCCAGGCAACTTGTGGGCAGCTTCAGGCCACACCTCCGGGATATCAACCAGGGGCTCACACACCCAAGAATCTTGGCAGAACTGTGTCCACACAGATGTGAGGACAATTCCTGGCCACCATTCCTGGCCACCTTTCTGTGTTTCTCTAATACAAACTTGGTCATCAATGCAACTGTTTGTACAGACATTTTTTAAAAAAGAACAGTAACATTTGGATGGTTCTTTTGAGTTTACAGGGGGCTTCTATGTCCCTTCCCATATTTACATAAGGCACTAGGGGCGTCTTAAAATGACTTTTAGCTGTTGTTTCTTTTTTGCTTTTCCTTGGCAAGGACACGCTCTGTGGAAAGTATGGGGATGTGCCGAAGGCCTTCAAAGCTTGGGAACATGGTAGTCTTAACAATTTGGAGACCTTGAAAATGAGTAGTGTTCACATTGAAAATGTTTTTTTCCCCTGTCTAACATTAACACCTGATATCTCTAGGTTCAAAAAGTCTTCTGCCTAATTTTGCTTATCTGCTTGAATACTCTATCGGTGCTTCTTTCTTCTGAGTTGTTTTTTTAAAGACCTATTGTCTTATTACAGTAAAGCTTATTTTAGTTGCAACAAAATGACAAAGATATTTTATTTTTAATAAATAAAGAGCTGTTACAAATTCATAAGGAAATATAAATAGACTAGTAGGGAAAAAAGTAAGACCAGGGTGATACATAGAGCAAAGACCCAGTATATTAATGGCATTAATAGATTAGCCTAATTATTTGGTCATCAGCAGTCTTCATTGATCTAAGCTATAGCCCAAATACTAAAATGGGGTTCTGCAAGGACAAGATGAAATGTACACCATTTGGGGAATGATACTGCTCACCATCCTGATATTCTATGCTCTTTCTTTCTTTCTCTTTCTTTCTCTTTCTTCCTTCCTTCCTTCCTTCCTTTCTTTTTTTCTTTTTCTTTCTTTCTTTCTATTTTTCTTTCTTTCTCTCTCTCTCTCTCTCTTTCTTTCTTTCTCTCTTTCTTTCTGTCTTTCTCTCTCTCTCTTTCTCTCTTTCTTTCTTCCTTCCTTCCTTCCTTTCTTTTTTCTTTTTCTTTCTTTCTCTCTTTCTCTCTCTCTTTCTCTCTCTCTCTCTCTCTCTCTCTCTCTTTCTTTCTTTCTTTCTTTCTTTTTTGACAGAGTCTCACTCTGTCACCTAGTCTGGAGTAATCTCAACTCACTGCAGCCTCCGCCTCCCAGGTTCAAATGATTCTCCTGCCTCAGCCTCCTGAGTAGCTGGGATTACAGGTACCCACTACCAGGACCGGCTAGTTTTTGTATTTTTGGTAGAGACGGGGTTTCACCATCTTGGCCGGGCTGGTCTCGAACTCCTGACCTCTGGAGATCCAACCACCTCGGCCTCCCAAAAACTCTGTGCTCTTTCTTTGGGTATCTGCTGGTGAAGACTAACCAGCTTCTGTGTTGCTTTTCATTTATTCTCAGGATGTCTAGGATGGAAAGGCAATGGGAATACATTTGTTATTTTTACCAATTGTTGGAATTCTCAGTAAGTATTTTAATTTGGAGTAGTAAAGGAAGATAAAAGTAGTCTGTTGATGTAAAAAAGTAATTACTGTCATTGCTAATCATTTATCTCCCAAGGTGTTTTATTTTACTCGAATGGATTTAAAAATAGTTTAGCTCAATGTCAACCACACTTTTGGGGGAAGTCAGGACTCAGTCAACATTATGTAGTTTATCGGAAAAAAATATATTACGCAAGCTCTCCTGAAACACAATGGAGCTAACTACTCTATACAATAAACATAAATGGGCATGAGTGTGCAGCTTTTAGACAGTGAACTTGAAAGGAATGAAGGTAGGCTTCTTCCTACTTCTTCTTGCTGCTGATTAGAATGTAGACATGATGGCTTGAACTGGTGCAGCCATTTTGGGGGATGAGGTAGAAGTAGAGAATGGCATGCAGATTCGGGGCCTCTCATGCCATGGAACTGTTAACTCAGCCCCTGCACCATTTCACTACTTTGTATTTTAAATGAGAAGGAAAGAAATATCTTAACTACTCGATAAACCACTGGTGATTTGAGTTATTCCAACTAATATCTATATATTACAGTCCACCACCCACCCCCTGCTTCCTGCTGTCTTCTCTCTCTTTCCACTACCACAGTCAACTCCACCTTCCAGGCTAAAAGTTCACCTGGCCACACTTCTTTTTTTTTTTTTCTTTGAGATGGAGTCTCGCTCTGTCGCCTATGCTGGAGTGCAGTGGCATGATCTCAGCTCACTGCAACCTCTGCCTCCTGGGTTCAAAAGATTCTCCTGCCTCAGCCTCCAGAGTAGCTGGGACTACAGGTGCACAACACCACGCCCGGCTAATTTTTGTATTTTTAGTAGAGTTGGGGTGTCACCATATTGGCCAAGGTGGTCTCGAACTCCTGACCTCGTGATCTGCCCGCCTCTGCCTCCCAAAGTGCTGGGATTACAGATGTGAGCCACCACGCCCAGCCAGCCTGGCCACGCTTCTTTGAAATTGTTCAGCAAGAAACAGGAAGAGAAGAAAGTGTCCTTTTGTGCTAGATGCATTTTGAGAACACCTTTCTAATACCACTGTACAAAAGTATTAGTCAAGGAGTCCAGTTATCTTGATTACATAAGCTAGAAAATCTTCCAAACCTGTTTGAACAGAAGAAAGGAGCTGAGACATAGCCCCCAGTGGATGCCCCTGGCCGAGGTGTCACTCATCACTCTCACAGTTTGATCTCAGGACATCATTTCCTCCCTCCTTTTCTTCTGTTCTGTGGGATTCTTTGAAGAGTGTTGAGAAGCCTTTACATCTGATTTTGCTCCACAAGCCAAGGCTCCTCTTCAGACCAGGTGGGTTTTCTTTTCATCCTGCTTTGATCCTTCCCAGGGAGGGCAGAGAAGGAATTCTGCTGCCTGGAACTGCTGCTCTCCTTCTCTGCCCGTGGGCCCCTGGGCCCCTGCTGGATGCTTGGGGATGTTTCCTATTAGTGGGCAGAGCTTCCCCTCCGCCCTTTGAACTTCATTTCCTTAGGAGCCGGGAGGACCTGCCCTGGCTGCCTGTGCGGTGCATTTGCATTGACTGCACAGTGCAGAGGTTGCTGATGGAGGTCCATTCTTTGCAATCTTCAGGGGTTCTGAACATCCTTTGATCGTGCAAAGTAAGCAGGATCCCCAAGATGTCCCCAGGGAGATGTAGCAAACTGGGATAGCAAGGTGGCCCAAGAGAAGTTTAGGGTGACAGATGCTGCCAGGTGGCAGTTGGGGAACGTTTAAGGCAATTGAGTCTGTGCAGGTGCATCCGGGGAGTTAAAACGAGCTGTGGCCAGGTGCGATGGCTCATGCCTGTAATCCCAGCACTTTGGGAGGCCGAGACGGGTGGATCACGAGGTCAAGAGATTGAGACCATCCTGGCCAACATGGTGAAACCCCGTCTCTACTAAAAATACAAAAATTAGCTGGGCATGGTAGCGCGTGGTTGTAGTCCCAGCTACTCAGGAGGCTGAGGCAGGAGAATCACCTGAACCTGAGAGGCGGAGGTTGCAGTGAGCCGAGATCCCACCACTGCACTCCAGCCTGGTGACAAAGTGAGACTCAGTCTAAAAAAAAAAAAAAAAAGGAGCTGTCTTCTTCCTTATTTAGATATCCCTAAAGTAACTCTATACTGTTACCAGTTTCTCATAAGGTTAGAGCTGTTGGCCCTTACTGAGTATCTTATCCTGTTGTTGAGGAAGTGATTGCAATATTCCACTAAATCATTTTTTTCTTTAATAAGTTTTATTGAGACATAATTTACATGCATAAAATTAACCCTTTTAAAGTCTACGAGCCAATGACATTTAATATATTAAGAGTTGTACAATCAACGGTATCATTTAAATTTAGATTATGTTTTCCACCCAGAAAAAAAACCCTGTATTCATTCAGCAGTCACTCCACAGACCTGATTTCCTCACCCTGGTCACCATTATCCAATTTCTGTCTCTATGGATTTGCCTATTTGGGACATTTCATATAAATGAAACCATACAATATACATACAATAAAATTCTGTGTAATATGAACAAAACTTCATACAACACAATATGCAGTGCTTTGTGAATTAATTTCATTTAGCGTGAGGTTTTGTTGTTCATTGTGTCATTGCATGTATGAATAATTCATTCTTTTATGACTGGGTAATCTTCTATTATATGGATATTCCACATTTAGTTTATCCATTCATTCGTTGATAGACGTTTGGCTTGTTTCCACCTTTTGGCTATTACGAATAATGCTGCTGTGAACATTTATGATTCATGTACATGTTTTCGTGTGGATATATGTTTTTATTTCTTTTTATTTTTTTATTTTTTGAGACGGAGTCTTGCTCTGTTGCCCAGGCTGGAGTGCCGTGGCGCAATCTAGGCTCACGGCAAGCTCCGCCTCCCGGGTTCACGCCATTCTCCTGCCTCAGCCTCCAGAGTAGCTGGGACTACAGGAGCCTGCCACCACATCCGGCTAATTTTTTTGTATTTTTAGTAGAGACAGGGTTTCACCGTGTTAGCCAGGATAGTCTCCATCTTCTCACCTCGTGATCCACCCGCCTCGGCCTCCCAAAGTGCTGGGATTACAGGTGTGAGCCACCGTGCCGGCAGTATATGTTTTTATGTCTTTTGGGTATAGTCCTAAAAGTGGAATTGCTGTGTCGTGAGGTAACTCCATCTTTAACATTTTGGGGAACTGTCAAACTGCTTTCTGAAGTTGCTACACTATAGAGCCATAAGAGCAATGAAAGAGATGTCCAATTTCTCTGCATCCTCATCAACACTTGCTATTGCCCGTCTTTATCTCAGTCATCTTGTTCTGTTTGCAGTGGTGTCTCATTGTAATTTCGATTTGCATTTCCTGAATCACTAATGATGCTGAGCATCTTTTCATGAACTTATCACCTATAGGTGCATGAAATTATGTGCTTATAGGCCAATTAAGAATTGGTTCTATATATCTATATAAATAGGTAGATCTAGATATCCAAATTGTTCTTATTTCAAAGCAAAACACAAACCATACACATGCAGGTTCTGTTGAGCCTAATGCTTTCCTTCCTAAAAAAGATGAGTTTCTTTTTTTTTTTTTTTTTAAATTTCCAGCTTTTATTTTAAGTTCAGGGCTCTAGTGGTTTGCTGCACAGAACATCCCATCACCCAGGTATTAAGTCCAGCATCCATTAGCTATTCTTCCTGATCCTCTCCCTCCTCCCCGCCCACCACCCTCTAACAGGCCTCAGTGTGTGTTGTTTTCCCCCCATGTATTCTCATGATTTAGCTCCCACCTATAACTGAGAACATGTGGCATTTGTTTGTCTGTTCCTGCATTAACTTGCTAAGGATAATGGCCTCTAGCTCCATCCATGCCCCTGCGAAGTACATGATCTCATTCCTTTTTATGGCTGCGTAGTATTCCATGGTGTATATGTACCACATTTTCTTTATCCAGTCTATCACTGATGGACACTTAGGTTGATTCCATGTCTTTGCTATTGTGAATAGTGCTGCAGTGAACGTATGTGTACGTGTGTCTTTAAAAAAGAATGATTTATATTCCTTTGAGTATATACCTAGTAATAGGATTACTGGGTCAAATGATATTTCTATCTTCAGGTCTTTGAGGAATCGCCACACTGTCTTCCACAATGATTGAACTATTAGATAATTTACACTCTCACCAACAGTGTATCAGCATTCTTTCTTCTCCACAGTCTCGCCTCCGTCTGTTATTTTTTGACTTTTTAATAGTAGCCATTCTGACAGATGGGAGATGGTGTCCCATTGCAGTTTTGAATTACATTTTTCTAATGATCAGTGATGTTGAGCTTCTTTTCATATGATTGTTGGCCGCATATATGTCTTCTTTTGAGAAGTTCCTGTTTATGTCCTTTGCTCACTTTTTAATGGGGTTGTTTGTTTTTTTTTCTTGTAAATTTGTTTAAGTTCAGATGCATAGTTTGCAAATATTTTCTCCTATTCTGTATGTTGTCTGTTTATTCTGTTGATAGTTTCTTTTGTTGTGCAGAAGCTTTTTAATTTAATTAGATCCCATTTGTCAGTTGTTGATTTTGTTGCAATTGCTTTTGTCATCTTTATCATGGAATCTTTGCCCATGCCTGTGTTCTGAATGGTATTGCCTAGGTTGTCTTCTATGGTTTTTAAAGTTTTGGGTTTTACATTTAAGTCTTTAATCCATCTTGAGTTAATTTTTGTATATGGTATCCTTTGTATAAGGAACCCTTTCTATAAGGGGTCCTTACACCCCTGCATATGGCTAGCCACTTACCCTAGCACTAATTATTGAATAGGGAATCCTTTCCCCATTGCTTGTTTTTGTAAGGTTTGTCAAAGAGTAGATAGCTGTAGGTGTGTGATCTTATTTCTGTTTTTTTATTCTCTTCCATTGGTCTATATGTCTGTTTTTGTACCAGTACCATGCAGTTTTGGTTAATGTAGCCCTGTAATGTACTTTGAAGTCGGGTAATGGTGATGCCTCCAGCTTTGTTCTTTTTGCTTAGGATTGCCTTGGCTATTTGGGTTCCTTTTTTGTTCCATATGAATTTTAAAAATAGATTTTTCTAGTTCTGTGAAGTATCTTAATGGTAGTTTAATAGGAATACCATTGAATCTATAAATTGCTTTGGGCAGTATGGCCATTTTAACAATATTAGTTCTTTCTATCCATGAGCATGGAATGTTTTAACATTTGTGTCATCTCTAATTTTTTTGAGGACTGTTTTGTAGTTCTTCTTATAGAGATCCTTCATATCCCTAGTTACCTGTATTCCTAGATATTTTATTCTTTTTGTGAGTTGTGAATGGGAATAGGTTCCTGATTTGGCTCTTGTCTTGACTGTCGATGGCGTATAGGGATGTTAGTGATTTTTCCACATTGATGATTTCCCTGATTGAATGATCTTGGCACCCTCGTCAAAAATAAATTGACCGTAAGTGCGAGGGTTTGTTTCTGGACTCTGAATTCTATTCTACTGATCTGTATGTCTATCCCTATGTTAGTTCCATGAAGTCTTGATCAATATGGCTTTGTAATAAGTCTCAAAATCAGGAACTCTTTTTATTTTAAAATTTTATTTCTAGTTTTTGGGAAACAGGTTGTTTTTGGTTACATGGATAAGCTCTTTAGTGGTGATTTCTGAGATTGTGGTGCACTGGTCACCCGAGCAGTGTATACTGTACCCAATATGTAGTCTTTTATCCCTCAGTTCCCTCTTATCCTTCCCCCTGAGTCCCCAAAGTCTGTTATATCCTTCTTATGTCCTGGCATCTTCATAGCTTAGTTCTCACTTACAGATGAGAACATACTATATGTAGTTTTCCATTCTTGAGTTACTTCATTTAGAATAATGGACTCCAACTCCATCCAAGTTGCTGCAAAGACCATTATTTTGTTCTGTTTTACAGCTGAGTAGTATTCCATGGTGTGTATATACCACATTTTCTTTATCCACTCGTTGGTTGATGGGCACTTAGGTTGGTTCCATATCTTTGCATTTGTGAATTATGCTGCCATAAGCATGCATATGTATGTCTCTCTCTCTCTCTCTCTCTCTCTCTCTCTCTCTCTCTCTCCTTCTTTCTGACAGAGTTTTGCTCTGTTGCCCAGGCTGGAGTGCACTGGTGCAATCTCGGCTCACCACAACCTCTGCCTCCCAGGTTCAAGTGATTCTCCTGCCTCAGCCTCCCAAGTAGCTGGGATAACAGGCATGCACCACCAAACATGGCTAATTTTGTATTTTTAGTAGAGACAGGGTTTCTCCATGTTGGTCAGGCTGGTCTTGAACTCCCGAGGTCAGGTGATCCACCCGCCTTGGTCTCCAAAAGTGCTGGGATTACAGGCGTGAGCCACCACGCCCAGCCTGCATGTGTCTTTTTCATATAATGACTTCTCTTCCTTTGGGTAGATACCCATTCATGGGATTGCTGGATTGAATGGTAGTTCTACTTTTGGTTCTTTAAGGAATCCTCATACTGTTTTCCATCGTGGTTGTACTAGTTTACATTCCCACCAGCAGTGTAATGTCTTCCTTTTATTCAAGACTGTTTTGGCTATTCTTGGTCTCTTGCAATTCCATGTGAGTTATAGGATCAGCTTGTCATTTTCTACAAAAAGGCAGCTGGGATTTTGATAGGGATTGCATGAATATGTAATCAATTTGGGGAGTGTTGCCATCTTAACAATATGCATCTTCCAGTCCATGAACATGGGATGTCTTTCTCATTCATTCAGGACTTTAATTTTCTTATACAATGGTCTGTAGTTTTCTGAGTACAAGTCTTGCACTTCCTTTGTTAAATTGATGCCTAAGTATTTTATTATTCTTCAGGCTGTGGTAAATGGAATTATTTTCTTCATTTCATTTTGGATTGTTCATTGTATCATATAGAAATACCATTGATGCCTGCATATTGTGTATCCTGTAACTCTACTGAATTCAAGTGTAAGCTGTAATTTTTCTTTATGGATTCCTTAGGATTTCCTGAATACAGATCATGCCACCTGAGAAGAGAAATGGTTTTATTTCTTCCTTTCTAATCTAGATGCTTTTCCTTTTCTTTCGTTACCTAAATGCCCTAACTAGAAACTCCAGTACAACATCAAGTAGACATGGTGAGAGCAAACATCTTTGTTCTACTATTGATCCTAGGAGGAACACATTAAATCTTTCACTATGAAGTATGATGGCAGCTGTGGTCCACTGAGTGCTTTTGTGTAAAAATGACTGGCATTTCAGGCCCTTTCTTGGGTGTCCAACCAACCTAGTTTTCCTGGAATTGAGGGATTTCCTAAAACCTGAGGCTTATGCCAAAACTGGAAGGTTTCCAGCCAACCAAGAAGACCTGGTAATCCTAGAGCTTTGTCATCTTTCTGTGAGGTGAAAGTGTTTACTTATTTATTTCCTAAAAGTAAATCATCATTAGGGCTTCTTTGCAGCTCAAACACGCAGTTTCTTTGCATCCCTGAGAATCTGTTTCTCCTTAATGAAATGTCACTAGAGATCTGAAGAGGATGTGTCACTGAGAGAATTGGCTGAAAATACCAGTTGCCAATTATGACATGTTTTCTATTTGAAAAATGCTTTGTTTTGAAGTTATTTGTTTGTTATTTGTAACCCTGAAGTGGTATGGGTGGGGAGGACTCTGGGTGGTCTTAGAGATGGAATCTCACTCTGTTACCCAGGCTGGAGTGCAGTGGCACAACCTGGGCTCACTGCAACATGTGCCTCCCAGGTTCAAGTGATTCTCCTGGCTCAGCCTCCCAAGTAGCTGGGATTACAAGGTTGTGCCGTTGCACCCAGCTGATTTTTGTATTTTTGGTAGAGACGGGGTTTCACCATGTTGGCCAGGCTGGTCTTGAACTCCTGACCTCAGTGATCCACCCATCTTGGCCTCCCAAAGTGCTAGGATTACAGGTGTGAGTTACCGTGCCCAGCTGAGCCCTTGTTTTTAAAAGGCAGAGTCACCACCATCAAATGACCCATGCTGCAGGGCAGAGCTGCCTGCCAGGTGAGCATGAGTGGCCCTTGGCATGCCACCACTGAATCCTTCAAGCTTGGTGCCACATTCCTAAAGCTTTCTTTCTAAAGTTATGTCTTGGATCACGGGGGTTGGGGGTTTATGCTACTACAAAGGAAGAGATAGTTGAGACAAGCACTCCCCACCTCCCTAAAATTCTATGAATATTCATACATACACTCCTTCTAATTGCCACTCATAGGTTCTTGTCAAATTGCCCCCAAATTTATTCTTCTACCAATACCTATTGGGCTCCTTTTGTGTTTCAGGTATGCTAGGTACATACCATCAAAGCAGGCTGGACAAAGATTCTTGCCCTTATGAAGCTTGTGTGCCCCAGTTGGGATTTTTTCACGTAATTTCTTTGGTGGCAGTAATGCAAAATTTCCACCTGATCCATTGGAAAAAATAGAATGTCTACTTGTAGGTAAATTCTCCTCTTTTCTCTCTCTGTATTAATATTTCTACTTCTTTTTCTTTCTCTGTCTCCTCCAGAGTGCCTCTGGCTCTCTAAATATGTATGAACACGTACCGTACACACACACACACACACACACACGTGCAAGCATACATGTGTGATTTCAGCTTAAAAATTACTTTTGAGAAGCACATCTAATACAAAAGAGGATGTCTCTAAAATAGCCGCCTGTGAGTTGAAATTCATCTTCAATTACATTTTTATTTCATTCAGAAAAACTCCCATTTGGGCAAAATTGTCTTCTATGAATTATCAAAAATGAAGAATTTTTTGGATGCAAATAACATGAAATCATCACTCCTTTTTTCGTTTATTCAACTAATGTTGATGAAACGTCTATTTTTTTTCTTAAGCAGTTTGGGGGCTGAGGGTACAAGAGAGGGGTAGCCAGAAATCCCTGCTGCTTTTGCGTTGAGGTGGGAGTTTGGGTGCGGGACTAGATGGCAAGTTAGAGATGTGAATACCATGCTGGGTGCTGGGAGTGAGAAGGGCTAGGGGGCAAAGCAATGCTGTAGAGAGGACAGAGCGTGACGGGGCCACCCCTTAGATGGGTGAAAGAGAAGGCTTCTCCCTGGAACCTCACAGAGACTTGAGTGAAGTGAAGAAGGGGCACTGTGAATATTTGGGGAGGAGCTGTCCAGGTGAGGGGACAGATAGTGCAAAAGCCCAGAGTGGAATTAGCTGGGTGCATTGGAGGAAGAGCAACGGTGAGATGGCCATGTGGCTGGAGCAGAGTGAGTGTGGGAAAGGGGTGGGGGATGCATCAGGGACATGGGCAGAGTCCTCTTCATGTGGTCCAGGCAGGCCACATGTGTCCCAGATTGGAGCTGTTCCCAGTATCCACTCTCCCTTTACTTCTTGAGGAACAGAACTCCTGATGGTTAGCTGAGCGCTCGACCACCCAGAATAACGACTGCCCTTTCCAGCCTCCTTTGCAACTAGGCTTGGCCTGGTAATTGTGCTCTAAATTTTGCTATATAAAGGCAGTTACATATATTACTAGAGGCACCAGTAGCTTCCAGGAAGTCACCTTAAAGGTAGGGGCATTGCCTACTTCTTAATGGCTGGAATATGAATATAATGGCAGGACCCCAGCAGCTGTACTGAATCATGAGGTGGCCCTGGGAGTAGAAACAAAAGGAAGAAAAGAGCCTGAGTCTCTTACTCCATAAAATGCCCCAACTGTCCAAGAACCCAAGAGAGAAATGAACTGCTCTCTTATTTAAGCCTGTGCTGTGTGGGGTCGTCCTGTAACTCACCACTGACCCTAAGCCGTTTTCATACCCCATAGTAAGGACTTTACAGTTTATTTGAATTCAATGGGAAGCTGTTGAAGAGTCTGGGGCCAAGGAGTGATATGACCTGGTTCATTTTTTTAAAGGCTCACTCTGTGTACTATAAGGAGACTGGACTCCTAGGGGCTGAGAAGGGACATAGAAAGGTCTGTTGGGGCCATTGCAGTCATCCAGGTAGAAGGTAATTATATTAGTCAGGGTTCTCTAGAGAAACGGAACCAATAGGAAGACATATATATTCAAATATATCATATATATTCACATGCATATATTGATATATATGAATGTATGCTACTTAACAATATGTCTGTCTTATGCCATTTGTATTGCTATAAAGAAGTACCTGAGGCTGGGTAATTTATAAAGACAAGAAATCTATTTGGTTCATGGATCTGCAGGCTGTACAGGAAATATGGTGCCAGCATCTGGATCTGGGGAGGCCCTCAGGCTGCTTCCACTCATGGTGGAAAGTGAATTGGAGCAGGTGTGTATAGATCACATAGTGAGAGAGAGGAAGTGAGACTTTTCAACAACCAGTTCTTGTGGGAACTAAGGGGGAGGGCTGACTCACTCCCGTGAGAATCTCATCAAGCTATCCATGGGGAATCCACCCTCAGGATCCAAACACCTCCTAGCAGGCCCCACCTCCAATACTGGGGATGAAATTTCGACATGAGATTTGGCAGGGACAAACAAACCATGTTGAAAGCAGAGCGATGTCATACGTGTACATGTATGTGAGTAGGTTTATTATAAGGAATTGGCTCATGCAATTATGGAGGCTGAGAAGTCCCAAGATCTGCAAGGTGAGTCAGTGATCTGTAGGCCCAGGAGAGCCAGTGTTCCTGTCTGAAGGCTGTCAGGCAGGAAAAATGTCTTACTCAGGGAAGTGTCAGTCTTTTGTTGTATTCAGGTCTTCACTGATTGCACAAGGCCTACCCATTTAGGAAGGACAATGTGTTTTACTTAGTGTGTTAGCCTGTTCTCACACTGCTAATAAAGATATACCTGAGACTGGGTATTTATAAAGGAAAGAGGTTTAATTGACTCACAGTTCCACGGGGCTGGGGAGGCCTCAGGCAACTTACAATCATGGCAGAAGGGGGAGCAAACATGTCCTTCTTCACATGGCGGCAGGAAGGAGAAGTGTCGAGTGAAGTTGGGGAAAGCCCCTCATAAAACCATCAGATCTCGTGAGAACTTACTCACTGTCACAAGAACGGCATGGGGAACCATGACCATGATTCAGTTACCTCCCACTGGGTCCTTCCCACAACACATGGGGATTATGGGAACTACAATTCAAGATGAGATTTGGGTGGGAACACAACCAAATCATCTCACTTAGTCTACTGATTCAAAAGTTAATCTCATCCCAAAACATCCAGACACAACAAAATAATGTTTGACCAAATATCTGGACACCTAGTCAGGTTGACACATAAAATCAGCCATCCCCATAATTACTCAGATGAAGGAGGAAGGGAGGGAGATGATGGACGCAATCACCTTTCAAATGCTTTTGACTTCAGGTATATAGATTTGATTTGTAGAACCTTAACTTTTATAAACAGGGAGTCTAATAGTTCACAGCTCTGTAGCTACTTTGCTTTGATTGTTCAAGGAGTTTGCCTCATAGCACCCTATGCAGGATCCCTCAGGAAGCCAGGGCCAGGGCAAAGTTGTGATTTTCATGTTTCTGGTGAGAGAGGAATTACATAAAGGAAAGAAATACCTTTTTCTAATTTAGTTCAGTGAGGAAGTGTGACATCTGGAAGCAAAGCACAAGGGAACTGTCCGAGGTGGGAGGGAAGCAGGGTCTCAGGGGCCCCAAGTGCTCCAGAGAACATAGCCAGGCATCCTATTTCTGTCCCATACTTGGCTATTCTGTCCATTTTTTCTAAAAGATCTTCTCTAGCACTCATAAAGCATATAACAAAGTAGAGAAATACAAGAGACAAATATAAATCAAGGCCAAAGAAAACAGAAGTGGGGTTGAGACCAGGAGGAAATAATTCAAACACTGCTAATCATCCATGTTTATCAACAGTGAATAAAATCTAAAAATGCAACTCCCGAGGCTTCCTGGCAGCATGAGTGAAAAGGGAAACTTGAGCAAACACCTGCTTCTCCCTGTCTGGAGGAGAAAGACCAGAGATGTGGTCGTGGTGAAGGTTTCCTGCCATCTAGGTTTGCAAGATGGCGCGGGACTTTCACAGAGAACAGAGGTGCTAACGCTGCGATCTGAGACCCCGGGAGTCTGCGACTCCTTCAATTTCTGCCAAGGCCGGCTGCTCCTGGAAATGCAGTGGCAGCATTCACAAGGGCGTTCTCCCATGGTGTTTTCTTAGCAAAGCTGAGGACAGGTCAACAAAGGAGGACTCAGAAGAGCCGTTTTATTTATTGCCCCTACTTTGCGCAGCTCCTCCCCTCCTGCAGCTTTTTATTGGGGTGTTGCTTCCTCTGAATGGTGTCAGGATAACGATGCTGTTTGTTTTCCCACATTGGCAGAGAGCACAGGAGGAGGCAGCCTGGCTGGAAGTGCTGTCTCTGCCTTGGCTCTGGAACCAAGGGTGGGTTGTTCAATCTCCCGGGTCCCACTTTCCTCCTGGTAGTAGTGGCCGCAACCTGGTGGGCTTCCTGTGAGAATTAAGTGAGGTGAAAGGTACCAAGTGCTGAAAACAGCACCCAGCACAAAGATGCGCTCTGTGAGTGCTGCTTCCTCGTATCACGGGGTTGCTGTTGTTTTCCATTTGTTTTTGTTTTCAAAAGAATACTGTTATTTTGAGCTACCTGGAGTCAGACATTTGCACATCAGGTAATTTAAAAGCTGGATGCTGTAATGATGTTTCTGTATAAATGTAAAGGGTCGATGAAGAAGAGAAGCAGATCTTGCCAGGGTGGCTTGAGTCTCTTCACCTCCAGGTTACCCAGTTGGAATCACCATTATCTGCAAACTGCGCAGTTAGATTGGGCCAAATAAATTGCATTTATTTGGCTCAGAAAGAGACAGACAGAAGAGCAGACTGACTTTCTCGCATGAAGCCCCTAGGTGTGTGAGTCCCCCAAGGAGAGTGACTGAGAAGCTGATGACCCTGTACCCTTCCCCTCTCTGATCCGGCCACTCAGTGGAGGGAGGGGCATTAGATAGGGTGAAGTCTCCCTCCCTCACTTCCTTTCTTCTCTTTCTTCCTCTCTTTCTTCTTTCTGTTTTTCCTTCCTTTCTTTCTCTTTCCTTTATTTTTTTCTTCTTCCCTTCTTTAATTCTTTTTCTTCCTCTCTCCTTCCTTCCCTGCCTTCTTTTCTTTCTTCCTTCCTTCCTTTTCTGTCTTTTCCTTCTTTCTTTGCTTCCCTCCTTCTTCTCTCTCTCTTTGCCACTCCCTCCCCCACCTCTCTCTTCCTTCTCTTCCACAACAGGGTGTCTAAATTCAAAACCACAGCTTTCTCTGGGATTCCACCAAGAATAGAAGGAGGACTCAGGAAGAAATGGAACTTTCCTGTCCTTCCTAGACAATTTAAGGGGTTTGTCAGGAGTCATTTGTCTTTCCGTGATTTACACTTTACCTGCAGACATTATGTGATCTGTGCGTCTGCAGAACACTGAGACCGGAGCTATAGGCTTGAGGAAGAGGTGAGCCATTCATACAAGTTGGAGATTGATGGGTCTGGGTGAGATCCCCACCCTTCACACCATCACCCCCTGTTCCACAGACATTATCACCAGGTAGCCTGAAAACCAGCTTACTTGAAACCTGAAAACGGATCACCCAGGTCAGGGGACAAGTGCCTCTTCCAACTTCCACTACCTAAGAGAATCACTGCACACCCCCTCTAGAGGGAATGTGGGCAAACCTTTCAGTGGGGAAACCATCCCGGTTTGGGAAAATGTTTTCTTTATGATGATTCTAAATCCCTCCCCCTGCAGTTCAAAGACATGAACTTTATAGGAGGAAGAGAAAACCCTTTTGAGATATTACATTTTAAGCCCGCAGAAGCCCAAAGAAGAAACAACCCTAGGATTGAAATAGAGAGGCCTCCATTTTCACAGGGGCACTGGGGGACACCAAGAGGATGAGCAGGAATAGGTGAAGGGTCCCAGACCATGGAGGGATCTTCAGGAGGGAAGGGATCTCTCTGCAGGGTTCAGCATGCATGGGTTTGTGCCTGAGGAGGGTCCCTCTGGGGCTGCCATCTGTATTGACAGGATGCACAGTGAAGTTGCTTTTTACAGGAAGCTGAGTTTCAAAGCTGGCACATGGGCCTCAGGAGAATCATCTAGGTGTTCTCAGCTGGACCAGTGCAAGAGCCTCCACACTGATTTTCCTGTTTCACTGGCTGCCGTAAACTCTGCCCTCAACCACAGAGATCCTCTTAAATCCTGTCAGTCATTGTCACCCCTCTGCTTGACACCCTCCATGGCTCCCATCTTATTCAGATTAAAAGCCCAAATCATCTATAAGGCATGCTATGTACTCTCTCTTCATACCTCCCCAACCCCCAGGCACCTCCCCTGACCCTCTTCCCTTATTCCCTCCTTTCCTCCACACTGTCCTCCTTGCTGTCCCTTAGACGCTCAGGCAAGCTCCCACCTCAGGGCCTTTGCACATCCCTGTCCTTGCCTGCAAAGTGCTCCCCTCCCACATCTGCATGGTTTATAGCTCTGCCTCCTTTGGAGCTTTACTTAAATGCCACGTGCTTAGTGAGGGTGTCCCTGGGTGCCCTACATAAAATTGCAGCCCCCTGGCACTCTTTACCCCCTTCCTGCCTTGTCACCATCCTGTCACGGTGTATTTTACTATTTATCTTTCCCTGCTGCAAGCAGGTCATCTCTGTGTGGTTAGGTGTCTTGTCATTGTTGATCTCTGCTTTATCTTGAGCATCTGGAGCAAAGCCAGGCATGTAGCAGGAGCTCACCAAACATGTGTCCAAGGAATGATGGAAGAAATGAATTACCCTTGAACACCCTTAGGGTTTGGATGGTCGGATTCTTTCTCAACTCCAGGAGAAATATTTAGCTTGTGTTTCGGGGCCAGGTTGTATGGAAAACGCACCTTTAAAGACTAGAATAAGCAAGCAATCCAGGAGGCTGACTTTGTAAGAAGCCAGGGATCGGAGCCCCACTGAGTGGGTGAAAACCCAGACCCCGTGCCTCAGCCTTCAGCTGCAAATCCCTGGGAAGGATGGCAGGATCCACAGGCTCTGGCACACGAACCTAACCTATTCTCTGTCTCCTAAAGAGTTGAATTTGCATCAATAAAACGCGTCGACTCCATGTATACCCACCTGCAGAAACATAATATTAAAACCATGTTATTTTATTGTCTTCTCAGTTAGGAGGAAATAAATGACTCTCTGAGCAGCAATAGCTCCCCAGAAGGGATGTTTTACACCCAGATACTAGAGTTAAAACAGAAAGCAAGAAGTAGGGGGCTCTGCATGTTAAGTAGGTTCAGCAACCGTAATTAGTGATTTTCTAGGGTTGAACAGGACACTTCCTGCTTTCATGGGAAAATCAGTTTGCTGCTGACCAACCCGTACTTCTAGAGCACTGAGTAACCAGCCTCTAATTCGGTTGTAATGAACCGTGTATTAATGTTGCAGCCTTCTGCCCGCTCTGGAGACCTCACGCCATGCCTGGCCTTGCAGTGAGTCTTGTGCTTGTCAGTTATGGGGGCAGGACTTTCTTGCAAAGCTGCTTTTGTTTTCCCACTAAAAATGTGCTTATTTCTACCTTAAATAGAGATGAATCCCACAACTTGCCCAAGATAAATATGGGAGACGAAAATCTCATTTATATTTAAGGTCATGTGTAGTTTTCTATTTCTCGCTCTCTCACACACATACACACACAGAGAGACACACACTTACATCTTAAATGTCTGCAAACATTATACTAAAAAACCCATTAAGTTAAATACAGAATTACAGCATGTCTGTTTCTCTCTTGAATACAGCAGGTCGGGAGCCCACGTGTCCAATTTGAATATATTTAAATGAAGAAGAAGTATCGGGTTACTTTGGGGAGAAAAGTTCAGACCTGTGGCCCACCAAACTCAGACCTTCCTGTCCTCCTGGCTGTCATCCCGTCCTATCCCTGGCTTAGGTTTGCAGCCCTTCTGTCCTGCCACTTTCTCACCAACAGGACCAAGGGAATTCATGGAGGGCGCCCCAGGAGACCCCCCCGGCTCCATCATCCAAAATACCCACAAGTGGCTTCTGTTCGAATGCAGTCAGATTGCTAAATTAAGAGGGAGCCCAGGCCGGGCACGGTGGCTCATGCCTGTAATCTCAGCAGTTTGGGAGGCCGAGGCAGGTGGATCACAAGGTCAGGAGTTTGAGACCAGCCTGACGAACATGGTGAAACCCTGTCTCTACTAAAAATACAAAAATTAGCCAGGTGTGGTGGCATGTGCCTGTAATCCCAGCTACTCAGGAGGCTGAGGCAGGAGAATTGCTTGAACCCGGGAGGTGGAGGTTGCAGTGAGCCGAGATCATGCCACTGCACTCCAGCCTGGGCAACAGTGAGACTCCGTCTCAAAAAAAAAAAAAAAAAAGAAAAAGAAGGAGCCCAAAGAAGCAAATATTCCCCCTTCTCCCAGCCAAGGGTAAGGCCAGTGCAGTCCTGGGCTTCTGGTTTCTACTTCTGTTCTTGGGACAGAGAAATGTCCCACCCCACCACACCCACCCGAGGCCTCCCCTCCGTCCACAGCACATCACACACACATCCCCAACCATGGACTGGGTTTCTCTCCAGTTCTGCTTGTAGAATTTCAGACACCATGAATGGAACACACGGCCCCACCCTGCTCAGGGGCCAGGAGTGTCCTTGGTCCCCGGGGGTTTTGTGTCGGCATCATTGTTCCTTCTCAGAGTCCCATCCCTGCATTGAGTCATTCAATCTGTGGGGAGAGACCCCTGTGAGCCATTCGAGGTTTGAATCCCCTCTGGGGCTGGAGCTGCACGGCCCTGGGCAGAGAGGCCCAGGGTGGAACAGTCTCCACTTTCTGGAAGTTTCACAGGGAGTGGAGAAGGGAAAGGAGTGGCCTCAGGCTGTGGCTACTCAGAAGAGGTAGGTTTACAAAGTCTCCTTTGTTGAGAAAGAAAGATTCCTACATATGCACAGCGGGACACTTTAAATCTTTAATACCTGCTTATCCTGCTCAAAAATTGGTAAGAACCCACGGATTGGACTGCTTTCTAAATTTATGAACTGTCAAGCAAAACCAAGCTAAGTGTATTTTATGTGTTCTAATGTTAGAGTTTGATTTTTCACTAAAAATAGCAGTAGCAAATACTATGAAGCAGTTATCAGAAGATGCCATGACCACTTTTAAAATTGTGTGTGTGTGTGTGTGTGTGTGTGTGTGTGTCTAGTGCATGTGCGCCTGAACTTCCTAAAGAACCAGTACGTGGCGTGATAGTTTTAGGAGCTAAGTGTCTTGGCCACACAGGACACAGGAATAGGGCCTTGAACCAACCATGGGGTCCCCTGGTAAGAGCGTATGCCTTAAGGTGAGACCTTGGAGAGCTCCATGTGATACCCAAAACTAATTGAGGCACTTATAGTGGGACGATGTCTCATACCCAGGCAATATGTAGGCCTAAAGAACATTTAAAAGAAAAAAATGCACAAAATTTGAATTGCGCACACAGGCTTCCAAGATATGTGAAGGAAACCCTGCCCATATACTCATGTTAACTGAATTTGCTTTCTGTGCTCTGCTAACCAAAATAGGAAGAATGCTCACCCTGGTACCAGTCACACAAATGGTAGTATTATAGCAAACCAGTGTAAAGTGCTTGCATGTGCCAGAGGCCATGCTAGACACTCTACTGCACATCAACACATCCAGTGCTCCCAGCAGCAAGAGAGGTAATAGTATTCCATCTTACAGATGAGAAAATGGTGGTTCTGAGCAGCTTCAGGACTAGCTCAAGGTCACAAAAGCTCATGAAGTAGTGGAGCCCAGGACTCACCTACTACTCGCTTTGTCATTGTACCTGCTTTGCTGTATGAGTGTGTTCTCCTGCTGCTAATAAAGACATACCTGACACTGAGTAATTTATAAAGGAAAGAGGTTTAATTGCCTCACAGTTCCTCATGGCTGGGGAGGCCTCACAATCATGGTGGAAGAGCAAGGGACGTCTTACATGGTGGAAGACAAGAGAGAGCATGTGCAGGGGAACTCTCCTTTATAAAACCATCAGATCTGGCAAGACTTATTCACTACCATGAGACCAGCATGGGGGAAACTGCCTCCATGATTCAATTATCTCCACCTGGCCCCACCCTTGCCATGTGGGGATTATTACCATTCAAGGTGAGATTTGGGTGGCGACACAGCCAAACCATGTCATTTGCCTTTTTGAGGAGTTTCTAAGACTTTCCACTTGTTATTTGGTATTTGCTATAGTCACATGAGAAAAAACAGCCACTTCTATTCCCTGACCCTGTTCTAAAATCAGACAAACACCAAGATTATTACTTCTGTTTGTATTCTCTGAGGGTGTTTTCATTCTGTGAAATCCCTTGATGACATACAGCCTCAGACACTGTGAGTGTGGCGTCTAGATAAAACTCAGACACCTAAACAACACTTTGTGTCTTTTCTTGGGGGATCATGTTGGTGTTACTCATCAAGTAGATGCCGTTCAACAGAAACCTGATTGGCGCTAATTTAAAGATAGCGGCTAATTAGTCTTTATAGCAGGATAAAACTAATTTGAAGCATGCTAATGAGAGTGAAGTTTTATAGCAGGGAAGGCAAAATATTAATTTAGAATCCAGGAGGACGGGTGATGAAGGATGTTTTAATTTTTAAAATTTTAAATTTAAATTCTGTTAAATTGCAGGTAGAATGACAATCACTGTGGTGGGTTTGGAGGTTGTGCCTGCATTTTGTTCCACAGGTATTTATTGTTTCTGATCTATGCTGATGATTTGCCCAGCACCAGACAGGCAACAATAACGAAACCAACATTGTGATTGCTCTTGCAGCTCTGTCATCTAATAGGTCTCATAGTCTAATAGAAGAATCAAATGCGAAGTGAGTAAGTATACAGTAACAATGTTAGATTGATAAAGGACGACACACACACACACACACACACACACACACACACACCCCAGGATAACAGAGAGAGAACAATAGGAGGAATCTAGATTTGATTGGAGCGATTCTGTCCAACAGAATTTAGATGATGATAGAAATATCCTATGACTTTGCAATCCACAGGGAAGCCATGAGTCACATGTGGACATTGAACCCCTGAAATGTGGCTAGTTTGACTTAGGAACCGAATGCTTAACGTTATATAGTTTTAATTAATTTGAACATAAATGTCCCCTCGTGCCTGCTGATAAGGGCACCCCCAGTTCCTCAGGGAACCACTTGTCTCCCATCCTTGCTCCTTAGAGTTGAGAGGAATTGACCCTACCCATCATTCCGAGACAGGGGATGTATCTCAGCCTGAATCATCAGGAAGTGCAATAACTTGACCGTGGTGAATGGTGAAGGGAAAAGTCCATCAGACACTCTCTTCCTGGAGTTTGAGTTTTGAGCAAGGCTGTTGGAATGAATGAATTTTCCATCACGGAAGCTTTAGACCTTAGGAGCCGCCTTGATCCCTGTCCATCCACACCTGCTTCTCCAACTTCCCCACCAATTCTCCAGGTGCCCTCTAGCCTAGCTGGAGTGTACCAGTGAGGTCTTTTCCTACATACATGAGCTAAAGTTGTTTCTATTTGCTTGCAAGCTGAGACTGTGTCTCATAGAGTGTCTCCATGCTGACCATATTTCTCATTCACTGACTCAACACATAGGTCATGAGCTCCTACTATGTGCTTAGCATTGCTTAAGGCATTGGACACCCAGAAGTAAGACAGTGTTTGTGTTTATGAAGCTCATGGTGCAGGAGTTGGGCAGGGGAAGGCGGATCATGCTCGCTGTTAGATCATAATGCTTGAGTTTGATGCTCGTTGCTCCGAGGAACTCACCTACTCTGTGTGCCTGAGTTCCCTGGTCTGTAACCCAGAGGATTGGCCTAGGTGGCCCAAGAATTTCTATCTGTCTTCAAAGCTGTGTTGCTACAAAGCAGAGAGATTGTGGGTGGATGCAACTGAAATTCTTTGGGGTTTATCAGGAGGGGAAGGATGGGAGGATACTTGAAAGGCTCTGAGGACTTGTGTGCAGTTTTCCACATGTTGGCCAGAAGCTCCAAGGATGTCTTTTCGTCTATGTGGGGAATCTCAAATTTGCGGGCACCAACGAGATCAGAAGTGCCTGCCTGACCCTTGCCATCACATTAGCCTCAGCAAGAACAGACCTTTTGAAGTCAGGACTTCCCCATATAACAAATGTCTCCATTGGTGGTCTTGAAATACTTTGTAATTGGGAAAAGAGTACACAGTGATTGCTGGGATCATGGGCAACATCTTGAACTGTTTTCAAGCGTTTGAGGCTCTACGAAAACTGAAACATATTTCTCCAAACTCCTCTTTCTTTTGATTTTTTTTTTTTTTAATACTGCTGTGCCTGTGGGAGGAGATGGAGACCATGTGCTTTCAATTCCTGGGCTCTTAACTTTCCAAAATACACTTCAGTGAAGGATGTTTGATGTGTGTTCATTTCTGAGGACTTGGGGCCCCGTTGATAAGCTTTTTCTTCTAAGGATTTTCCTCAAGAAGGGAGGCTGCTATTCCCCATTAGGAAACAAATGTGAATCACAGAAAGGCTTGCAACTCCAAGACTGTGCCATTTCAGCAGGCGTAAAGCTTGTGGAATTCATTCATCAGAGCGGGAGTGCAGATGAGCAGCCTGCTAGAGAGAGCCAGGAACAAGCAGGTTGGGGGACTCGGAGTTCAGGACACCCTGGATTTCTCCAGGAGAGGAAGATTCTTTTTAGATATCATCAGCCACTCACTGGGCAGCTGCTGTCCCCAGTCAGACTCCACTTTCTTACTTGTGAAATGACCAGGTTGGTTTGGAGAGCATCAGTTGTGGCCTCAGCTCAAAAGCTCTCCTGGTGCCTTTCCCAAAGGCAAAATATAAAAACCTCACAATAGACAGTGAGCAAACGGTGCTGGAAACTCCAAGCAGGAGAGTCAGTATGATCTGGAGATGGGCTGCAGGGGGACGGGTGCCTCATCACCCATGAGTTCTTGCATCTTGTTAGAAGGTCTCTCAGTAGCCAGATATCTGTTATCTAATTACCCATTGTGAGACTGTGTTAAAAGGTAGATGTTTTCATCTCAAGCGAAGATTCATTAATGGTGTGAGTTGCTAAAAAGCTAGCTAGTGGTTGCAGCTTTCATAGGATGAGAGTCTTGTTCATTCTCTGCTTTGGGGGACTAGAAGTATCTGCCACTACAGGTTGAGTATACCTTATCCAAAATGCCTGGCACCAGACGTGTTTCAGATTGCAGATTTTTTTCACATTTTGGAATATCTGCATGTAATATCAGTTGAACATCCCAATGTGAAAATCCAAAATCCTAAGTGCTCCAATGAGGATTTCCTTTGAACGTGACCTTTGAATATCATATCAGTGCTCAAAAAGTTTTAGATTTTGGAGAATTTCAGATTTTAGACTTTTCAGGTTAGGAATGCTAAACCCATAAAATGCAAAACAGTGCAGTGTTTTATGAAGTGAGTCTGCAAATCTTGCAAAAGACATAGGATTTCCTGAAGTTCATGAAAGTGATTTTTTGGTGAGCTGCTCCAACCACAAAGCCTCTGAAAATATGGCAAAGTGAACGTCTAGTGGGCTTCCACCAGCTTTCAAATGAAGAAGTGAAAATAAAAAGAGCATGAATTAAATATCAAAAGATGAAGAGAGGGCCTGAGCAAAACTGAGGAAACATTCTAAGCCTTTGCCAGGAAAAAGAAAAAAAGATGGCCTTCTTTACGATTGAGCTACAAAAGTCAACTATAAATAGATTGATTTACTGACAGTACCATCACTCCGTTTTGTAGGAAAAAGTCAAGTTGCCATTTTTTCACTGGAAGTAACAATTTTTTCACTCTATTCTAAAAATGAGCACATGGTTTTAATTAAAACTTATATATTGTTAAAAGGCAGATCAAATGCAATTATTTTCATAACTGTCACTTTTCAAAAGAAAGTCCCAATCAAAGCCTGCTCTGCCCACTCCACTTCAACGACTTAACAATGACATTTTACTTTCTGTTTGAAGTGGATTCTTCCTACTTTTCAATTTCCAGGGATAATCACTGGAACATGAGGCCTTCCTGCACAATCTATGTAACCGGCTTCAGTAAGGTGCCAGTGTTGTTCCAGGCTTTGACCCAATCACAGTAAAGCTAACAGAGTCAGTGTGGGTGCACCCACCATGTGTCAGCCACTCTGCCCTGCACAGGGGAGACGGGGAGAATAAGATGGGGTTCCTGGCCAGGTGCGGTGGCTCATGCCTGTAATCCCAGCACTTTGGGAGGCTGAGGGGGCGGATCACGAGGTCAAGAGTTCGAGACCAGGCTGGCCAACATAATGAAACCCAGTCTCTACTAAAAATAAAAAAATTAGCTGGGCGTGGTGGCACATGCCTGTAGTCCCAGCTACTCAGGAGGCTGAGGCAAGAAAATAACTCGAACCCAGAAGGCGGAGGGTGCAGTGAGCCGAGATCACATCACTACACTGCAGCCTGAGCAACAGAGTGAGACTCTGTCTCGAAAAAAAAAAAAAAAAAAGAAGATGGGGTCCCTTACTTCAAGATTTCATCTCAGCGTGGTGGGGCAGCTGGATATTTGCATATTCCAATAACTACAACCCAGGAGAATCTTGGTCAGAGAGGAGGAAGCAGCCCTTCCTGGAAGGCTCTGGTGGTGCTTCATGGAGGAGGGGACATCAAACTCTGCCTTGAAGGGAAAGCAGGAGCTAAGTTAGATTCCTCATGGCTGGAGGATAGGGAATGAAGTAACTAAATCTTAAACCAGAAATTGCCGTTAAAGGTTCAGGATCCCGCATCTGACCTGACCCATAACCACATTTAGGGCACTATGAGTTAGAACAAGTTCGCAACATTAAAACATCAGATTCTCTCTCTCTCTGTTTTCTTCCTCCTTCTCCTCCTCCTTCTCCTCTCTTCCTCTCACCCCTCCCTCTCTCCCCCTATCTTTCTCTCTCTCTCTCTCCCCCTCCTCCCCTCCCCGCCCCCGCATCATTCTCACTCAGTCACACACACTTAGCTAAGCTCGCAGAGTCTTTCTGTTGGACGACTGTCTGTCTCTTGCTCTTCCGTCCCTCGGGGGACCCGTCGCTCACACAGGGCACATGGATGGGCCCCATGCTGGGCGAAGCTCCACTCATTTAGATTCGCTGCCTGGACCCTGCAGACAAAGTTTCTCATGGAGTCCAAGAGAGGGGTCCTTTTCTTCCAAAGTGGCTCCATCCTTCTCACTCTCCCTTTTTCTCCTCTGTCCCTAAATATTTCCATTCAGAAGCCATTTCAAGGCTGTGTGTTTACAGACAGAGACCCGGGTGGCAGTTGTGGAAGGAGGTCACCTTCTGCCTGCACCGAGGGGGTCTGCGGGACCTTCAGTGAGTTCCCTCCCCATCTGAAGCTACCATGGCCTGAGGGACACAGTGGTGGTGGCCTCTAAGGGGCTCCCACTCTGATGTGCTGAGGGCTTCTGATTCCCACTAATTTGACAAAGAGCCATGCCCAGCATTCTGAGTGTTGCACTCAGAAAGGGGGCTGGGAGGGACTGAGTATCCCTGGCTCCCATCTGGAGAGTCCCTCAGCTACAACCCAGGTTTGGACGTCAGTAGAGAGTGCGTCAGCCATCTGCGGGTAAGGAGGTGTCCCCAGTGCTTTTCCTGGATCATTTATGTTGCGGGTTTCAGATCAACCCCTCTCTGTTCCTTAACAACCAGTGATGGAGGGACTTGGAGAACTGGGGCATCCTGAGTTGAAACAAGCTCCAGGAGGGTTTGAATTGTGAGAAGTGAGACACGACACTGGGGGCAGGAATCTGTCTGGAGCCACACTGTCGTAATCCTCTCTTGACTCTGCTCTTGCTTGATTGGCTGATCAAAGCCAAGTTGTTTGGTTCCCTTTGCCCCGACTGCAAAATGGAACGGTCCAAGTGCTCATGATGTAGAATTGTAAACCAATGAAACACATAGGAATGCTCAAGTGCTTGAACGTCTAGCCAGCTTGGTGTGAGTACTCAGGGAAGCTCTTACCCGTTGCTGCTGTTGTCATTATCATTATACTATTAGATATTATTTTACACTATTATACTATTACTATTATTAGTTCTATTATAGTTCTAATATGCTATTATTGCTATTATTAGCATACTTTGACTATTAATTAAGTGACTTTACTAATGTAAGAATTGTCCTCCCCCTACTTCTTTCCCGACCAAATTCACATTTCTGAATTCTCTTTTCTTAGAGCCGGAAAGCATATTATGTCTGGAAACTAAAAATGCCTCCTCGCCTCTGATTTTAGCCGTGGTTGTTGGAGTACCGGTTCCAGCAGGAGCTGTGATTTCCATTGAGCTCTCAAACCAAATAAAATGCAAATCTCCGAGGATGGCTCCTCTCCCTGCCCCCACAGTTGTGCTCCGAATAGTGTCTGAGTTTCATTTTTACAAGGGGCCTTTAAAAACTCCTGGGCCCCTTGAAAACTCCCAGCCCCCTTTGTCCAGATGGGGATGGAGGTGGCCAGGCTGCCCCGTTGATTGTGTGCCGAGGAGCCCTCCCCGGGAAGGCTGTGATTTATACGCGCAGGCTTGTCACGGGGTGAAAGGAAGGGCCACTTTTTCATTTTGATCCAATGTTAGGTTTGAAAGCCACCCACTGCTGTAAACTCAGCTGGATCCGCGGGCCGTGATTAAACACATTGCCCGCTTTGTTGCCGAGATGGTGTTTCGGAAGGCGCTGTGAATGCACTTCCCTTTGCGGGGCTCACACAGACAAGATGTGTGTTGCAAGGATGAGGCGCCTGCTCGGCCTCCAGCCCAGGGCCGGGAAGGGAGAAGGTGCTGTGCGTCGCTGCCTGTGTCGCCCGCGGCTCTCCTCCCAGCGACAGACTCCAGACCTCTATGCTGTCTGCTTTTCCTTTTTTACCTCCCCTGTCCCCTACCCGGTTTTCTAGCCTTTGAGGGAACTGTTCAGACTGTTGGATTCAGACTGTTAGTGCCATTTCCCCCCAGCGTGGACAACTGCACAGTGCGAACTTGCTGACTTTCCTTAGCTGCTCCTGCAGAATGGGGTTTAAAACAATGCATCACCAGAGCATGCAGCCACCCTTAATGACCTTCTGGCTCCTCAGCTGGACGCGGCTTCTTATAGCCCCGGATCACAGAACTCTTTGATGGTTCTCTGGATCTCCGGTGGCCATCTGACCTCTCAGGAAACAGGGCATGGAAATGGCCCTTGTCTCCCACCCTGTTCAGTAAGTTTGAGGCTTGTGAGATGGAAACGTGCCCCAGCCTCACACAGGCAGCAGGGAAGATAGTGGGAGAACCCTTTTGGTGCCCTTGAGTGGTCAAGCCAGTTCCTCCTTCTGAGTTTCAGAAGCCTCATCTATGAAATTTGGGGATGGCACTGGAAGTGTTGTAAGACCCCTTCCAGCTTTATTTACTTAATTAATATGCATGTATTAAGTACGTCTTATGTGCTGCGTGCAGAGTTACATACTAGGGAAAGAGAGTCCTGAGTCGGAAAGACAGGGTCCTACATGACATTCCTGTGGACAGAGGCCAAAAATAAGCAAGTGCTTAAGCAATCACGTGAATTCAGAAATGTGTGCAGAAGTAAGTCACATGGGTGACATGGGAGTGAGGACCTGGGGAAGAACTTGGCTTTGATATTCTTGAAGGGCTTTCTGCAGAGGTGATGACTGAGCTGGGGCCAGAATGAAAAGATGGAACCAGACTTGGGAAGAGCATTCTAGAATGTGAAACTAGAACATGCAAAGGCCCTGAGGTAGGTGAAAATGAAGCCCTGGACCAGAAGGAAAGGCAGCCATTGTGACAGGGGCTTAGGGAAGGAAAGGAAGTTGTTCAAGGCAGGAGCTTGGAGGGGAAGGCCAGGTCTGGATCACTAGGGGTTTTGATAAGAGGTTGATCAGTTTCCAGAACACGTCCAGAGATGTGTCTGTTCTTGAAGCACAGTCCTGAAGTCACATTTCTTCCAGATGCTAAATACTTGAGCTCTGTGTTCTGTGCTCATTATGCAAAATGGTCACCTTCAGGAGAGAAAAATAGCTTTTCTGGTGAGGTGTTTTTGGCAGCTTCACCTAGGTGACAATGCTACTCTCCACCCCAGAGGGTTGGAAAACAATAGTGAGGTGTGCATAGTCAACAGTCCCATCTGATGGGCTCCAGTTTGGGTTAATGATTCCCTGGCACAGTCCAAGGGCTCTGGCACTGCCCCTAGCAAGCGCACAGAGACCAGGAGTCCACTGGAGTGGCCATTTCCCAGTGATTCTAGACCTTCCCTGTCCAGTGCAGTAGCCAAGTGTACTTGTGAACCCTTGAAATGAGGCTAGTCCAAACTGCGATGAGCTGTAAGTATGAAATACCAGATTTTGAAAGCATAGTATGAAAAAAAGTAAAAAAAAAAAATCACATGAATAATTTACATAGTGATTACATGTTCAAATGATAATATTTTTGTTTTATTTGGTTTAATAAAATGTTATTAAAATTAATTTCTTCTGCTTCTGTTTTCCTCTGTAATGTGGTTACTAGGAAATATACTATTATATTTAGCCCATATTTGAGGCTTGCATTCTATTTCTATTAGACAGTGGCGGCTGGTCTAGACCGTGCTAACTGCTGTCAGCCGGACTTTGGAGATGAAAGAGGTCAGATAATAAAGGACATTATCAGAGCTCTGGCTTTATACATGGCAACTTTGCGTGAATTAGAAAAAGCTGATGCTTCTGCGCAGACCAAGAAGGAGACAATACCCCATCTTCCAGGAAGATCTAGCCACCAGCCAGGGTGCCCCACTTGGCAAATGGACATGGGGCATAGTTCATCCCCACTAGCTAGGAGCTTTTATGAAGGCCACAGTCTGCATAGCAGCTTGCAGCTCAGGACTAATTTGTCCCCGCTGCTCTGCTTTACAGCCGGAAGCAACGTCCATTTGGTTTGAGTGTCAGGGAAGCCAGATTTGAAGCAAGGTAGCGCAGTGGTTATGACTGCCACCTCTGGGACCAAACAAACATGCTTGAATCCAGTCTAGCTCCGAAAAGGTCCAGTCAATCTTGGGCACTTTACCTACTTAAACTTTCTGGGTCTTCGTTTCTCCCTTCCTAAAGTAGCGAAGATGATAAGAAGGTCCTCCTGGGCTTAGTGAAAGGGTTAATTAATCGCTCCGGTTCCTGACACATAGTCATCACTCTGGAAATGTTTGCTGTTATTACAATGATGACCATCCTTGATTTAGCAAAGGAGGGTGGGCATGAAGGTGTAAGGTATGCCCAGATGCCCTTGAAGAAGAAATTTCACTTCTGGCCTTGGAGGAACATCCATTGGTTGGAAAGCATCTTGTCTCTCCACAAGGTATGAAATACAGAGCATGTTTTCTGCTCACTGTTTTTAGGTAACTGTTTTATGTTTTTTATCTCACATCCAAGACAAGCACTGCCAGCCCATTCCACAAAGCGGGAGACTGAGAGTCAGGGAGTCCTTTCTCAAGGTTGGTGCAGCAGCTTAGAGGAAGGCACACCAAAGGCACGAAGAGAGGCTTTGGGGAACTGAACTCGCCCCTGAGACTCTAGAGAATTCCCTGAGATCACTAGGGATGACTTAGAAAAATACTCCAGGGATGTGCTTTGCAAGCTCCTGTTCCCTCCAGGTTCTATGGGGGCATTTCAGTGTCCTGAGAAGGTGTGAGTGGATGGTGGTTATTTGCTGATTTTACTTATTGGAATACTGGTAAGTCTAGTAAGGCATTTACTTTTTATGACAGTGACAAATATGATAATGAGATGAGGATGGTGATAATGAAGTTGCTGGTAACTCTTGTTTATTAAGCCTTCTTAAATTCCAGACACTGTCTTAAGCACTTTACACAGATTATCTCATTCACTTTACACAGATTATCTCATTGATACTTAAAATGATGAGTTTAATACTATTGGACTGAGCATTAAACTCAATACAATGTTTTTTTAGAAACTCATTTTATTATTAAAAACTCATTTTATTAGTAAACATTAATACAATGTTCACTATGAAAACATCGATACAATGTTTACTATGAAAACATTGATGCCAAATCAGAGGAAGTTCTGTGATCATTCCCATTTTACAGCTGAGAAAACTGAGGCTTTACAGGTTGCATATCTTGTTTTGGTGATGCAGATGATTCATGCTTCAGCATTCATGCTTAACTAGGGCTGTTTAACTGGGTACAGCAGGAGGTAACACAGGCATTTGGCAGAGAGTAAAGACCCAGGCATTGTAACCCATCATTACTTCCAATTCATTTGAATAAAAGACTCCACAGTTATCACTCAAAATGATTGCCTGGGTCATGGTTTTTCTTCTCAAGTTTCAGCCTTGGGATGGACATGTGTCCTGTTCAGTGGTTGTTCTCACCCAAAACCTAAGGCTGCCACTGACAACGCCTTGAAGCTGTGGCTTGTTTCATCGAGGCGTGCTGCCATGGAAGCTTCAGTCCTGTTGTGCACACGTTTTGGTTCCTCATTTGTTCCTATTTTGGAGACCCTCATATATGAGCCTAAATTAGTATATGCATCATGATATATCTGCCACAGCGTTTCCCTGGCTAGAAATCCATCCCAAACATTAGTATGGGTTTAAAAGCAAGAGTTGGGCTCTAGGCCCTTGTTTATTGCTGATGGATCTTGCATTTCTTGAAAGTCTTCCCTTTTTGCACTAAATTTTTCTGCCTTTCCATATCTGCCAGAGTCCTCTGCACCTGCTTATCGTACACCATTTCATGGAACAAATCCACTGTTGACTTCCTGGGGGCCTGAGCTTAGATGGGCAGATGCCCTGGCCAGCAAGCCCCCTGCCAGTCTTAGGGCTCAGGTGTGCAGGGAGATCCACACCTTCCTGCAGTAAGAATCTGGTACATGCACGGGGCTGCCTGGTTTCCTCTGAGCAACAGTCATAGGTGTGTTAGACTATTGCAGGTGACCTAAAGATGCCTTAACATAGCATAAGCATAACCAGAAAATGTTCCTGTATGGGACAACATCCTAGCAAGAAACAGAATTTACCCAGGGTGGTCAATTGAAGGATCTATTGACTGAGTCATTGGCAGGGTTAAAGGAACAAACAAGACGTTTCAAGGTACCCAGGGACCAGCAGCAAAGCAAAGGTGAAGAGGCAAGGAGAGTAGTGTTTCTAGAGCCCAGTGAGAGTGGGGCCTCAGGAAAGGGGTCAAGCAGGACGGAGGTAGAGATGCAGAGGGAAGTGGCCACCACCAGAGGCACAGCACCAAGAAAAGGGGGAACTTGGAAAGGCACCCTGACCTCTCTCCTCCAACCTTCTGATCTCCTAACTTGACTCTAAGCCAGTGTGAGAGGGAGTGCAGATGGTGCATCTGTAAGAGTCATCTTCCCAAGGCTCAGAGAAAGGCAGTGTGGATCGAGGTGGAGTGGGGAGGCTCAGTGAAGAATTTCCAGCACAGCTCCTAAAACTGGCAAACAGTTTCCCATTTATTCATAGAATTCAACTTATCCTGCACGGCACCAGAATAATAGCAGCTACCCCTGAGGAGCTCACTATGCCCCAGACATTGTTCTAAGGACTCATATACTAACTCATTTAATTCTCAGAACCACCCTTTGAGGTAAGTCTTATTACTGCCCTTGTGCCGATAGAAGTGGTGAAGCAGGGCTTTCAATCCAGGTGCCTGGCTCTAGAATCATCGCAGGTCTAACCAGCATGCACAGGAGCCTCGTCTAACATGGATGGGATGTTAGCCGCATCTAACATCCTAACATAGTAGGATGGGATTTAAAGGGAAGGGGTTTCTGGGGGCCAAGGATTGTGTTCTCATGTGAACAGAAGGTGCATTGGTGTGTGGATAGTGTTGCCTGACCTACTTAAAATCTATTTTCCCTTTTTCTCATAGCAGCACATGGATTTTTCTGGGGGAATTATTTCTTTTTAATTCTCTGTCAATGTAAGTCAAGTGCAACTGACTTCCATCTTGGCTCCAGGAAGGCATATGACCCACGCCTGTCCAATCAAAGCATCCATCTTCCTCACCAAAGTGATTGGTTCCAAGATGGGCATGTAACATAAATCAGACCAATCAGAGCCAACAGACTCATCTTGGGGCTTCTGTTGGCTCTGTTGAGGGAGAAGCATACTCTTTGCATTGGAAATGTTGAGGCTTCCAACTGCTGGAAGTCATCTTTTTGTTGTTGTTGTTATTTATGTATGTATATGTGTATGTATGTATTTATTCATTTTTGAGACTAGGCCTTACTGTTGCCTAGGCTGGAATGCAGTGGCACAATCGCAGCTCACTGCAGACTCAACCTCCTGGGCCCAAGCAATCCTCCTGTCTCAACCTCCTGAGTAGCTGAAACTAAAGGCACATGTCACCATGCTGTGCTAACATATTTTTAAAATTTTTTTATAGAGACAGGGTCTTGCTGTGTTGCCCAGGTTGGTCTCAAACTCTTGGCCTCAGGTTATCCTCACTTCTCAGCCTCCCAAAGCACCAGGATTACAGACATGAGCCACTGCACCCAGCCTCTTTTTGTCATGTAAACAACTTTATTGAAGTATGATTTATGTACTGTAAAATTCACCCATTAAGTGTACAATTCAGTGACATTTAGTCACTTTGCAGAGTTGTGCAGTCATCACCATGACTTCAGTCTTACGATCTGCATCACCCCAATAAGATCTCTTATGCCTCTTTAGAGTTAATCTTCAGTGCCATCCTCAGTCCAGGCAACCACTAATAAACTTTGCTTCTCTCAATTGCTGGCTGCCATCTTGCCCCCATGAAGGGAGGTCCTGTCTGAGAATGGAGTAAGTCAGTCTGAGAGATGGAGAGAAACCAAGTCCTATGACATTGAGTCCGTGGAGTTAGCCATTGCTGAATCTTAGCTTTTTACAACAGCTACCACAAGATCCTTACCTTTAAAATTATGTGCGTGTGTCTGTGTGTGTGCGCATCTGTGAGTTAGTTTCAGTGAGGTTTTCTGCCTCATGTAACTGGAAGTATTCTGACTTACATCTACAAATTATAAATCATACCCTAGAGTGACATGGACAGAGAAAGACAGAGACAGACAGAGTGACTGAAAGCACAAGATGAAATAAACGTAAGAGAGAGAACAAAAGCTACGTTTTCCAGTGACAAAGCTGGATATAATATATAGAAGTGGTCTTTCTTAGCTAAATTGGGGATGTCTTTACCACTACTTTGCACAATAAGCATTTGAATGCTTATTAATTACTCATATCCTGTCTAGTTCCAAAAAGAAGACTTATCAAGATGCTGACAAGATATATTCCTAGATTAAGTAAGTTAACACAAGAAAAATGAGGCCAAGGGGAAATGTGGGCTGAGAGAGAAGTTGGAACTGAAAGAAAGCTTTGTAAACAGAAAGCTGAACCTGAGGACTTGTATACAACCCCCGAGATTGATGACAGCCAAATTCTAGGCTTTATCGTAACCAGAGTGAGAGGGAAACATGCTTACGTTCTAGAAACCTGGAGTTTGTACGTTTAAAACCAAGTAGGTGCTGAATTTCTCTGTTGAGCCACTCCATAGTGGAATTCATTAGCAGCAATTTTATAGGGGCTGATATGACACATTCAGAAGCATCCAGTGCTGGATTTCAGTTCAAAGAGCATGTGCTTTTTGCCCATTACAAAGGATATTAGACCAGTCAGGACTGCTTTTGGAGACAAGTAATGGTGTGTCATGCAATAAACACATATAATTGCCTTTAACAGCACAAGCTATCGGAGGAGGAACTCAGGCAGGGCTCAACAACGTCCTCAGGAACCCACATTCTTTCTATCTCTCTGCTTGGTTTAACTCAGCTGTTTTGTCCTCTTCCCACAGGATCAAAAAATCATTTCTACCTCTTCAGGCATCATACTCTTGGTCAAGAAAGGAAGGAGTGGAGCTGGTCCTCTCTGTCCTTTCTTGTCAAGGAAGGAAAAGCTTTCCACCAAAACAGATATCCCCCTAATTGTAATTGGCCAGAATTGGATTGCCTCTACCTTCAAGGTAGCCTGAGAAAGAGAGAAAGTGTTCAGAGGGAATGGGATTCCTGGCTGACAGGCCAATTATCATTGCCTTGCTGAATTCAACAAAACCAAGTTCACTTTGCAGGGGAGAAAGAGAGAATGAATATTGGGTAAGAGCTAGTAATGTTTGCCAAAGGAAAGGTGATGATTGGGACCAATTCCTCGTTGGTGGCTCACCTCTCCCATGCGTAGCGTAGTGGGATGTTCAGTGGACCGTGGGGCACAGAAGGTCAGCACCAGGCACCACTGGGTGATCCAGGAAGATCTCATGTTGTTGACTGCTAAGCCAGATCTTAGAGGATACGAAAGGATTCCTTTGGGGGATGGGGAAGGAGGTAGGAAGCACTCAGCAGATAGAGGCATGAGTGAACACCGGTAGGTCTGAATTTGTTCAGGGTTTTGGAGGAAGCTCAAGCAGTTCACTGTGAAAACATCCTAACACGAGCATCAGGGAGATGCAGGGGCAAGGCCAGAGATGGCCTTGCGTGCTGCACTTCAGCTTAGATTCCATTCCTGCAGCAGCTGCCTGCATCCCCTGGCTTCAGTCAGGCGAGTAGTGGGATTTAAGACATGGGCCACCCAGCCTGGACCCTGGCTTAAGATCCTGTGTCTCTCATGTAACCTCTGTGCTTTAACTTTCTCCTCTATTGAATGGGGATAATAAGAGTCCCTGCTCCATGCTGTGTAAGACACGATGAGGAAATGCAGGTGGGGCACTGTGGATGATGACTGGCCCGGGTGGGGAGGGGCTCAGCATGTGGGAATGATAACGGTGACACACACAGAGGTTGGGGGACATCCGGGAGACTATTGCATAGTTTATGCGAAAAACAACGGGACTGAAACTAGGACCCTCCATGGTGGAGTGTGTGTTGTATATGGAAGAAGTCAGGTTTCAGAACTGACTGATTACTGGTGTGAGGGAAGAAGAGGTGTCAAGATGAGCTCTTGGGGTTTGCGCTTTGTTGTCTGGGCGGAGCCATTGCTGCTGGCACCCCTCAGACTCAGGCTTTCCGGTGCCCCTGGAGTGACTACAAGTCAATGAAGTTCTCGGGCACAGTGAGCACTCTGCAGAGGGGTGTGGGAAGGAGAGCCAGCACCTGCCATTTGCAGACGTGTGCCAGGCAGTGGGTGGGTTTGGCTATTTGGCGCCTGACAGCTACTGGCTCTTCCACTTGGTGTCTTTTGCACCTTTATGCCAAGTGCTGTGTTAGGCTCTGGGCACCCTGTGGAGTAAGACACAGTCCCTGTCCTCCTGGCCAGGAGGGTAAGACACACAGGAGCCCAAGACAAATGACCATACAACACCCACAGTGCAGAGATAAGGCCAGCCTGGCCAAGACAGTGAAACCCCATCTCTACTAAAAATACAAAAATTAGCCACGTGCGGTGGCAGGTGCCTGTGATCCCAGCTACTTAGGAGGCTGAGGAAGGAGAATCGGTTTGAACCTGGAGGGTGGAGGTTGCAGTGAGCCGAGATTGCGCCACTGCACTCCAGCCTGGGCGACAAACTCCGTCTGTCTCAAAAAAAAAAAAAAAAAAAATGCTGCAGGATAGAGACAGAAATAAAAGACAGCAGGGGATGAAAACCATTCCCAGCCTCAGCACCATTCGCTCTTGGCCAGATTCTTCTTTGATGGGTGGGTGGGGTGGGGGGTATCCTGTGTACTATGCAATGTTCAGCAGCGTCCGTGGCCCCTAGCCACAGATGCCAGTAGCATCTCCCCAGAGTTGCCACCAAAGATGCCCTTAGATCTTACCAAATGTCCCCTGTGGGATGGCTGGTTGAAAAGCAACCAGGCTGTCCTGGTTGAAAAGCACTGGGGACAGTGTGACCGGGGTGGGCGGGAGCTGTTGTCACAGGAAGGCCACGGGAGGGCTCCTCTGTCAGCTTCTAGGGATGCCGTGACAATGACCCCGCACTGGGTGGCATGAAACAAAAGACATTTCTGGAGGCCAGAAATCTGAAATCCAGGTGTTGGCAGGGTGGCTTCTTCCTAGAGGCTGTGGGGGAATCTCCCGGCTTCTGGTGGCTCCAGGCAGCACCTGGTCTTTCTTAGCTTGTGGCTGCATCTCTCCCTTCTCTGCCACCTCCTTCAGATGAAGTTTCCCTCCGTGTCTCTCCTCTGTGTCTGTGCATCTCAAATATCCCTCTCCTTTCTTTTTATAAGGAAACAAGCCATTAGATTTAGGGCCCACCCTAAATCCAAGATGATTTCATCTCGTGTTCCTGAACTAATTACATCTGCAAAGACCCTGTTTCCAAATAAGATCAATTCATAAGTGCCAGGAGTTTAGCACTTGGACACAGCTCTTTGAGGGACATAATTCAACACTATACTCCCTAAGGCATGAAACCCAAGGGAAGTGTGGGAATGAGGCACTTGAAGAAGTGTGTGTGTTGGGAGTTGGGGATGGTATGTTCCAGGGAAAAGAGACGGATGCAAAGGTGATGGATTTGAGGCAAGAGCGAGGGTGGCATATCCAGGGTGGCCACTGGGTCTGGAGTGTCAGTAGCAGGGCAGATTTAGAAGGTGACTTTGCATACCTAGGCAAGGCCAGCTCATGCGGGATGTCGGAGCCCATGGGAAGCACCTTGCGTTTGAGGCTGCCTGCGGTGGGAAGCTTCAGAGTTTCAAGCGGGGCTTTGCTATGGGTTTGTTCTGCTTTCCCGTTTTCCCCTTTGGAGGAGGCTTACAGAGATAGTGATGACTTTGCAGCTGTTAATCATCAGGAAGCTGTAATCACTAAGAATGTTTGAAATCATCAGTTAAGGATTTTTAGAAGGAAGTAAACCAAAGAAATACTGCAGTAGCCTGCCCTAATTATTTCCTGGGCTTAAAGTAACCAGGTGCATTGGAGAGATTATTTTTCTTCTTCTGATTTATGAAGGTCTCAGGGTCCAAATTTTGAAACTGCTGATCGAATTTGTTCTTGGATGTTGTCATAGAAATCTGAAACTTTCCTACTTGTCTGAGAGTGAAATTTCTTTGATTATTCACTCAAGGGTTTGATAGGTTTAAAAAAAGGCCTTCGGGACATCTCTTGTTATAAAGTGTCAACTTTAGATATCAAGAGAATCATGATATATTTATTACTACAAAAGAGAAAATAAGCAACTGAAAAACTCATGAACTTGAAGCATGAAGCAAACCCCTTAAGTTCTAGGGGTTTCAAGATGTGGATGCCAACATGTGATGACATTTAAAAGATGGATCCAAATATGAGATTATTTCGAGCCTCTTGGAATTTTGAAAGCTAAAGAGTGTTGTTACATGAATGAATGTTATTTTACAGATGAACAGGTCTAGTAAAGGGTATGCATCTCACTTTGTATTTAGGAACAGAAAACTTAAAAGAAGAAGCAGTCTCCTTGCCATTCCGCTCATAGGTGTGTGCCCCGAAGTGGGCATGGGATGTAAACCTGTTTTTCCTCACAGGTCTCTGTTCTCCTGAGCTTTTCATAGAGTGGGTTTACTGTGGGAAGATAAGCATTGCTGCTATGGCGTGGACCCCCAAAGCAGGCCAGTGACTGCTGACATCCAGCTCTGGAAACATCCATCTCTCTGATGCTGGAGGGAGAAACTGGACTCCCCTTCAGGGAGATGCTGGACTCACTGAACTAAGAGATTTTTATGTCATCCTTTACCATGTGCTTTCTTGATTTTTTTTTTTTTTGAGATGGAGTCTTGCTTTGTCGCCCAGGCTGGAGTGCAGTGGTGTGATCTCAGCTCACTGCAACCTCTGCCTTCCAGGTTCAAGCGATTCTCCTGCCTCAGACTCCCAAGTAGCTGGGATTACAGGCATGCAGCACCACGCCCAGTTAATTTTTGTATTTTTAGTAGTGACAGGGTTTCATTATGTTGGTCAGGCTGGTCTTGAACTCCTGACCTCGTGATCTGCCTGCCTTGGCCTCCCAAAGGGTTGGGATTATAGGCATGAGCCACTGTGCCTGGCCCGAGAATCTTTTTCTATAGATACTTTTGACTCTGTTTTTGCCTCAGCGGGCTCACTACAGAACCTGCCTACCACGTAGGTTGGGATTCTATTGCACCACTGTCAGGTGGTGTTTTTCCCATTGTAGGTAATGACCCATTAGAAGGAGATGAGACAAATTCAGCAGGTATTTAAGAGTCAGACTAGCATGGAATGAAATGGAAGTGAATACAACAGGAAGTATCAGAGTAGAAGAGAAAACAGTGCTGTGTAATGAGACTTTTATTTTGGTGAGATGAATTCATATATGTGTATATAGGTGTGTGTCCTGATGGTGATGAAAATATTTCAAACCGTGGGACACACCCCAGCATGTTTGTAAACCATCCCCGTCCTCTCCGCTGCCCAGCTCCTCATTGTTAGGTCTTAAAGTAGGAAAACACATGGTGTGATTTGGGTTGGTGAATAGTCGACTTGTAGATCTGCGGACTCGTCAACATTGCTCTGACATCAGATTTTCTGAAGAGCAGTGTGGGCTCCTTCCCCAGGGCTGGCCGAGTTTTGAGGGGAACTGCAGGTTCTGATGTTTCCAACTCTGTATCTCTGCCCTCGTCATTTCCATGGACAAGTTATTTGTGCTGGTGTGAGATCCAGAATCGGTCCTGCTACGTGACAATGCCTGGAGCACGGAGCCAGGAACCCAAGCTGCCTCACCAGCGTGTTAGGGTTGTTACTGTGCCCGTTTTAGAAGATCACTTGGAGGTGCAAAAATAGAGCAGTTTTTTTTTGTTTTTTTTTTTTTGACATGGAGTCTCGCTCTGTCGCCCAGGCTGGAGTGCAGTGGCGCAATCTCGGCTCACTGCAAGCTCCGCCTCCCCGGTTCACGCCATTCTCCTGCCTTAGCCTCCCGAGTAGCTGGGACTACAGGAGCCTGCCACCATGCCCGGCTAATTTTTTTGTATTTTTTAGTAGAGACGGGGTTTGACCATGTTAGCCAGGATGGTCTCGATCTCCTGACTTCATGATCCGCCCGCCTCGGCCTCCCAAAGTGCTGGGATTACAGGCGTGAGCCACCACGCCTGGCCAAGAGCAGATTTTTTTAAAAAAATTAAGTACCTCTATTCATTTGCACCTTCACTACCCAGTGAGGAGATCAAAATTTCCTAGAGCAAATGCATTCGATGCCACTCACAGATTTCGACAGGAGAGCACAATTTCAGGAACGCCTACATCAAAGCACTAATTGGCACTTTTACAGTGTCTTTCTCCGCACGTGAGCCTTGCTGGTGGAAGGAGCTGTCATAGTAATGCGTATTCCTCCATGCCCAGTGAGTAGGGTGACGGTCAATTCACAGTTCACTAGGCACAAAAGATGACGGGGCTCTCCTCTGCTCGGGACAGCAAGAAGGTTGAGGTGATACGGTTTGTCGGTGTCCCCACCCAAATCTCATCTTGAATTATAGTTCTCATAATCCCACGTATCGTGGGAGGGACCCAGTGCCCAGGGAGAAGTAATTGAATCATGAGGGTGGTTACCCCCATGCTGCTGTTCTTGTGATAGTGAGTTTTCTTGAGATCTGATGATTTTATAAGGAGCTTTTCCCCCTTTTGCTTGCATTTCTCCTGCCTGTCACCATGTAAGACATGCCTTTGCTCCTCTTTCACCTTCGGCCATGATTGTGAGGCCTCCTCAGCCATATGGAACTGTGAGTCCATTCAACCTCTTTTCTTTGTAAATGGCCCAGTCTTTGGTTTGTCTTTATTAGCAGCGTGAGAACAGACTGATACATGAGGATGCCATGATGGATTGGTTGTTCATCGCAGCCCTGCATCCCCTACCATGCATGGACCATGCCATCAGATGGGGTTGGGTTATGGTTGGTCAGTGAAAGGAAAGATAGGGGTCACATGGTAGGTTGTTGGTGAGAAAAAGATATTGATTTCCTGGGTAATGTTGGTGCAGATTAGCTGAGCAGCTGCCTCCTCTGTCTCCCCCATGTTGTTTTGGTCAATCAGCCCACACAGTTTGGAGGATTCTGCCTGGTTTGTCTCAGCTAGGCTTTTTACAACCTATTCCAGTTGCCTGGGACTGCTATAACAAATGGCAACAAACTGCATGACTTAAGACAACAGGGATTTAATTCCTGTCAGTTCTAGAGGCAACAAATCTGAGCTGCACCCACTCCAGAGGCGCTAGGGAAGGACCCTTCCTTGCCTCTCCCATCTTCAGGTGGCTCCAGGTGTTTTGGCTGGTGGTTGCATTGCTCCAGTCTCTGCCTCCATCTTCACATGACCTCCTCCTCTTCCTGCATCTTTTCTTCCTCTGGAAAAGGACACCTGTCATTGGATTAAGAGTCCATTCCAAATCCAGAATGCTCTCATCTCAAGATCTCTTCCTTAATTACATCTGTAAAGACCCCTTTCCCAAGGAAATAACGCCACATTTGCATGTTCTGGGGCTTGGGCATGGACATATGCTTTTAGCGACCAGCATTCAACCCACTTTAAACCCAAGAGGAGAAACATACTCTTCTGTGGTCAGAGTACAGAGTTCTGTTCAGTAATAGTTTGCTAAGACCTCACCCTGTGCTATGAGCTGGGGATAGTCCGTGAGTATGGGTGGAGATAGAGACACTAGCCGATCAAGCACTTGTCACAGTTCTGCCACTGAAGAGCCAAAGAACTTTCAGCAAGAGCTTAATCTCTCCATGCCTCAGTTTCCTTATCTGTAAAATCTCCTTTCCTCAAAGCTTCTGCTCACAAGTCATCTTTTCTGTAAGATCTTCTCTGATCACCGTATTAAAACAACATGCACTCCTGTCCTTATTTTACTACACAGAAAGGAAGCTTCAGAAAGATGGTTTGTCTATTCTGTCTATTGTTCTGGCTCAGGCTCATAGTAGGTGAGCAAGAGCTGTGTGTTGAAGGAATGAATAGTGTTGGAGATGCCCTAGGGCATGTGGCCAGATGTTTGTGAGAAATAAATCAGAGAATCCATGTAGTAGGAGATCTTGTGTAAATGCCAGTGCCTGCCCTTCCGCCTCCCATTTCCTGAATTACTTCTTCTGTACCAGACCTGTAATGCCTTGGATGCCACTGAGTCACAGCAAGAAATATGCAACAGGATGTTAAATAATAAGGGAGCAAGATGTATTATTTGAGCATCCCATCTTTTCTAAGACAGAGAAATTGGAGGGAAGTACAATCCATTTTCATTATTCACGGTAGGTATCTTCTATAAAGTCTCCATAAACACTAAATTAGCAAATACTGAATCATTGCTCTAAAGGAAATATAAGCCAGGCATGGTGGCTCACACCTGTGATCCTGGTATTTTGGGAGGCTGAGGCAAGAGGATGGCTTTGAGTCTAGGACTTGCAAACCTGCCTGGGCAACACAGCAAGACCCCATCTCTTTAAAAAAAAGAGTGTTTTAAGGGAAGTACAGAGCTAGGTCCCTACAAGCCTCTGGTCATAACATATTCATCAATGGATTAATGCATAACCTGATTATATGCATTTTTCTGTCTAAAGACACCTGATTAGATACATATTGTTGACTCATTCACATTGAACTCATGGCCAACTGCACCGTAACTCATGCCTGAAGGAAGCTGATTGAATGCAGGTGTTGTCTCTGTAAAGCACAGTGCCGCCTTCTTGCACTTAGGAACACTAGACAGTGCTTTATTCCTACACTTAGGGGATGTTTGAAACAGCAAAATCGCCAAAAGAAAGCACAGAAGACCAAAAACATGAAATTACAAGGACCGCAGAAAGGCCACTTGCTTATATGTAGTATCGTGGCTGAAGCAGGACAGTACAACGCGGGCATATTTGACCTCAGGTAGGAACGTGCTTTGAGCCACTCAAAACTGTCTCTGCACCGCCTTATTGGGGGAATGCCCGTGAAAGTACCAGGGGCACTGATGGACTTTAGCTAGTAGGTGGATTTGCAAATACAGAATCCCACAAATGATGGGGCTTGACTGTGAATCCATCTGGTGGAGCAGAGTAGGAGAGTGAAGCTTGTCCCATTCATTTCCCACAGCCTCTCCTGGGAAACTAAAGTTGTCCATGCCGAACACACGTGGCAACCCTGGGAGCCGGTCTTCAGGGAGAAGCGGCTTTCTAGAATCGAATCTGAGTGTTTACAGAGGACTCAGTTTAGCTAGTTGTGGCTGCTCTTTTGAAAGGGCTTAATAATAATATAACCGACCAGCAAACCTATGGACGTGAGAGAGGAAGCCTGCTCAGTCCTTCCTAGGGAGTGGCTCCTAGGGTCTCCTGCGGGAATCGCTGCTCTGAAGATGCCATCGGAAGGCACAGTCACTGGGCTGCAGCAGAGTAGAGGGAGCTGTCCCAGCTGGGAGGCTGGCCGGGGTTTAATACCCTCCACAAAGAGCAGCTTTGAGGGGGACGGCATCTGGCGGCTTGAAAGAGTGCCAGTGGCAAGACACAAACTTCAGTGGCTCAAAGAGAAGCACTTCTCGGAAGCTTCCCTTGCTTTTTGTCAGCAATGAAAAGCGGTGGGCAGTCTAGCAACCTCTTAAGAGGAAAAGGGGAGTTTGCTTTTAAGAGGAAGACAACCCCGCAAAGGGGAAACCGTCTCGGATACACTCTGCCCTCTCACCTCCTTCTCTTTGTCCCGTTGAAGACCCTTCGCAACACTCCTCCCCCAGGGATGTCCATTTTTGGTTTTGTTATTCGCTTTTTTTTTTTTTTAGGTACACAAATAATACATTCATACTTTAATGGCGAAGCTGATTCCCCATGGCTCAGCCACCCACTGCCGCTCTGTAATATTTCAGCCTCTCCTTAGGCGAAAGAAGCCATTGTTCTGAGCTTGGCACGAGCTCCCGGACCCTTCACGTATTGTGTACATACAGCTTTGTGCTCACAGAAAAATGCATTTTTTTCCCTGAGTTTTAAAAAGTTATATAAATGCTATCATACTGACGTACTGCACAGACTGCCACTGTAGGAATATTATTTCCTTTGTGATAAAAACACAAGGTATTTTTAAGATCCCAGACATCAAAGATCGAGATAGCGCTGACTGATAGAACTTCTGCAATAATGGGAATGTCCCCTGAGCACTTGAACCATGGCGAGTGTGACCAAAGAACTGAATTTTTAATTTTAGTTAATTTTAATATCAATAACCACATGTGGCTAATGGCTCAGTGTTGGATGGTAGCACAGCTCTAGGTCGTTCTTTTTATTGTTTTTTTATGATGGGAAATTTTCAAACATCTATAAAAAGAGAGGATCCTATTCCTATGCACCCAACCTCCAGCTTTAATAATAATGATTCAGTAATAAGAATGTCACCATTCTTGTTTCTAGAGTCTTCCTTTCAACTCTCCGTGGTATTCTTTTACATAAATAAATACATGTTTTAACCTTTCTCCTATTGACAGAAGAACAGATATTCTAATTTTCTGCTAAAACACATAAAAGAGTGATCCTCTTGGTCTATGTTTCTGAGTGTTATGTGGTATGTATATCTGAGTATGTATGTGTATCTGAGTATGTGTGTGTTTGTGCTGTGTGTACCATATATGTATCTGTGTATGTGTGCATATTTGTGTGTGTGAATCTGTGTATGTGGGTGTGTGTGTATGTATGTGTGTGTGTACAGGTCTGTCTCTGTGTCTGTATGTATCTGTGAGTGCGTCTGTGTATCTGTGTGTATGCATGTCTGTGTGTGTGCACGTGAGCATCTGTATGTATGTGTATGAGTCTGTATGCATGTGCATCTGTGTGTACATGTGTATACATGTGTGTGTATGCAGTTGTTTAGGTGTGTGCCTGTATGTGTGTGCACCTGTGCATGTGTGTCAGTGTGTGCGCATGTGCACCCCTGTGTACATGTGTGTATGAGCATATACACATGTCTGTGTATTTGTGCTCTGTGTATATACGTGCATGTCTGTGTATTCCTCTAGGGCAGGAACTTAGAAGTGGGCAAGGGGTGGATGCATTTTCAGCTTTCGCAATGGCCAACCGCCCGTTGGCCAATTCACTTCCACAAGCAGTGAAATCAACTTCACGTGGAAACACGCTCCGGGTGCTAAGGAGCTCGCAGCCGTGCTGAGTCGACCTGTCCTCAGGGACGGATGCTTGAGCCGTTTCCCATGGTGCTCAGGCTCTGGCATCCGACTGGGAATCCCTGGGTGTCCCGGGATTCAGGGCAAGATAAAGCAGGTCAGATTAATGACACAAAGCCCCCCTGTTGTCCTAATCATCTTATCATTCCTAAGTTCAAACGGAATTTCTCTCTCCGCCCCCAGGGGGTTTCTATTTCCCCTTCCCCAGTCCTTGTCTTTGTAGGGCAGGGGACCATCGGTGTTTCTGGAGCTTGCTTGAATGAGTTTTTCCAGGCGAGTACTTTCCCATAAAGACACCATTAATGCAGTAAGGAATCAGAAGCCCAGGGAGGGAAAAGGCTAAGCCATTTTGCTTACTTAACGGCTTGCAAAGTTCTGCTCTGCTTCCAGGAATCCTCGTAGTGTAGCCACTCTCTTACTGAGCAGTCCTTCCATATCAGGATAGTTATGGATTATCTACATAACGACGCTTTTTAAACTGTTAAGAGAACTGCATCTGTTTAGCTGGCCTACTGTGGCCCTATGGCTAATGCCAAAGGGTGCGTTTTAGCTAAGCTGCAGAGTTTAAAAACAAAACAAAAACAAACAGCTCCACTACCACCAAAGAAACCCAAACAAACAAACAAACAAATCCTACAAAACAAAAAGAGGTGGTCAGGTTCCAGAAAAGGGGACAAGGGAAGAGTCAGGTGGGCAACCCGTCGTCAATCATTAGAGGAGCTGAAGTCTGACCTTCTCCTTCTTGACAGACAAAGGAGACAATTTAGAGAGTAAAGTGGATCAAATAAGTCACTGGTTTGGGAGGTGGTGAGCATGGGCCACAGGATGGGAAAAGATCTGGGGGCGCACCCTCCCTGCAGAAGAAACCGTGGGTTGTAGGAGCTCCCAGGGCAGGGGCTCTGGAGGGGTGGCTCCTCCAGCAGTTGTGCCATCCCCAGCCTCGATGACAACGGCAGGCAGGGTTGTACCATTTGGTTTCTATCAGATGAAGAAGGGTCAAGAGGTTTTAAGAACCCCATTTAGGGGAGGGATCTTTGTTTTCATGTTCAAGGTCTGGCAGCAAAGTTTCCAGGATTCAAAGCAAAGCAAGCCCGTGATGGTGGGTCGGATGGCTCTTTTATGGCCTTTGGTGAGGCCACTGTGTTGGGGACTCCATTCCTAGGCTCCACTAAAGCTTCTGGAAGTCAGAGGGTTGGATCAGTCTTGTTCAGTTCTGATTTTTACATGTATTTCTAGAAACTTTTTGTTCCACTTCATCAGGCCTCATGCAGTGAGTGAATATTCTGTCCGCTCCAAATCCACCTCCCACAGTGGGGCACTAAAGGCTGGCTTAGTGAGGGGACTTTACCTTCTACTTTCAAGTAAGTATCCACCAACCCTCCCTTCAAAGATGCGCACACTGAGACATAATGAGCCTCATGCCAAATGCCATGTAAATAGAGTCCCTGCAAAGGCCTCTGCCACGCAGGACGTGGTCCTCTCCGGGCTCCTAAAGCCTTCACGGCCACCTGTGATCTTCACATTCACGTCTGTCAAAGTCCAGCCTCCTGTCTTGGTGTTCGTCCCTTTGTCTCAAAATATTCGAGAACTTTATGGGATGTCATACCCCTTTGCAGATTCGGATGGCAACAGCGTGATGAGAAGAGCTCGGCTTTGGAATTTACATGGGTCTGTGTTGAAATCCTGTGTGACTGGAGACTTGGTTATGGTCTCAGCCTCCCTCTTCCCATCTGTGGAATGGAGGCAAGGAGACCTGCTGCATAGGATCATTGCAAATATTTGAGACATAATCGCCGAGTCCTCGCACAGAGCCTGATAGGATCATTGCAAATATTTGAGACATAATCGCCGAGTCCTCGCACAGAGCCTGATAGGATCATTGTAAAGATTTAAGACATAAACGCCGAGTCCTCGCACAGAGCCTGATAGGATCATTGCAAAGATTCGAGACATAAACGCCGAGTCCTCGCACAGAGCCTGATAGGATCATTGCAAAGATTCGAGACATAAACGTCAAGTCCTCGCACAGAGCCTGATACATGGCACATGATGATCACATTTCCTTTTGCCCCTAAAATGTTTCCGTTTTCAACTGATGTGAGGGCCGCTATAAGAGACCTGAGCCCGTGGGCTTTGTCTGCAGTATGTATAAAATCATGACTCTGCTTTATACAGGATACGTTAAAGATCCATTTTAGCATCCTTTAAGTCATTGGAGGAGAACAGGGAGTAAGGAAATGAGAAACCATCTCTGAAGTTAAAAAGTTAAAGAGGAAATGTCAGAAATTCAATTTGGGTATAAGTCCTTAACTGAACCTCTGTTGCATAAAACACAACCCATCAAAAATAACTAGGGAAGGACATTTGATCTGCGGCTCTGATTTGCCGCAGCCGCAAGTGAGAGTCATACACCAGTGACGTGGGTGCTGTCTGCTCCATGAGTTGCTGGTGGACAGGGCTTGTATCTCCCAAGCCGGCTGCCTACTCTGAACTTGGGGTGAAGGCTACCTCTTGATCACAGTGCTCCCACAGAGAGCTGGGCTATGGCCCCTGGAACAGCCCCTCACGAAGTATTTGGTTCTCGCTGGCTCAAAGGGGTTGCTGGTAGGACCCCCTCACACTTAGACCTAGAAGACACGCATAATGAGGCTGTGTGTTATTCGGAATTTTATGGGCAGAAAGTGCCTCCCCATCAGAACTCTGAAAGCCACTCCTTAGCCAGATGTGTTTTCATCAGAGGTGGCCTTTTATTCATTTGCTCCTGCCCACGTACCCCTCTCAGAATGTTCATTTATGACCCATCCAGCAGACCTGACAGGTGGGCCTCTGAAAGTGGCACCGTTTCTCTCTTTCGCCAACATTTAACCCTCTATTTTCTAGACTGATGGAAGGGCCAACGCTTGCCTTTGAACCACAGGGGAGACACCCTGATTTTCCCCCTCCAGGGGCACAGGCACAGAGGTGGCTGTCCCTGCAGAAACTTCCCTCCACATTTTCCCTTTCCGTTGGGCTTCCCCAAATCCTCATCCCTCCTTCCACAAACCCAGACCCTGCCTGGTCTCATGGTTGTGGAGAATTAACTCAGGGGCAAGAAGGCTGGATAAGGAGATAAGTGAGGAAATAAGAGAAATAAAAATAGAAATGCCACAGCAGGGATCTCGTGGCAGTACCCACTCTGGGCTGGGATTGTTCTACACGTGTGACAGGCGTTAAGTCCTCCCATCTTCTTGATAACACTGTGAAGTAGGTTTCATTCTTATCCCCCATCTTTTAGATGAGGACATTGAGGCAGAGAAAGGGGACACATTTGCTTTACATTCGCTCTGCTAGATCAGGTCCTGATGCGTAGTAGATGCTCAGTATTTGTTGAGTGAATGAAGATGTGATTGATAAAACTGGAAATGGGAACAGTGTGGTGGCTCACACCTGTGATCCCAGTACCTTGGGAGGCTGAGGCGGGAGAATCCCTTGAAGCCAGGAGTTTGAGACCAACCCGGGCAACGTAGTGAGACCCACATCTCTACAAAAAATAAAAATACATTAAAAAATTAACCAGACATGGTTGATGCACATCTGTGGTCCCTGCTACTTGGGAAGCTAAAGCAGAAGGATTGCTTGAGCCTAGGAGTTCGAGGCTGCAGTGAGCCGTGAATGTACCACTGTACTGCAGCCTGGGTAACAGAGCAAGACTCTGCCTCAAAAAAAAAAAAAAAAAAAAAGAAACTAAAAACTGGGAATGGGAATGCAGTGGGTTGTGCTGTGCAAAGCTCTCAGCAAAGCCCCAATTCGGGAACCCGCAGGACAAGTAAGCATGTGTGCATGCTGTCCTGAGCTGAGCCTTACCTCTAGCAGGGATGCTGGCGTGGAGGTTGCCCCAGATCTGGGGCTTCTGCACCAGGAGGTGTGGATGCCTCTGGTTGGCTGTCCACCTGGAGCACCAGGCTTGGGAAACCTGTGCCTGGGAGGGAACCGCACACCCAGTGCTTTGCCCTGCAAGGCTTTGAGTAACTGAGTTCCATTGTAGACTCCTCCGGCAATTCTAAGGAACCAAATTGTTCTCAATTCATTATGATGAAAAACAAAAATCAGCTGGGCACGGTGGCTCACACCTGTAATCCTAGCACTTTGGGAGGCCGAGGCGGGTGGATCACGAGGTCAGGAGTTCAAGACCAGCCTGGCTGACACGATGAAACCCCGTCTCTGCTAAAAATACAAAAATTAGCTGGGCATGGTGGTGGGGGCCTGTAATCTCAGCTACTGTGGAGGCCGAGGCAGGAGAATCACTTGAACCCAGGAGGCAGAGGTTGCAGTGCAGAGATCACACCATTGCACTCCAGCCTGGGCAACAGAGTGAGAATCTGTCTAAAAAGAAAGACAAAAATCACGGAGGCAATTTTTGTGTGTGGAGACGTGGGTGTTTGTGCAGGCCAGCTGCCCGTGCAGGCGGGAGTCGCCCTGCCTGGCTCCAGGAACCCCAGACCCAGCTTGCTCCTGGGCAGCCGTGCCCGGCCGTCACCTGTGCCCTTCCCCGCCCTCTGGTGGCAGAGCTTAGAAATGTCCACTGGCTCCTTGGCCGGCAGGTTCCTGTATGGGTCTGACTTAGTCCCAAGAGGCCAGGGCTTCTATTTCACCCAGGGGATCCCTCCACTTCCAAGAGCCCGAGCCCAGGAAAAGCGTCTGGGCCAGTGGCTTCCTCTTCTGGGATCCGTGGTGTCAGTGTGGAGAGAGGAAGAGGCTTTTCTTGGGCTGGCGTGGCCAACCCAGAGAATACAGGGCCAGGCAGGGCTGGAATGCCAGGGCGGCCAGGTGGGGCCTCTGGTGATCCGAAGACCCAAGGGACGGCCCCTCCCTGACTCCAGCCGATGGCTGCCAGGCAGCGAATCCAGCCTGCTGTTGCCCCAAATCTTAACTTTTCTAAAGAAACTAAGAATCTCAGTTTTTATGTGCTGTCTCTAATTTTAAAGAAGTGGCATCTTCCCTCCCTCTCTTCTTCCCCTTGTCTCTTCTCTCTTCCCTCTCTCCCTGCCTCTCTGTCATTCTTTTAACTGCTGTGTGTGCAATAAACTGTCTGAGGGCCAGTGAGGCCCCCTGGGCCTAGAGTTTGAGACTGCTTCCCTGGAGAAGGTGTCGCTGAGTCTGAGCTCCGCAGCCTCTGACCAGCTTGGACCAGCACTGGGCTGGGAGCATGTGTTCCGGGTGAGAGAGGGCCCCGCAGGCCCTGCCATCACCTTGCTGTGGGGGCCACCCCAAAGAGGTACAATCATCCTCCAAGGAGGCTTGGGCCGTGTGCTCTGTGCAGCTGACGCCGGCTGGCTTCACTCCTTCCCTCCACTTCCGGGCGCTGATTTTGTGTTGTTTATTTCGGTTGCCCTAGTTTTGATGCAATAACGGGGAGGATCTTGTTTCCACTTCTTAACAGAGTGTTGGTTTCACACGTAGCTTGAGGAAAACAGTGGCAGCTGGCTAAACACATACCAGATACTGAATTCACAGGAGGCTGCTCCAAAAGAAGTCTGTGCGGGCAACAGAAGACCGTGACAGTTTGTATTTTGCCAGACTCTGTGGCTACCTTCACACCCTGCAAGAGTCCCCCTGGGAGAGACAAAGACCAGAGACCCTGGCGAGATGCAGAAATGAGTCCGGGGTACCCAGGGGGTTGGCAGCCTGAGCTCCAAGCGGTGCTAACTCCTTTACTTTGTTCCTACTTCATTCATTCATTCATTCATTCCATACTTAGTAAGCACGCCCAAATTCCAGATACTGATCTGGGCACTGGGGACAAACAAGATAAAGTCCCTCTTTCCTGGGCTGCCCAGTCTAGTAGGAAAAGAGAGACACTAAGCAAAGAAAACAGCAAAAAACAAAGATCATTTTGGAGATAGCAGGAGGAGCCATGAAGACAGTGCAGTGGAGGTGGATGGGGACAGACGGGGACAGATAGGGATGGGGTGAGAGCTGCTTCCGCTGGGACGGTCAGGAAGTAGGCTTCTGTCAGAGCACATCATCTTTCTCCAGAGAGCTCAACACCACCCAACACCGCATGCCTGCATTCTGTTTTCTCCCACCAGAACATAGGTACCATGCTAGCAGGAACTCTGCTTTATTCACAGCCACCCAGAACAGAGCCTGGCACATAGTAGGTGCTCAGCCAATGTGTTGATCATGGAGGGAGCACTTGCATCATGAAAAGCCTCCATGAGGATTTGGGGAAGAGCATCCAAGAAGAGGACATGGCCAGCCCTGTGCCTCTGAGTTGGCATAAACATTCCATGCTGGTCTATGTGGCCAAAGGCAGGGGCACACTGAGTAGGGGGCATTGGATGAATCCAGGTAGACACAGGCCAATTAAGGCCCAGCCCTCACCGCATTAAGAAGCTTAGATTTTATTCAAAGAGAAGCTGCTGAAGGGTTAAGTTTTCTTTTCTGTTTTGTATTGTTTCATTGTGTTTTGTGTGTGGCAAGGTCTTGTTCTGTCACCCATGCTGACGTGCAGTGGCGCAATCATAGCTCACTAAAGCATTGAATTCCTGGGCTCAAGCAATCTTCCCACCCCAGTCTCCTGAGTATCTGGGCTACTGGCATGCCCCACCATGCCAAGCTAATTTTTTCACGGAGATGGGGTCTTGCTCTTTTGCCCAGGCTGATCTCAAATGCATGGGCTCAAGTGATCCTCCCACTCCAGCCTCCCAAAGCGCTGGGATTACAGGTGTGAGCCACCACACCCGGCAGGTTATTCGTTTTCTGGGCTACTGTAATGGAGCGCCACAACTTTCTTGGCTTAAAAATATTAAGAATTGATTACCTTATAGTTCTGGAGGCCAGAAGCCCACCATGGGCCTCAGCGGGCAGAAAGCAAGGTGCTGGCAGGGCTATGTTCCTCCTGGCAGCTCCGGAGGCAAATGCGTTTCCCTGCTTTTTCCAGCTTCTAGAGGTGCCCATGTACCTTGGCTCCTGGCCCCTTCCCTATTCTGCAGAGCTGGCAGCTGTGGGTGGGTCCTGCTCACTTTGCATCCCTGCAGCCTCCTCTGCCACCTCCCTCCTCCACCTCTAAGAACCCCAGGTTACATGGGGAGCACCCAGTCACTCTGGATGATCCTCCTGGCTTACTATCAGCCGACTGGCCACCTGCCTCCACCTGTAGCCGCACCTCCGCCTCCCTCTCCCTGCAAACTTACGTATGCACAAGCTCCACGGATTAGGATGAGGCCCTCTCTAGGAGAGGGGACATTATTCTGTCTACAGGGTTTTAGTTCAGACAGGGACAGAATCTGATTTCTGATGTATAAAGATCCCTCTGTGCTGAATGGGGAAATGGGTCACAGCCTGGGAAGAGCGAAGCCGGGAGCCCAAGAAAAGGCTGTGGCGCTGTCCAGGTGATCTGCACAGGTGGCCTGGACTGAGTGGTGGCCATGGAGAGAAGATACATGGTTGCTTTTAGACACAGGCAGATACAGGGTTGCTTTTAGAATCAGATCATCTTCTAGCTTCCCAGGCTTTTATGTTGAAGCTGTAATTTGAAGAGTTGTGTGCTGTCCTCTTGGTGCATTTTATCAGCTTCCAGTGAGTGGAGGCTGATGCCTTAACGCTGCGGTTCTCAAAGTGGGGTTCCTGGGCCAGCAACATCAGAACTGCCCTGAGAAGTTCTTTGGAAATGCAAATTCTCAAGCCACTCTAATGGAGGGACTCCTGCAGTCACCCTCCCTCCAAGTGGTGGCCATACAGTATGCCACAGTTTGAGAACCACTACGGTAGGATTGGTGCTAACACTTAAATCCTAACTCCACTCTGGCGGCTGGCCAGCAGGATGGCCTTGGAGGAGTGGCCTGAAGGCCAGGAGACCCTTTCTCATCATTTTTCCGACAACTTACTCAGCATCCTTTGCAGGAGTTGAGGGCAGACCTCATGTGAGAGGCTCACTGTGGTGGGATGGAAGAGGCGTCCCTGACTCCCTCCTTTGCACGTGTATGTTAAGTGGGCACATGTATTCCCCTCAGGAAAGGTACCTTCAATATCCATCAGCTTTCCCCGAGGACCCCAGAGCCCAGCAAAAGATTAAGTAGCCCTGGTCTGTGTGCTAGACACGGTGAGGGAACCATCCTAGTTAGCATTTAACGAACACTTTCTGCATATTGGATTCTGTTTTAATTGTTTTATATGCATTGACATAGTTCATCCTTATGAACTATCCATCATGAACCAGCCTTAGGAGGTAGGTATTGTTAGTATCATTGTCCCCATTCCACAGATAGGAAAACTAAGGCACGAAGAATGAACCTCCTTGCTTTAGGTCACACAGATGCCAAGTGGCAGAAACAGGATTCACAAACCTTCAGAGCCTGTGCATTTTGTCCCCACACAGACTTTAGACCAGGGGTCTGGCAAACTAGAACCCTTGGGCCAAACCCCTGCCGTCTGCTTTTATATGGCCTTCGAACTAAGAATAGTCTTTATATTTTTTAATGGTTTCATTTTAAATGGTTACATAAATACTTACATAGCATCCTCAATTTTGCCTCTTGTCATAAAATACCTACTATCCACTGATATCTATGACCTGAACCTCTAATTAAAATTTGCAGTCTCCCCCACCCTCTGCTCTCTCTGTCTCTGTCTCTCTCTCTTTCTCTCTCTCTCTCTCTCTCTCTCTCTCTCTCTCAGAGATGTGTGGATGCAACACAGACCCTTTTCTCTATGGAGACAGGGAGCTCCGTGCTTTGAGATACCCTGGTGGGGATTTCAATAAGCCTCTGCAGCAGCTCCTGGGGGGAGGTGGGTTGTCACTGCCACTTCATTCATCAAGAAAGGCTTGAACCGGTGGAGCCACTTGCCCAGGCAGCCGAGTTTACAAGTGAGGAACTGCACCTTCATCGTGCCTGATGCAAAAGCATATTCCTCCTTCTCAACTGCCTGCCTGGTTTGAAAGAGCTTATATTCCAGTTTCTCAAATAACATTTGAGTGTGAGAGAGCCTGACCCCAGAACGTCATGGAGGAGCACAGTGTGGTTTGAAAGAGCTTCTATTCCAGTTTCTCAAATAAGATTTGAGTGTGAGAGAGCCTGACCCCAGAACGTCATGAAGGAGCAAAGTGTGTAGTCCAGGTGAAGGATGGGGAGGAGACACAGGGAGAAGGAAGGGCCAGTGTTGGCCAAGGGTATCAAAGAAGACTTCCTGGAGGAGGTGGGGTAGCAAAGACAGGCAAACAGGTGATATTCAAACTTTCTTATACAAAAGGATATTATTTCAGGGGTATCCAATCTTTTGGCTTCCCTGGGCCACACTGGAAGAAGAAGAATTGTCTTGGGCCACACATAAAATACACTAACACTAATGATAGCTGATGAGCTAAAAAAAAAAAAAAAAATCACAAAAACATGTCTTAATGTTTTTAAAATGTTTACAAATTTGTCTTGGGCTGCATTCAAAGCCATCCTGGGCCACCTGCGGCCTGCAGGCCGTGGGTTGGAGAAGCTTGATTGATACGTTTCTCTAGCTAAAAGCTGCATGATGGTCTCTAACCTGAGGCATAGATGTATCAAGGTGCACAAACAGTGCGAATCTGCTAGTTACAGAAACCTAAAAATGGGTGGTTCAAACAAAGTTGGGATATTTTTCTTGCAGAACAAAAAGTCCTGAGAGATGCCTATCATGGCATGCAACTTGTCCTAAGCATCATTGCTTTAAAATAGTGCTTTATTGACCCCTACTTGTTCTAGGAAATGACGATCCACAGTCAACCTATAACACTGAACAATCTTCCTCTTTTGAAATATCCTGAAATTGCCCCCCTTGCTCACTTGCAGCTAATCCAGGGCCGTCAAATGTACATGAAGACCAATTGGAAAGTCTCTCCCCACTTTCAGAATTCCCAACTTCATGGGACCCTTGCCAGTCAGACACGTCTCAGGATTTCCTCTTTTACTCTATAAAATAGACTCTCCTTCCTAGAACTCTTGAATCCTTGCTGAAAGGAAATGACAGACAACAGGCTTCACCACCACAAGCTCATGAATTAACAGCCCTTGTTTATTTTGCTGCAGAATCAATTTTGTCTTTGATAGCACCGTGTTTGGCAGGAGGTTATATTCCAATTTCAGTGTTTGGCATATATTAACATAAATATATGTGCGTCCAACATCTCTTAGCTTTCTTCTGTGACAGGAAGGGGTTGCTAGATGCTGGGCTGAAGGAAAGGAGTTTTGTGTTTGGCAGCCTAGGCTGGCATGATGCTTCGAGGTGCCAAGGGGGACCCAGTTCCTGCTGTTATTCCATTCAGTTATCCTCAGCATGAGCTTCTTGCCTCATGGTCACAAAAAGGCTGCTCCATCTCCAGCATCAGATCAGCATTGCAATCAGGCAAAAAAGAAAGGGCGAATGGGCAAAGGTACCTGATGATGACTCAGCCGTGCTCCTTTTAAGGTGCTATCCTTGAAGCTCCACCCAACAACTCCCTTTTGTAGCTCCCGGCCTGGATATTGGCACACAGCCATCTTTAAGTGCATGCGAGGCTGAGATACACACTTCTTTAAAGACGGTGTATTAGTCCGTTTTCACACTGCTGATAAAGGCACACCCAAGACTGGGTAATTTACAAAAGAAAGCAGTTTAAGGCACTCACAGTTCCATGAGGCTGGGGAGGCCTCACAATCGTGGGGGAAGGTGAAAGGCGTGTCTTACATGGCGGCAGACAAAAGAAGAGAGCTTGTGCAAGGAAACTCCACTTTTAAAAACCATCAGATCTCATGAGACTTACTACCATGAGAACACCACAGGAAAGACCTACCCCCATGCTTCAATTATCTCCCGCCAGGTCCCCCCAACAACATATGGAAATTCAAGATGAAATTTGGGTGGAGACACAGCCAAACCACATCAGACAGCCATATGGCATTCCCCAAGAACATACGGATTCCAGACACAAGAAGAAAACTGATCCTGGGAAGCCAACAGCATCCTCTGCTGGGTACTCTCTGGGCTTCTTTACAGGCAGGAAAGGGAACAAACTTTTGTAAGGACTTTTAATAACATGGCTAGGCACAAAAAGGGGGTTGCCAGAGATGTAAAGCAAGCACAACTTGGGTTAACCCATCTGAACTGCTGGGTACTCACAAAGGAAAAAGTCCTTTCCTTCAGCCCAACATCTAGTGACTCCTTCTTGTCACAGAAGAAAACTAAGAGATGTTGGATGCTCGTATATTCATGTTAGGTGCATCACCTTTTCTCTTCTTTGAAGATAGATATTTAAGAATAGCAAAGAACAAGTAGGGAAAAAATAAGAAATTCTACCTTTAAAGTGTGTTGTGCACCTGTCGGAAAACCATACGAGCCATACACGGGATAGTATATATATCTGGTCTCTTTTCAGCCAGCCAAATCGGGTAATAGCAGCTCTGTTGCCAAGGGACACTCTCTTAAAGCAGCATGTTAATTGCACAGCTAATGTGTGAGTACACTCTCCCTTATTTTCCAAAAAAAAAAAAAAATCTAGTAAAGCTAAAACACATGTGACCATCCCAAAGATCTCATCTCCCTTCTACTCCTCTTAGGTAATCACTTTTGTAAGTGTGATTTACTATTTATAATTTTTTTCTAAACATTTATGTATATGTGTGAGTACATATTTACACACAAACACACATATAGACATATATACAATCATAGCGTTGTGTTTCAGTTTCTTGTTATTGTAACATAATTATTATATTAAATTTATTAATATTTTATGGTAATAACAGAATACTAAATCATATTTAATTAAATATATAGTTCATTCATTTTAATATATTAAAATTAATTTAATAGAATATTAAACTATACTATTATATATAACTACTAATATCAATATAGTTGTTTTAACATAATTGTTTTAGCATAAATGATATGTTCCTTATGTGATAATTGTGTAATAATGGTAACTATCTACATAATATCCACTCTCGCCTCCCTCCTTACTTACAGAATACTAAATTTGTTGGAGGTGGCAATGTGCCCAGTTAAAAACACAGATGCTTCTCTACTTATGATGGGGTAACGTGCTGATAAATCCATTGTAAATTGAAAATATTCTAAGTTTGAAAATACATTTAATACACCTAACCTATGAAACATCGCAGCTCAGCCTAGCCTGCCTTAAACGTGTTCAGAACACTTACATTAACCTACACCTGGGCAAAATCATCGAACACAAAGCCTGTTTTATGATAAGGTATTGAATATCTCATGTAATTTGTTGAACGCTGTTCTGAAAGTGAAAAGCAAAATGGTTGCATGAGTATTCAAAGCACAGTTTCTACTGAACGGGCATCACTTTCACACCGTCATAAAGTAGAAAAATCCTACGTTGCAGTATCCTAAGTTGGGGACCAACTGCAATCTCCTGCCTAGACCTCCTTGTGGTGCAATTATGAGCCAGGATGGGAAGAATATATAAACTGATGTTCACTGAGTTACCGGAGTCAATAAAAAAAAAGGTTAAGTAAACAGACTTACCTAATACAGACATTTTGCCCTTAATTTGTTTCTCCTGGAACTCAGATGCAATGGCTGGATGGGTAGCAGCTTTGTCGTGGTCATAGGCATGAAGCCCTTTAGTAGAGTTGGTGGTACAGAAAGATACATGGATGCGGGGTCCTTAGTGAGTTCATGGAGCCGTTGAATAAGCTCTGGGTAGTGTTTCTCTAAAGTTCTGTGGGGGAAAAAACTACAAAGAAAACATAATTATTACAAATACTTGTGGTTATTTGTTTTTACATAATTGACATTGTTCTGTAACTTAGTTTTCACCCAATAACACTTCTTGGAGATCTTTCTATGCCAGTACATGTAGTTCTCCTTTCCAACTGCTTCCTAATAATAGTAAAAAAATAATAGGTAGTTGTAAGTGGGAGTTGAACAATGAGAACACATGGTCACAGGGAGGGGAACATCACAGACTGGGGCCTGTCGTGGGGGTGAGGGGCAGGGGAAGAGAGAGAATTACAAATGCTCGCATGCATTAGACAAATACCTAGTGCACGCGGGGCCTAAAACCTAGATGACGGGTTGATGGGTGCAGCAAACCACCATGGCACATGTATACCTATATAACAAACCTGCACATTCTGCACATGTATCTCAGAACTTAAAGTAAAATAATAATAATAATAATAATAGGTAATGTTTTTGAGGACCTATCATGTGCCAGGCATGACTGAGCACTTTGTATTTAGTAAGTTGTTGAATCTTCAAAATGGTCCCAAGAGGAGTGTGCTATTAAGAAGCTCCTATAGATGGGAACAGAGGCACAGACAGGCTAAGTGAGCACCCACCATCACAGCTAGGAAGTGGCCAGGCTGTGATTGGAGCCCGGTGGGCTGGCCCGGAGCTGCCCTCTCCACAGAGCCCTATCCTCTGTATCTCTTCTCTTTCTTTCTTCACTGCATTCTCTCCTGGGGTTTGCTGTGTTCAGGCAGTTTACTGTGGATAGCCTCTTCTATTATTTCCAATCAGGCGCAAAGCTGCAGTGGACACCTTAGACATGTCTGCCTGTGCCCAGGAGTGAGAGTGACCCTAGGTTAGCCACTGACCAGGGAGCATCTTAGGTCAGCGGATGGCACTCAGAGGCTTCAGTGCCTTCCAATCAGGTGCCCCCACCATACATCAGCAGCTGTGACCCCTGGCAGCTACTCCCCACAGCCTCACTGGCCCCAGGGTGGGGGAGCCTTCTAGTAGTTGGGCTCAGGACATCTCTCTGCCACTCCCCCACGGGTAGAAGGTGGTTTCTCCCCCTTCCTCCAGCATACTGTGTCTCCACCTGTGCCCAGGGGCCATAGGGTTTGCTTAACCTGAAGGCTTTGGTCCCACAGAGGGGAGAGAAAGGTCTGGTTAGGGCTTCGCCGTGTGTCTTCTAACATGGTCCATTCTGTCTCCCTTGTGAGTGCCTTTTTTTGTGGTTTGTGAGTTTGCAAAGGAAGGTGCATCTTTCTGGAGCAATTGCAACGGTCAGGGGCCTTCAGCACCCAGCTGCAGCAGTGTAGCAAGGCAGGCAGCAGTGAAAGGTCATACGAGGGGGTCTATATTCCATAGAGAAACTTACAAACCACCATAAAGCAGAGCAAAAGTGGGTCTGCTTTTTGCTCTTACTGTGGGTTTGCAATTTGAAATAACAAGTTGGTCCCCATGGAGGTGGATTGCACTCGCCCCTCCCCTTGGGACATTGCCTCCTCCAAGGCCTGGGTCCCAATGCTTTTCTCTTCTTCTTCTCTTCTGCGTTCCAACCTTGCACTCCTGCAGCGTGGAGTCCTCCTGCTTCTCTCCTCACATGGCCACCTTCTGCTTCTAAACAATGATTAGGGTGCAAGTCTGCCCTCACCTGTCATGTCATACGCCCATGCTGTCTTCTTCCCATCTGAGCCCTTCCCTATTGCGACTGGCCACCTCCCCTCTGCTCAGCCTCCCACGAGTTTGATAAACACAGTTTAATTGTCTGTGTGCTCCCTACAGAAGCAAGGCAGCATGGGGTACAGACAAGCCTCTTAGTTAATGTTGATGGAGGGAAGACCATTCCTTATCCTATCCCTCTGTTGATTTTTTTCCCCCGATTAACGTTAAGACCGAGATGGATGTCTTGCTGGTGCAATATTAAATAAGAACCACGATAAGCTCAGAGGCCTCATCCATCAGAGCGGATGCTGAGCATCAGTCAGTTAAGAATGACAAGAAGGCATCTCAGCCTGGCTCAAGCCATGGAGGAGAAAAGTACAGGGGCCTCCAGCTTCAGGCACTGCTGGATTCAGGGGCTCCATCTCCTGACCTTTCTTTCCACGATGCTAGCTGTACATACGTGCAAGCTGGCATTCAGCATCTCTAGACTGACCTGGGCATCAGCCAGTGATAGTTCTGCAACCTTTGTGTCTACCAAGGACTGACACTCTCTCTCCGCAGGGAAAAATGGAGCTGGAGTGAGTTACGGATTTGAAATAAAGCCTGGGTCCTTTTGTAGTTCATAAGGGTGAACCTTTGTAGTTCATAAGGTTTTCATCCTCATGTGTGAGACATGTCTCCCTCAGACCTTGTTATGATGTTGGCACGTTGCCCGTCTGATGTGAAAAATAAGAAATGAATAAAATTTTAAAAAATACATAACATAAAGCCTGTGCTCTGAGACAGGATAGCGCAGAAATGGGCACAGGGATCCTGAGTTCAAATTCTGATTTCAGAATTCTTAGCTGTGTGACCTTGGCTGAATTACTCAATCTCTCTGGGCCTCAATCTCTTTATGTGAAAATTAGGGATAATAAAGATACTTCACGCATAGGGATGTTGAAAGTACAAAGAAGTCGATATATGATATGCAGCACCCGGACCAACAGGGTGTTGAGTGATGGTTTTACTGTTGTCCTCCTCCTGTCTTGATAATCCAGGTGTCACAAGGATAAAAGATTTCACCTTCCACTTAACGGATATTTTTCCCCACTGACTTTTCAGAATTCTCCCTTATAATTCCCCATTCCCTCTTGGAAAGCTCAGTTTAAATGTCCTTTTCACACGTTAAAGGCTTTAAAATGAAAGAGAAAATTGCTTTTATCTTCTGGTGTATTCTTTTCTCTTTTTGTTTACTCAACCATCAGGAAAGCATTTTCTACTTTGTCCCCTAAGACTTGTCATTAATATAATCATTCTAAATGCTGGTATAACCAAACAAAACTACAGATGCTAACTAGCAAGCAGATGAAACTCACATGTGGGGGAAAAATGCGGAAGACTCTTTGGTACACACAAGTTTTTAAAAATTATCTGTAATTAGTGGGAAAGAAAATATGTGGACTATATTAAAAATAAGCTCTTTATTTTTGAGGAAAAAGGCCATCATAAAGAACAGGAATGGTGTCCTTTTTATTTATATGAATTGAGATAATTGGGACTCTCAGGGTTAATGTAAGTTTCCATCATAAATAATACCACCATCTGTGATAAATGGATGCCTCTCTCTTTCAATAGATACAGCGAAACATTCTCAAACCATATGCTATGTGAGCAGCAAATGCACATATTTAAATTCTGCTGTAAATGCTTGTATTATACAACTCTAAATCCCTCCAGATTTTTTTTTCTTTTTGGTTTCCATTTCCAAACTGTTTTGGAGGCACAGTAAAAACCATGTTTACATTTTCAATCAAAGAGGTAAACCTGGTCTATAAATCAGATTGTAAAATGCACTGAAGAAACACTAAGAAAGTTCTCCTATGCATGAAACATGACTCGGAAAGACTTCCTCTCTATCAGGGGTCCGCACACTATGGCCTGTGGGTCAAACACAGCCCACCACCAGTTTCTGTGTGGTGGCCTGAAAACTAAGACTTTTTTTTTTTATGTTTGTATGTCTTTAGATAGTTGGAAAAGTGTTGTTTAATAGAGAGGCAGTGTTTTTGACATGTGAAATTCAAATTCTAGTGTTTAAAAGTAAAGTTTTATTAGAACACAGAAAGAGTCATTTGTTTACATTTGTCTCTGGCTGCGTCACAGGAGGGTTGAGGAGTTGCAATGGAGACCATTTGGCCCACGAAGGCTGAACTATCTACTGCCTGGGCCTTTACGGAAAATAGTATGCTGACTCCTTCTTTATATGACTTGCAAAGCAGAGTTACCACAGTTTGGATCAAGAAAGGTGTGTCCTCTTAGAAGCTTTTGGCTGATAGTGAGAGAAAACCCTCGCGCACTGAGGAAGTCCACTGGCTCACATGGCTGGAAGGGCAGCGGCAAGGTGAGATCCAGGCGAGCTTCTCCCGGGCCCCTCACTGGGCCAACCCCTGGGATAAAAGCACAGCCCCTTCCCTCACTGTGCCCACCCGTGGCTGAGCTTGTCTCTGGGCACTCATGCATAGATTCCAGATGGATAACAGTATTTATGGGGAGACTGGCTCACTCATTGGCCCCTGGGGTGAAAGGCGTTTGCTTAAGAGTGAGGGACCTTCTTTCCCAGAAGTCCTAACACACTTCTCCTCATAGGTCCTTGGCCCAGTTTGGCCAGGGGCAGGGCTTTCCCAGCCCAGCACAGTGATCTTTGGGGCTGGATAATTCTGTGGGCGGGCTGTTCTGCACAGTGTAGGATGTTGAACAGCATCCCTGGCCTCTGACTGCCCGCTAGATGCTAACAGGATGCCCCCCAACCCCATTCTTTTGTTTTTTTTTTTTTTTGTTTGCAGGGTGGGGATGGAGTCTCGCTCTGTTGCCCAGGCTGGAGTGCACTGGCACAATCTCGGCTCATTGCACCCTCTGCTTCCCGGGTTCAAGCGATTCTCTTTACTCAGCCTCCTGAGTAGCTGGGCTTACAGGCACGCACCACCATACCTGGCTAATTTTTGCATTTTTTTGTGGAGATGGGGTTTCACCATGTTGGCCAGGCTGGTCTCAAACTCCTGACCTCAAGGGATCCACCGCCTTAGCCTCCCAAAGTGCTGATATTACAGGCTTAAGCCACCGCACCTGCCTGCCCCCCAGCCCCATTCTTGACAACAGAAAAAATCTCCAGACATTGTAAAATGTACCCTTGGGAGCAAAACTGCCTCTGAGAATCACGGGTTTAGGCCTATGTGTAACTGAACCAGGTAATGGGAATGAGCTTGGAATTGCCCTGTTTGATTTAGACCAGGGAATGGCAAACTACAGACCATGGGTCAAATCCAGCCTGTCACCTGTTTTGGTACAGGCTGCAAGCTAAATACGGTATTTACATTTTTAAAGATTATGTAAGTACCTATATAGAATGTTGATTTTTGTCTTCTAGCCTGCAAAAACCTAAGACATTTACTATATGGTCCTTTAAGAAAAAGTTTGCCAACCCCTGGATTAACACCAATCATTCTCAACCCTCACCTTTATGAGCCATGAAACGAAATCTCTGATTTGATAACCTTCATATGTACATAATTAAAAACAAATCAGTATAGTGCTCTGTCATAGGCAGGAGAAACAATTCAAAGTCAAGTAATATTTTAACAGATATATCTAGAAGGCCGAATGAAGTAGTCAGATACTTGCTCCTGTATTTAGAGTCACCATGGGTGTGTCAGCCACAGACGCAGACTGGTATAGCTATGTTGGAGCAAGTTGCATTTCACATGCAGATTGGACATTGTGATGTAATTTTCGGAAAGGATCAACGACTTTTTAGATAAGTTTCATCAAAGTCTGATCTCCACCCCAGTAGTTGCAATTCTGGAACACATACAGTATGTGGAATCATTGCCCTTCTCCCAGTTATTTAGTGGATGTTTAAGATCGGCTCTTTGCTTGGATCACTGTAAGTGGGTTCCTCACCTCTGTGAATGTCCAGTGGGGCAGCGTCATGCAGAATCTGGGCAATTCTTTGTGGTTGTAGAACAGTCTCGTGCTGTGCAGAAAACCTAGCAGAACTGGCTGTGATCTCTACATGCCAGTGGTGTTCCTCCCTCTAGTCATTGTGATAATCAAAATGCCACCCTCCCCATAGATGTTTACATCCCTATCGCCAGAGGCTGCAAATATGTGACCTGCATGGGGAAAGGAACTTTGCAGATGTGATTAAGGTAAGGCTCTTGAGATGGGGGGACTATCCTGGATCATCCAGGTGGCCCTGATGTCATCACAGGGGTCCCTGTAGAGGGAGACAGGAAGTCAGGGGCGAGAGAAGCTGCCGAGATATTGGCTTAGAAGAGAGAGACTCCAAGCCGAGGACTGCAGGTGACCTCCAGAAAATGGAAAAGGGAACAGATTCTTCCCTGAAGCCTCCAGAAGGATCACAACCCTACTGACACTTCAGGGTTTTTTTGTTTGTTTGTTTTAGCTTTTATTTTAAGTTCATGGGTATATGTGAGGGATGTGCAGGTTTGTTACATAGGTAGCCATGAGTCATGTGGGTTTGTTTTATAGATTAGTTCATCACCCAGGTATTAAGCCCAGTATCCATTAGTAACTTTTCCTGATCCTCTCCCTCCTTCCACCCTCCATCCTCCGTTAGGCCCCAGTGTGTGTTGTTTCCCTAGTGACACTTTGATTTTAGACTTCTGACCTCCAGGACTATATAAAAAGAAAAAATACATATGTGTTGTTTTAAATGGCTAAGTTTGTAGTAATTCGTTCCAGCAGCGTAGGAAACTGACACACCGTCCCTTAGAGGAGCACCTGTCCTGGGAGAGCCCCAGCCTGAGCCAATCAGAACCCACCTGCAGACGGACCTCGGTTCCAAGCCACATTGTGGGTGGTCAGCGGGGGAGGGCAGGTGGAGGATGTGGAGGAATCGGCCACGTGGCCACCAGGCAAGCCATTGGCTGAGCTTAACTTGCGGAAACACTGACACCATGCAGTTAAAGCAGCCCATGTTAGACTTGTAACTTCGCCTGGTAAATATTTCCCTCTGTGCCTACCTAGGGCACCCTTCTTGTGCTGATGAAGTCCAAGACTCTGAAGATTTTAGAGCATTCGTCTTTGAAAGGCACAGTTCCTTTGCTGTACTTCTAGGAGTCTGACTGAGTAGCATCTGAGAGTGATTATGGAGCGCTCCCAGAGAAAAGGGGGGAACTATCCCCCCAGGGGCTCAGAGGGGAATATAAGTACCTGCTCTTTTAAAGGAGAGCTTGACGGTTACGAAATTGCAAACCGCGCTATGTAATTTCAGCAAAGGATATTCAGGCTTTGTTCAGAAGAGGCATTGAAATCAAATAATCCATTTATCAAGGTGCCTTTTGTTTCAATAAAAAGGAAACAATGAGCCATATTTAGCAGAGAGAGAGACATTCTGTGTCTGGGGAATGTTAATAAATCACCAATGGAGAGAGGAAAAAATATTCAGGCTTGCTTGTGTTTCAAGTAAGCTGCAGTGACTTGGAAGGAAAATCCAGTCAGGGCTCTCCTTGAGGCATATGGAGAAAGGCAAGTCCTGTTTTGCAGGTGTCTGATATCATATGAGTAAACCAGAGATGTCTGATGCAGGAGACACCTCCAAAGTCCTGAAAAGAGCCCACTTCCCTTAATTTCAGATTTTTCTTTCTCACGTAGACATCACCCAATTTTTTTTTCGCATGTGGATATCACCCTTACCCCCAACATTTCTGTAGTTTTAAAAGCTTGTTACTATAACTGATGAACACATTTGAAATAATGGTAATGATTATGATAATAGCAACAACAATTCCCAATTGTTAAGCATGCTGAGTGCTTAGTTTATTGCTTTAAGTGAGGCGGTCTTATGTGATTCCCATCATCGACATGAGAATTCTGAGGCTCAAGAGTTTAAGGTATTTTCCAAAAGACAAAAACAAAACAAAACAAAATCCTCATCTAGGAAGTTGTGGGACAAGGATTCATTGTTGAACTTCGTGTCACTCCATGAACTCCTAACCACTGTGATACATTTCTTCTTTCTGGGCTGGAGAAGGCTTTGATTAAAGTCCTTCCCCTGTTTCTTCCTATGTATGTAATATCTGACAAACTACCTCAGGCTTTCTATGTGGATCAAGTTAGATCAGGGTTTGTCAACCTCAGTGCTATTGACATTGTAGGCTGGATAATTATTTGTGGTGGGGGCACTGTCTTGTGCATTGTAAGATGTTTAGAACCATCCCTGGCTCCTACCGACTAGATGTCAATAACAGCCCCCTCCCAGTTGTGACAACCAAAAAATGTCTGCAGACGTCACCAAGTGTTTCTCAAGAAAATCACCCTTAACCCTGACTTAGATGCTGTTCTTGAAAGCCCCTTGCACACCCTAAAACAATTCCACTTGTGCCTGTGGATTATTTCAGGGGATGTTATTTTTATTTTTATCCAATTCAAGAGGGAAGCAGGACCTAGTAAAAATACTATATTTGTGGGCATATTTGTATATTTGTGGGCATCCACTGCCTACCCCATTTAGAATAACCCCTGGCTTCATCCCATCTGCCTGGATAGACTTCCCACTCCTCACATGCTGGGATTCTGAGCTTTCCCTCCCCAATCTTTTGGTTATGTTGTTCTTCATCCTAGAATTCTTGCTGTACCCCATTCAATCTCCGCAGGTCCTACCCATCCTTTATGTCCCAGCTTAGAGAACATCAACTGTAAAGAATCTATCTCTGGTCAACATGTCTGAAAGTGAGCGTTGTGATGAAGGCAGGGCATCACGTTAGTGGGAAGGCTCATTCTCCCAGTGTTATCCTGTCTGGGCACTGAGTGACGTGGCCTTGCCATATTCCATTCAACCTCCTCAGGCCCTAACCATCCTTTATGTCCCAGCCCAGAGAACATCAGCTCTAAAGAATCCATCCCTGGTCAACACGTCTGAAAGTGAGCATTGCGATGAAAGCAGTGCATCGTGTTAGTGGAAAGGCTCGTTCTCCCAGTGTTATCCTGTCTGGGCACTGAGTGACGTGGCCATCTCCGGTGTCCACCATCTCAGAATCTGAAAAACTCAATTTCTGACTGCAGCTTTGTGGTAGAGTTCTCCGATGAACAACCGGTGGAGGACACAATATCCCCAACACTGACAGGCAGGTACAGATAAAGAAAATGGATAAACAGGAAGGGAGACAGCAATGAACGTGCTGTCCACATGGAGGCCAGATAGGCAGGTGCAGCTGTCACCTGCTCTCCAGGCTGTCTCCCGTGGCCGTAGGAAACCAGCATTGGACTTTTCCAGGGGTATTGTTTCAGGTCAATAAAAATGACTCAATTATCCTATCTTTCTGGGAGATGTTGGTGCAAGCAGATGAACTGGAGTAAGAGGAAAGACATTTGTCAGAACTCGCAATGCCATGGCAGCCCTGGAATTGTTTCCTTGCAGTCAGGAGATAACGTTTCCGGGAGAAAACACACGGCAAAGGCTGGCAACCACTTATGATTCCTTAATCTGCTACCTCTGGGCTTCCCAAGATGAGAGGTAAGTTTAGGGAGCGTACAGGGTGCTGCAGCCTGTGTGGGTGCAGATGGACCCTGCACAGGTTCGTCGAGGAGTCGTTCATGTGGGCACCTCTGTGGTTGGCTGTTGGAGGTTCCTGGACATGGCGCAAAATCGCCTGTTCAACCATATGAGAAAGTGGGAATTTCCTGCTTAATTATTTGAATTATTCTGAGTCTATCTAAGAGAAAATCTCATTTTGCAGCCGCTGTATCTTCAGCAACCAACACTTGATAATCTCCCTGCTTAACAAAGAAATGGCAAACTATGGCTCAGAGCTATAGACAGGCAGCAAATAGGGGATGTGACCTTGGTTTTTTATTTACAGTGAGATTATTTAAACAGAACTATTCATTTATATTAGTACATTATTTATTACAATTTTAATTTATGAAGTTATCAATTATTAGTAAGCTCCTGGACTGATTAACAGTGCATACATTATCTGGTTCATGTCATGAGATTGAGGGAGGTGTGAAGCTTAGGAAACACCACCCTCAGTTGAAAGCTCTGTGTACAGAGAGCTGCACTAGGCAGTCTTGGGCATGTATGTACTCAAGAAGTTCTTGATAAATTCTCAGCAGCCCCCATGGACAGGTGCTAGTGCATTATTTTACTGGGGAAAGGAATGATTGTTCTTGTCTGCTGCAACAATTGTTAGTTTACTTCTGGGTGACCATATGCTCTAAAAGTATGCAAATGTGAGGCAAAGAAGGTACTTACATGAAGGTGAAGTTTCCTTAACACCTCTGATGCACTGACACTGAATGGCTGCAGAGGGTTGCCATCCCCTGGTACTGGATGTCAGAATGTCCATGGACATTGGCTCCAATTCTTCCTACCACACGTGAGAAGTTCTGCCTTCCAGCAAATGGTGTCTACATTTTCCCTCATTGTACACCTTACTGCTGTGTGAAGTGGCTTCGTCCCCCATCTGGCTTGCTTCATGTTTGGGCTATTGGTCAAACTTGATGCATTCCTCAAGTGTTGAATGAGTCGTCACTGAGTCACATGGTATTCAAGACAGAAGGGTACCCTGCTGGATAAACACACTATCCTTTTTCCCATGGAGCTTCCAGTCTGTTAGGGAAGATGGTCATTAACCAAACATGCACACAAACAAATATAAAATTACAGCTGTGTGAAAAGATATAAAAAAGAGGTGCATGGTGTTTTGGGAGGGGCACTGGACCTAGTGTGGAAGTCAGGGAGGCTTCCTATTAATAGAAGAGGTGAGGTGGATCTGGGAACCGAATGGAAATTAATTAGGCTGAAGGAGTGGCCATGTGTGAGACCCTGGAGATATGAAGGAGCAAGATGTATTTAAACTTCGATAATAAATTTAAAACTCTGGAACAAGGATGTACTAAGATATAATTAAGATATAACCCTACTTGCACCCTTATTACGAGTCAGGCACTTGCTGAACACTTTGTAGGCATCATCTCAATGAACGCTCATGCACTTGGGAGGCAGGGAGTAGAGCAAGGTGAGCCCTGTTGCCAAGTGGACCAGAACATCTAGAACCACACAGCCAGGCATGAGTTTCAGCTACATCACTTACAACCAGGAGATCTTGGGCAACATTACTTACCTTCCCTATTCCTCAATTTCCCCTTCTATAAAAAGTGAGCATCATGATACCCCATAAGATTGTTGTGAAGAGCTAATTGACATTCCACATGGAAAGCATTTAAAAACACACCTAGAACATGGTGATATGGTTTGGCCATGTCCCCACCCAAATCTCATCTCGAATTGTATCTCCCGTAATCCCCACATATCATGGGAGGAAACTGGTGGGAGGTAATTGAATCATCAGGGCAGGTTTTTGTGCTGTTCTCATGATAGTGAATAAGTCTCACAAGATCTAATGGTTTTATAAAGGGCACTTCCCCTGCACACACACTCTTGCCTGCCACCATGTAAGATGTGCCTTTGCTTCTCCTTTACCTTCCACCATGATTGTGAGGCCTCCCCAGCCATGTGGAACTGAGAATCCATTAAACCTCTTTTTCTTTTATAAATTACCCAGTCTCGGGTATTTCTTCATAGCAGTATGAAAGTGGACTAATCATACGGTCAATTCTTGATGACTGCTGGCTGCTCTGTGAGGGATTGTTTCATGATGAAACACCCTGAAATGTAGAGGCTTGATCATGTTCAAGGCCTCCTGAGTCTCAGGACTTCTGATCTTGGCTGGACTTGCTCACTTGTTTGGGGCTGGGCATGGGCTGCCTGATGCAGGATGGCCTCAGCTGGGATCGCACCGCTCGCCTCCACATGGTCTCTTCTCCAGGTTGGCCCAGGCTTGTTCTTCTTCCTACTATCAGGTGTCCAAAAGAGGCAGAGTGGAAATGTGCAAGGCCCCTTGAGACCTGCGCCCAGAAGAGGCACGCTGTCACTTCTTCCATATTTTCTTGGCCAAAGCAAATCACAAGGCAGCCCAGATTCAAAGAGTGGGGAAACTGACTCCACCTCTTGATGGGAGAACTGCAAAGTCTTATGCAAAGGTTGTAGATAAGCGTGTAGATACAGGAGATGGGGTGCCATTTTTTAATTGCTCTTCTATTGTTATTATGCTACATATCTAGATCAACAGGTCTCAATCTCTCTTTCTCTGTCTCTGTCTCTCTCTCCTCTTTATGGAAAGTGAAGCTCCCTTAGCCACTATACAAGGCCTTGCTCCTTTCTTTATGGTCTGTCTCTTCTTAACTCAAGTCAAATCTCTCAGGAGCTGGAAGAATTCAGAATGAGGCTCAACAGGAAGGGATGAGCTAGGCTTCACTTCACTTCATCCCTTCTCACTTTTCCTCATGTGAAGGATAAAGAGTGACCTGTTCAAAGAATGGAAGAACCCTAAGACAGGAGGTGAGACCACAAGCCCACTCCATCTGTATTTTATAGAAAATAAACTCAGCATTTGCTTAAAAGCAAACGGGTTTCCTTTAGACTTTTTTCCAGTTAAGAAAAGGAGAGAAAAGGAATCTTTATGTCTAGGAAGAATGAAGAATGAATGACAAGACAGCTTGTTGACAAATACTTCCTGTTGGTGAATGCTCCCACTGCAGATGGGCCTGGAATCCTGTGCCCCGCCCCTTCACAGAGCCCTTGGCTCACAACCTTCTCCAAGCAGATGAGTCTCTAAGTCCCTACACTTCAAGATTTAAGAGTATTTTTTTGGATTGGGATAAATACCTCAAAATAAAAGCATCAGATGTGGCTTTTGGTTTTTACAAAATATTACAAGTTGCCTAAATAGTCCGTGTTTAAGGACATAGAGCCAGAGCTCTTTCTGGAATGTCATACCTCGGCAGGGCCTTTTGTGCATGTTTTAAGCTGATTCTGAAATTAGGGGGTTAAAATGGAAGCGCCGAGCCATCCCTAAAGAGAGGGAGGCGAATGTGCCCTTGTTGCTGGTGACCCCAGAACAAGGCCTCTGGGCTGAGAACAGGAGAGAATGTTATTTCTTTGAAAAGCCATCTTGACAATCCAAGTCCGTTTGGCTGCAGCACCAAAGGCAGCTTTGATCTGCTCGCCAGTGTCCCTGCCGGGAAAAGGATTAGGGTCCTTCCAGAGGACAGCAGAGCCAGGCTGCCCCATATGCTGGCGGGTTGCACAGGCTGCACTGAGAGGAAGGGACAGCAGGGAAGGCTGGAAAGAAGGAGAGAGAGCAACTCCCGTCTCCTCTCTCAATATACGAATGCAGGCTTGTTTGGGTTTTCTGGGGGTTTTAAAAAACAGAAGCAAGGAGATGGGCTTTCTTGGGTTTTCAAAGTTAGCAATTGCGGCAGTTGAAGTGTCTGGGTCATGAGTGTGTAGCAAGTTCTTAGCCGTGCCCTCATGTAGCATAAGCTCATGGGGGATCTTAGCAAAGAAAATATTCAAATAGCAAGGAGGTTGCTTGTGGTCCTTCTGTTGATGTCAGGGATGGTTCAAATAACCCTGGAAGCAAGGGGTGACATGCTGCACTTTCCTACCTTGGAGTTGAGCCTGTGAGCCCCCAGTATTCAGCAACTTAGCCAGCTGAATCTTGTAAATCAGGAATCTCAAACTCAAAAGCACCTGACAGACAAGCAGGCCGGTCCATGGCGCACAGCGGGCTCAGTGTAGGATGACAGCAACACTGGGGCTGTAAGTCACCTCCTCCCATCATCACCATGGGGGGAGAAATCCCAAATGTTTCCAGTTCCTCCCATCTTCAAAGACAAGCTGGAAACCCAGAGACTCCCCAGTTTTAAAAAATTGAGTTTCACTTTATAAAGATTTTTTTAAAAAACACTGTGGGCCAAGCAAAACCTACCTGCAGGCTGGGTGGAGCCCCAGAGTGAGCAGTCTGCGATGTCGGGTCTCAACAGATGCAGAGCCCAGAGGCATGTAGTTTACACCCCAATCAGTATCGCCACTCGGTGTGCTGAATCTCAGTAGGGGGCCAGAGGGACCCGAGCCTTGGAACTGGGCTCCCACCCAGTGGAGAGAGGGTGGCATGCTTATTCATTCTGCTAACTCATTTTACCTGGAAGAGTTAATAATGAACACTTTCTCCCCGGCTAAGAAAGAAGACGATGATGACAAGATAGTGTCTTTGGTGATCAATGACTAAAAGACACTCTCCACCCAAATGGATCAAGATTATCAAAGAATCTAACGAATTTAGGAATAATAATATGGTGGGGCATTGACTCATTATTTTTGAGTAACATGGGAAAAATGGCTTATCTTATTACTATTTTTTCCAACAAATGAATAAATATAAACAGGAAAAATCTCTAAGGAAGAAATGAGGAATTAAAAAAAGACCAAGATGTCTTGCTTACATTTTATTTATTTCAACGAACAGTTTTATTTTGATACAGTTGGAGTCTTAAAGAAGAGTTACAAGAATAGTGAAAGGAATTTTCATATACCCTTCACTCAGGTTCCTCAAATGGTGACATTTGACCATGTTTCCTTTCACCTGAGTTCCCCTCCACCCCAAGCTGTTTGAGAGTAAATTGCAAGCAAACATAATGCCACTTTATCACTAGTTCTGAATATATATACACACACACATATATATGTATATGTATATGTTTGTATGTATGTATTTTGAGACAGAGTCTCACTCTGTCTCCAGGCTAGAGTGCAGTGGCATGCTCTCGGCTCACTGCAACCTCCACCTCCAGGGTTCAAGTGATTCTCCTGCCTCAGCCTCCCAAGTAGCTGGGACTACAGGTGCACCCCACCACACCCCGCTGATTTTTTTTGTATTTTTAGTAGAGACGGGGTTTCACCATGTTGGCCAGGATGGTCTCGATCTCTTGACCTCGTGATCCACCCACCTCAGCCTCCCAAAGTGCTGGGATTACAGGCGTGAGCCACCGCGCCTGGCCCTGAATATGTGTTTTTTAAAATAAAGATGTTCTCTTATATAAGTATAGTACAATTATCAAAATGAAGAAATTAACATTGATACAAAATTATTAGCTACTTTAGAGGCTTATTGCAAATTTTGCCAATGGTCTCAAAAATATTCTTTATAGGAAAATAAAATTTCTAATCATGTGTTGCCTTCAGTTTTGTGTACCTTTAGACGTCTTTTTATCCACAAATCTGGAACAGTTCTTTCAACTTTCTTCTTAATTCATGACCTCAACATTTTTGATGAGTATAGGCCAATTACTTCATAGAATGAACCTTAGACATTTCCTCATGATTAGATGCAAATTATGCAAATTTAAGCAGAAATACTAGGGAACCGATATTGTCTTATTCTCTGTGTGTGCATGTTGGGGGACAGTTCTCTGTTGGCTGCATTCCTGGTGATGTCAATTTTGGTCACTTGGTTAAAGCACTGCCTGGCAGATTTCTCCACCGAAACCTACCTGTGTGTCCTTTGTAATTCAGTGAACAACTTGGGGCTAACTTGTTGGAAGACAATTTAAGATGATGTGAATCTCCTGTTACTCATGAAACCCTCACCGGATAGTTTTAGCATCCTCTTATGACCTTTGCCTGGATCAATCACTACTGTGAATGTTGTCAATGATCAGTTTGGATCATATCATAAGGAAAAACTGTCGCTTCGATCTGACTTTATGACAGTATCATCGAGTCATAGATTCTTATTTCATTTAATGGCTTACAATCTTTTAACATCATTATTTATTTTGATGCTCAAATTATCTTCAGTGTGTTCAGTGCTGCTGTTCCTGCATCCTTTGGACATATTCTGATCATTCTAAGGGCCCTTCCTCTTTTCTGACACAATAAGATAGGTGTTCCAGGTTCTTCTTGTACTAGGAATGAGACACTTTTCCAAGGAATCCTGGTTTCTTTTAGTGAAGAATGGTATTTAGAAACCAATATCTGGGTACTAGATGTGATTATTGCTCTTGGGATCTCATTGAGGACAGAGTTAAGAAAAACATCTATGTACATACACATGCACACATACATATGTGTACACAATCTACCTCTATTTCTTTATCTGAATATATATATTATAAACTGGAGTTTATATATACCAATCCCATTCTAACCCACTGCAGGTTTCATTTTGCCCATGTCCCTTTCTATATTTGTAACCCCTTCCCTTACGGTGAGACACCAGGCTCCCGGGTTCACAATATGTTTCTTATCTACTTGATAAGAAATATACAGAAAGTAGTTTCAGAATTGCTAATTCGTACTTTTGTCCAAAACAAATTTACTCACTATCATTCAATGTTTGTCTATGATTCTCTGTTGTCTTTAGCCTCAGGATTTATAGCCAAAATATGTGTCCAAAATTACTTGGATTAGTTCTCCCTTACCCTCCTGCAATGTGGTTTTGATATTCATTAATACAATTAAGTTCATTTCTTTCCATTTGTAACCAATTCAGGGTTTTTACTCACCCGTGTTGATATTATTATCATATGTCAAACATTAACATGATTCCAAAGGTCAGAACTATACAAAAAAGCAACACCCTCCATCTTTTCTCCCCATCTTCAGCCCCCTTTATTTCTGCCTGGTTCTCACCCAATCCCTGTTAATAACCAACCTTGTAGACTCTGATTTCTTTTCATGTGAGTTCATGTGTGTTACATGAATGAGACATTTGCTTATCTCCCTGCTATGGTTTGGTTCTGTCCCCACTCAAATCTCACCTTGAATTGTAACAATCCACATGTTTCAAGGGCAGGACCAGGTGGAGATAATTGAATCATGGGGGTAGTTTCCCCTATATTGTTCTCGGGGTAGTGAGTAAGTCTCACAAGATCTGATGGTTTTGTAAATGGGAGTTCTCCTGCACAAGCTCGCTTGCCTGCCACCATGTAAGACATCCCTTTGCTCTTCCTTTGCCTTCCACCATGATTGTGAGGCCTCCCAGCCATGTGGTACTGTGAGTCCATTAAACCTCTTTCTTTTTTAAATTACCCAGTCTGGGGTATGTCTTTATTAGCAGTGTGAAAACAGGCTAATATACTCTGCTTCTTTCTTACACAGAAGTTAGTATACTCAGCCTTCTGCACCATGCTTTTTCACTTAGCAGTATATTTTTGAAAGCACTCCATATTGCTTCATACAGATCTTCTTCCTTTTCTTATTGCAGTTCATGATACTCCACTGTGTGTATTTACTGTAGTTCATTCAGCCATTTTTCTGCATAGAGGTATGAATGTTGTGTCAAAATATTTTGCATTTAAAACCAATGTTGAGGCCAGGCACGGTGGCTCACATATGTAATCCCAGCACTTTGGGAGGCTGAGGCAGGTGGATCATGAGGTCAGGAGATCTAGACCCTCCTGGCTAACATGGTGAAACTCCATCTCTACTAAAAATACAAAAAAATTAGCCAGGCATGGTGGTGGGCACCTGTAGTCCCAGCTACTCGGGAGGCCGAGGCAGGAGAATGGTGTGAACCCGGGAGGCGGAGCTTGCAGTGAGCCGAGATCGCGCCACTGCACTCCAGCCTGGGCGACAGAGCGAGACTCTGTCTCAAAAAAAAAAAAAAAAAAAAAAACCAATGTTGCAATAAATGATCTTGTGTGTATGTGTTTTCTGATTGCCAGAGGTGTATCTTCAGAGTAGATTCCTAGAAGTAAGATGAAAGAGTCAAAGAAAAGTGCAAATGTAATGCCAAGTTCCCTTCCAGAAAGGTCGTACCGCTTTTCATTCTCAGCAGCAATATACTAAGACTGTCTATTGCCTGTCGACTTCCCAACATTGTGTGTTATACTTGGTAATTTTTGTCAGTCTTATAGGTAAGAGGTGGTATTTGTAGTTTTCATCTGTGTTTCTCTAATTGTGAGTGAGGCTCAATAGTTGTAAATATATATATATAAATAATTTTAATATATTTTTGTGAATATCTGTTCATATCCTTTACTCACTTCTCTCTCAATTTTTAAAAATCTTTTTCCTCAAATTTCAAGATCTGTATATTAGGGCCATTAGCCCTTTTAATGTGATATATGTGTTGCAAATATTTACTCCCAGCCTGTTATTTTCCTTTTGACTTTATTTATGGTATTTTTGTAATGCAAATTTTTTAATTATACAGGCAAATTTATTATTTTTTAAATTGCATTTAGATTTTGAGTCATAATTGTGAAGCTCTTCCTAAACCCAGGTTATAGAGGAATTCATCCATGTTTTCTTTAGTGCTTGAAAGATGTAACTTCTTTGATTTATATTGCTGATCCATTTGAAGTTTGGTCTTATGTACGGTGTGGAGTGTGGATCTACTTTTTTCTTAATGGCTGTACAGTTGTCCTAGCACCAGTGATTTAAAAGTCAACATTTGCAGCAGGTGTGGTGGCTTGTGCCTGTAATCCCAACACTTTAGGAGGCTGGGGTTGGAAGACTGCTTGACCCCAGGAGTTCAAGACCAGACTGGGCAAAATAGTGAGACCCCATCTCTATTAAAAAAAATATTATAAAGAAGAAAAAAAACAGTCTATGTTTACCTCAGGATTTGAGATGCTACCTTTATCACTGACTAAACTTCCATATGTTCTTGAGTTTATATATGGACTTCATTCATTGGCCTGTTTTGCTATTCATGTACCAGTGCCATTAAGTACATTTTAAACTCATGCAAATTATTAATAAAATACCCACTTTACTCCTATAGGTAATTTACCATCATTCTGTTAAGTTGAACTCTATGAAACTGCCACCATTCAATGAATCTTACTCTACAGAATTCTCATTTTCATATGTTTCAACCTAATATAACTATATGCATAATTCGTGGACCATGTAGAATCGTTTAATGACTTATTCCAGGAAGAATATAAAAATTCTAGCCAAGTGGGCTTCAGAATTTCTATCCCTCATTTCTAAATGGCTTACAGACCTAACAGCTAATGAGCAGCCCATTAATAATCCTGTCTTTGTCTTTTTCTTTTCTTTCTTTTTCCCTTTTTAGTGATAGAGGGTCACGGGGTCACAGACAACATACAGAGATTCTCCTCACTGCCACCTTACCTACCTGTGAGCTACCACATCCTCAGAGCAGAGACCTCCTTCTTCCTCAAGGAAGCCAACCAGGACCTGCTGCGGAACTCCAGCCTGCAGGCGAGGGTGGAGTCCTTCTTTACCTACAAAACCAGGCAGCCCCCAGTGCTCAATGCCAGCTATGGACCCTTTTCTGTGGAGAAGGTTGTGCCTCTGGACTTGATGTTGACTTCAAACTTTTTAGGTCCAACCAATAAGTTTAGTTTTGATTGGAAACTAAAAGCCCACATCCTGCGGGACAAAGTCTACCTGAGCCGGCCCAAAGTGCAGGTTCTTTTCCACATCATGGGCAGAGACTGGGATGACCACGGCGCCGGGGAGAAGCTGCCATGCCTGAGGGTCTTTGCTTTCCGAGAAACCAGAGAGGTGCGGGGCAGCTGCCGGCTGAAGGGGGACCTGGGGCTGTGTGTGGCTGAGCTGGAGCTCCTGTCCAGCTGGTTCAGTGCCCCGACGGTGGGTGCCGGGAGGAAGAAGTCCATGGACCAGCCGGAGGGGACCCCTGTGGAGCTCTACTACACCGTGCACCCAGGAAACGAGCGAGGGGACTGTGCCGGGGGTGACTTCAGGAAGGGCAACGCCATCCGTCCAGGAAAGGATGGGCTGGAGGAAACCACGTCCCACCTGCAGAGGATCGGCACCGTCGGCCTTTACCGGGCCCAGGACAGCGCCCAGCTCAGCGAGCTGCGTTTGGATGGTAACGTGGTCATCTGGCTGCCTTCCAGGCCAGTCAAGCAGGGAGAGGTGGTCACGGCCTATGTCACCATCTCGAGCAATTCCTCTGTGGACCTCTTCATCTTGAGGTAGGTGCCCATGCTTGCCCCTGATCATCTTTGGCATGCCTGGTGTGAGACTGGGTTCCATGCGTGGCAGATAGATATTCAGGAAGCATCGATTTTCACTACCTTCAGGGACCGTTTGGCATTAACAGGGGAAGGCAAATTATGCACCTGCCCACATGCTCTCAACAGCCCTCCTTACACCGTGGGTTATGGAGGGAAGAAGAGGCAAAGGGCGGGCAGAAATTATTTCCAAAAGGAGCAAGATGAGAGTAATCCGCCTCTCTAGACCTTCAGTTATCCTCACACTTGGAGAGGGATGTGATTTTTCTTCTGCTGTGAATCCTTTGATGAGATACCATTTGAGTTGCTTGATTGAAAGTCTACGTTCAAGAAGCCCAAGAAAAGGCAGGGGAGAGATGAGATCTCACTTTGGGTATATATGTGAAAAGAGCCAAACATAGTACCCTTTTTTTTAATTAGGTGGTGTTAAAGATTGCCAGTTAGTGTCTGGGAGGCCTTACTGCATGAGTACAGCTTAGCAATAATTAAGCAAACATGCCGGGCATAAAACTCTTCAGCAAAGGTATTCCATCTTATAATACAAATAAACAAAGCAGCAGCATAATCCACCTACTGTCACCATGGCGGGTTCAACAGAGAGCAGCATCTGAGCTGTGACAGGGCTGCTCTGTCACTCTGTATAATGATTCTAGAATTTGGTACAGGAGCACATGTTTTCTGAGGATAATTAATACGGGGCTAAAATTCATTTAAAGCAAATCCTCTTACAATGTGTACTAGAATGTCATAATAATGAAAGAAGTATTTGTTTTAAATTTGTTTAAAAAATAAATGGGATAAAAATGTTTTTTTCTTGTTATAGTTAAGAAGGAGTTAGGTTGTAATTGCAGCTATGCTTTGGCTCTTGTTAGAATTCAGCCCTAATCACATTTTGAATGAGTTGCTTGGAAAAATATTTGCAAGCTAGAATGATAGCCTATCATAGCATATTTCATTTCTGTTTAACTTTTGTAATATAGCTATAAGGATGCTTATTTTTAAAGTTTTTTGTTTTTTCATTTACAAAAAGGTTCAGAGGTTTCCATTAGTTTCTCATCTTAATCCTACAGATTCAAATAATTGTCTTCTGAAGTATGCATCTTGTCATGATCTCTATAGTTTTTCCTTTCAATTTTTAAGTAGACTAATTTTGCAGATCTTCATTTGCTAATGTTTTCTGGATACGCTTGGAGGACTGCTATGACACCCCTTTCAGCGACGTCATGAACTCTTACATCTTTTTATGAGATTTACTGTACAAGGGATTCTCATTGCATTTGCATTGTGAACCTTGGTGGTCAGTGAGGGACATGCTGACATCATGGTGGGGAGGGACAGGTCTCGCTGTCAGCGTATCGGCGGCTTATTGAAAGTATCATGACCTTGTGACTGAGGAGCCGGGAGAGTCAATATTCAGAAAAAGGGTCTGAATACTGGGTTTGTTTCCCCATGGCTTGGATTTGAAAAGATGCTGATCTGGGAGCTCTGAGTTTAATTTTTGGTAAGTCCTCTTGCCCCCTGAGTTTCAGATCAATCATGAAATAAATGCATCTATCCCTGGCTTTGGAAGCTGGAGACAGAACGTCTCCAGCATGGCATGCTAAGTAGTTGTAAAATTTTAGAGTGATCATCTTCCCCCTTGCACTTTGTTAATGTCCCTCTTCAGAAAATGTAGTCTCTAGCGTCTACCAGGGTGAGCATGAGCCAAGCCACCTGGGTCCCTAGGTCTAAGGTCCACAACCTTACAGCTGTACCTGGAAGGGATGCTTAGATGGGGCTCTTCAGAGAGGAGGATCTGTTTTCTGAAATTTTCATCACAAAGATAGGCATGGTGGTGGTGAACAAAGGTCTTCCAACCAGCTGACCTCAATTCTGATCCTATCTGTTCTACTTACAGCCTGTGTGTTGGTAGGCAAGTTAACTAACCTCTGTGTGCCTCAGTTTCCTCCTCTCTAAAGCAGATGTAATTGTAGTACCTGCTTCGATGGGGTTGTGAGGATTCAGTGGGCTAATATTTATTTGCAGGGTGCTCATAACAGTGTCTGGTGCACTGAAACTTCTCTGTCAATATTGAATATTACTAACAGGGCTGTTTTTAAACACCCGTCAAACCTTCAATAAGCATTGAATTGTATCTTCGCAGTAAACAGACATTGTGTGTTGTGTAAAACAACTACCAAGTTTATTCTCAAAATTCTATTATTCCCATTGTACTATGATTTTGTTTAAAAAGCAGTGTCTTTGTATAATGACAGGAGTATTTGTAGCACAGAGGTTACTAATGGCGTGGCTCTGGGGTGTAAGACTTAGTCACATTAAAGGGTACTGCTTGGTGCCGTGGAGCGCAGCAGCCGTATTCCCTCCCTTCCGATCTTTGCCATCACAGATCAAAGTCCTGGGGAGAGAAGATCCACCTCACTCCCTGTTCACCAAGATATGGCACGTGTTATATTTCCTTACTTCAGATTTTAAATTCGAAGCAAATTTCCTAAGGGCTAAAAGCAATTGCTCATGAGAAAGTCTGAGCAGCAGACGTTCCCCAAACACGTGTGCAAATGCAAGTCCTTGTGTCTCAGGCGTGTCGGAATTCAACGAATAGGGAACAAACAAACCATCTGAAGACCCGTCTTGGAGGTTCATTCTCATTCTGAAGATGGAATTTCACTGATTAAAAAGGGGATGTTACGGACGGCGTACACATTTCAGAGTCTCGGCTTAATTTGAGTTGCCAAAATGATTGGCAGGCAACAGTGTGGCAAATGGAATTTTGCTCTATGTGGAGTCTCTCTGTTTCTCTCCTTCCCTTAATCTCCCTCTTTCTCTCCCCCTCTGTCCAATTCTCCTGTTTCTCCAACATGACTGAAGGCGCTTCTTTAAACAAATTAACGTTTTATGTTTTTAAATAATTACAGATTTGTAAGAAGTTGCAAAAATAGTACAGTGATTGCTCGTAGACCCCTCCCCCAGCTTCCGCTGGTGGTACCACCTCATATAACCATAGTACAATATTGAGGCCAGGAAACTGGCATTGGCATAACATTGTTAACCGAACTACAGAGGATGTTTGGGTCAGAATGTAGGTTTTAGGGTACCTTATCTCTTTCCAGCTTATCTGTGTGACTGAAGACATTTTCAAAGGCAAGGAAGTTCAGTTGGAAAATTAGTTCCTTGAACACCTGCCAGAGTCTTTTTAGTGTCCGTTAGGAAAAGATGAGCTCGGTCTGCTTCTCCTGTATTTTTTTATTTTATTTTTTTTAAGGAATACAGAGAACTTCCTTCCTGTGCAGAGATGCCATCTTCGCAGGCCCCTAGATACGTTGTGTGTTTCTGTATCATCAATGCAATGTGCAAGTATCCAACCATGACCATTTGCCAGGCATTGTTCTACAGCAGTGAATGAAACAGGCAACACTTCCTGCCCAAGTGAAGCTTATGTTCTAGTAGGCAAGATAAAAATAATCAAAATGTGCATGTGTGCCAAGAAGTGACACAACCAAAGGGCATAGTTAGTACAGCCTCCAAGACTGCACGCCCTTCTTTCTGAATCTGGTATTTGTCAAGAAACCAATAGGTATTTGGGCACCGTCTGCCTTAAGCTAGATAACATCCGAGAGGCCCTCAGAGAGCTTAGCCTCAAGCCAGCTGGCAAAGACAGAGTCCCTGGAATTCCATCCTGCATAAAATGAGCATTATGAACAGCAAACTCTCTAGGATGAGTGCGAAGGCTCTGGACTTCTGTGTGTTGGCTCACAGCTGTGTACAAGAGATGTACAATGCTAGACACTAAGCACCATGGAATTGCACAGTGTACACAGGCTTTGTGTTCAGTTGTCATTCAGTTCTTCTAATGCTACAGTGAAAAGTCTTGTTCTCTGCTAGCATACCTCTAACATCCTGACAGCACCTACTAATCTTGTTTTTTTTTTTTTTTTGGCGAAAGGAAAGACAGGTCACTGTTTCCAAGTCTTCTTCTTTTCTATCTGGAATTTTAGAACTTTGTTCTGCTTTCATTGTTTATGGTTATTTTCTTTTGATAGCCCAAATACAAAACAAACAAAACAGTGGTTTTCCATTTTCACTGTGGATACAATATTTCTTTTCATTCACTTGGTAAATATTGACTCAATTAATGTGTACTGACCCCTGCCCATTTGCCAGGCATTGTTCTACAGCACTGAATGAAACAGGCAAAATTTCCTGCCTGCATGAAGCTGATTTCCTAGTTAGGGGAGATAAAAATAATCAAAATTGGGTTGGGTATGGTAGCTCACACCTGTAATCCCAGCACTTTGGGAGGCCGAGGTGGGCAGATCGCCTGAGGTCAGGAGTTCAAGACCAGCCTAGCCAACGTGGTGAAACCCTGTCTCTACTAAAAATAAAAAAAAAAATAGCTGGGCATGATGGCGGGCACAGGTAATCCCAGCTACTTGGGAGGCTGAGGCAGGAGAATGGCTTGAACCTGGGAGGTGGAGGTTGCAGTGAGCCAAGATCATGCCAGTGAAGTCCAGCCTGGGTGACAAGAGTGACACTCTGTCTCAAAAAATGAAATAATATAATTACCAAGTAAATACAATGGATAGTAATAAGTGGCTTAGGAAAAAATGGACAAGGGAGGAAGAATGGAAAGTGCTGGTAATACAATTTAAGGTGACAGTCAAGGCAGGCTTTGTTGAAAAAGTGGCATTTGAATCAAGCATGGTCTTGGCAGGGAAACACGTGCAAAGGTCCTGGGGATGCTTGCTTGGTTTGTTACAGGAACAGTAAGGAGACAAATGTGGCTGAAACAGAATGGAAGATTGGAGAGGTAGGGGGAGGCGAGCTCAGAGGGGAGCTGGGATTCACATCACCTTGAACTTTGTGAGCCATTGTAAAGACTTTTGTTCCAGGTGAGATGGGGATTACCGGAAGGTTTTGAAGAAGGAATGTCACGATGTAACTTATTTTTATGTATTGCAGTAATCTAGGTGAGAGAAGACAGGGACTTGGATCAGGATAGCAGCAGCAGAGGTGTAAGTGAGTGTGCAGATTCTGGATTAAATTTAAAGCTAGGACTGATGAGATTTGTGGGCACACTTGTGTGAAGGAGACACAGCATCAGGATGTTGGGGATGAAGGACAGAGCTGCCATTCCTGTGATGGAAAGCCTGTGGGAGAGGCAGGTTTTCCCTTTCTAGATAGTGTATTATAATTTTAATGTAATTAAAATATACTTTAATACTTAAAATCATCGTTTTAAGGAAAAAATATTCAAGAAGCGAATAATATAAGAGGATGGGCACAGATGTGGGAATAACAGTGAAGTTGGCATGAGTCTCGCTGAAGTTTGGGAACCAACACTGTATTTTTTCATTGCAGTAGCTTTAGAGGTACAAGTGGTTTTTGGTTATAGGGATGAAGTACACGGTGGTGAAGTCTGGGATTTTAGTGCACCTGTCACCCAACTGGCGTACATTGTACCCAATAGGTAACTTTTCATCCATGAACCACCTCTCACCCTCTCCCCTTCCGAGTCTCTAGCATCCATTCTAGCACTCTGTATGCCTCTGTGTATGCATAGCTAATTGCAGAGATATGGAATCGACCTAAATGCCCATCAGCCAATGAGTGAATAAAGAACATGTGGTGTATATATCATCCATATCTCTCCAGCTGCCTCCACCTATGGCTGCCGGTTAGATCACAGGAGAAATCCACCCAGGTCACAGAATGTTGGATCATCGAGGTCCATTGCTGGATCTTTTCTATTGGGAAATTCATGGAGGACATGCAGGGAGACCTTGAATGATGTCTCCTCACTGAGAAACCCAAAGACTTTCTCCAATGGGTCTTCGCACAATGGTTTCACTGAGAGGGCCTGGACTTCTTGGAAATGTTTATGGGACTAATAACATACATGGAAACTTGGCGTGAACCTTCTTGGCAAGATCATTTTCACAAAGGACGCTCTTCCGTGAGCCAAAAGAAGCAGACTGGATTTTGTTTGCAACTTCACAAAGTGAATTCAAAGGCAACCCTCGCTTTATAATCAAATTAGTTCATGAGACCCAAAAGTCAAGGTGTGGAAGATGGAACCTTTGTTTCTTGTAGCTATAACATTATTTTGGAAGCCGATTTTAAAAAATAAAAAATAAAATAATTACCAACAGAAATGAAAAACACATATGCAGATAGGTTTTACAAATATAAGTGGGTTGGCTCATGAGGGTAAGCCCTTTTTCCATCTCTCTGTTCACTGCTATATCCCCAGCCCTTGGTGTATGACTTGGCAAAAAATAAAGCCCCACTAAACATTTATTGAATAAATGCAAAACCAAATGCCTAATATCAAACCTATTTCATAAACATTCCTTTTCATGGATGTTTTCTTTCATAATTAACTGAGTCTTCTTGAAATAAAGATCAGGATTCCTCAGAGAAAGCATAGGCATTATTTACTTTTCCAAGGATGTTCAAAATATATTGACAATGGAGGTCATCAGTTCTGAAAATTCCCACTGCCACCTCAGTGTACCTCTGTGCTCCTGAACCCCTGGGGATGCTGAGGATGGGATGACTTCCACTGACTGCCTCCCCAAAGCCTAGCTTAGACTGAGCTCACAGAATCACTCTGCTGCCAAAATCAGTGTTAGTTTGACTCAAGTTGCAGGTTGTAAGTAGGTAGGTCAGTCTTGACCCTGCAGGTTATTAACGTGAAGAACTTGCGGGTAGGGGGTGTGAATGTTTGGCCTTGTCAGTAAGCAATGAAATTGATACCTAAAGAGCAGAGGCGGTGATCATTCATCCTCTCCAACTTAAAATAAGCCCACTTAATTGAACAGTGTGATTCATAGACATGGAAGAGATTTGTTCTCTACTTGTAACCAATTCCAAACCCTGCATTAGGGATGCTAAGAGAGTCATAAAGCGTCACTCCTGACTGGGAGATTATACTCTGCTGCTAACGTGAATTTATGTGTAGTAAATAGACACATCCCCATGTCTCAACGCAGTGAAGAGAGATGCTTAGCATAGGGACTGGCTTCTCAATCTCAATATCATCAGCGTTTGGGGCCAGCTAATTCTTTTGTGTTGGGCTGTCTGGTGCATTGTAAAATATGGAGCAGCATCCCTGGACTCTACTCAGTAGAAAAAGTCCAGTAGCACCTCCACCTCTGCTCCAGGTCTGACAACCAAAATGTCTCCAGACATTGCTAAGTCTTCTTTGGGGGACAAAATCACCCTGGTTGACAACCATGAGCCTACACCCTTGACTTGCAGAGAATAGAGATATCTGGGTGGTCTGTGGGATGTGGGCCTTGTGATGGTCCCTCAAACATAACTGAAAATAGAACAGCAATTACATGGCTTCTTTGTCCTTTGCTGGGTGGGTTTTGTGTGTCAGGACTGATAATGGAGCCTTCAGGACATAAATCCTAAGAGATTTGTTTTTGAAGTTAAACACTGTGAAATAAGGAGGTAGTCCTCTCTCACGAATAAAGACAGAACGAAAGAGAGACTAGATGCCAAGCGTGCAGTCTTTAATAGCCCTTGCTTTGTAGGGGTGCACTCAGAAAATAAGAGAGCAAGGAGCTGCTTCTCAGCTTCGGCACAGAAGGTGATGTTCTTTCCTAGCTGTGGGGTATGGGGACCTCCTGGTTCATTAGTTCTGTCCTGCTTTGACTGGTGGATGAGGCCCAGTCATTTTATCAGTCACTAAATCTCCCCCAACCAAGCCAACACCATGCTGCATGTGCCTAACAGCTGCGTATGCTCTCACCATGTTCCAATAAACAAACAGGATGAAGGGTGGACACAGGGAAGAAAGCCTTTGAAGAAATGTGCAAGATTTATGCAAGAATACTGAGAGAAGTATTATTTTTCCAAACAGGATGAGGTTTATAGGTGGATTCACTTCTAGAATCTCACTGTATGTCAAGGAAATTCAGGTAGAGTTGAAAGACTGGCTTTTGCCTGTAGTCCCAGCTACTCTGGAGGCTAAGGTGGGAGGATTGTGTGAACCCAGGAGTTCAAGTCCAGCCTGGGCAACATAGCGAGACCCTGTCTCTTAAAAAAAAGAGAAAAGTGGATTTCACCTCCTTTAAAAGGACTTTGGGGCCAGTGATGGTGGCTCACACCTGTAATCCCAGAACTTTGGGAGGCTGAGGCGGGCGGATCATGAGGTCAGGAGATCGAGACCATCCTGGCTAACATGGTGAAACCCCATCTCTACTTAAAAGAAAGAAAGAAAGGGAAAAAAATTAGCTGGGCGTGGTGGCAGGTACCTGTAGTCCCAGCTACTTGGGGGTGCTGAGGCAGGAGAATGGCATGAACCCAGGAGGCGGAGCTTGCAGTGAGCCGAGATCATGCCACTGCACTCCAGCCTGGGCAACAGAGCGAGACTCTGTCTCAAAAAAAAAAAAAAAAAAAAAAAACTTTGGGAGGCTAATCCATTGCAGACTAATCCTGAGTTTCTAACCAGCTCAGGGCAAAGGGCAGAGTCACAGATTCCCATGGGAGGGTGAGAGGTGGGATTCATGGAACATACCTGTTCTAATAGACAAACGCCAATCATGGCTGCTCAGATGTGAGTCTCCTACTTATGCACAAAATATACATGATTACAAAACACATAAATGTTCACATCAGCTTTCCTTTTGATGGCTGAATAATATACCACTGTATGCGTAGATCACCTCATGAACAAATGAGCAAAATGTGATATTTACATGCAATGATATATTATTCAGCCATAAAAGGAATAAACCACTGGTACATGCTACAATATGGATGAACCTTAAAAACATGATGCTAAGTGGAAAAAAAAAAAAAGCCAGGCACAAAAAGTCACGTAATACATGAATCCATTTATATGCAATGCCTAAAATAGGCAAATCCATAGAGACAGAAAGTAGATTAGTTGTTGCCAGGACAACGGGAGGTGGCATGTGGGGAGTGATTGCCAATGGGTTTGGGGTTTCTTTCTGGGGTGATAAACACATGCTGAAATTAAGTAGTGGTGATGGTTGCACAACTTTGTGAATATACTAAATACTGAATTGTATACTTGACAAAGTGATATCCCAAGAGATGATGTGTGTCATGGAAAAGGCTATTGTCCTTGACTTTTCTTTATTGCCTCTAAACTAACTACACGTTGAACATTGAGCCAATTTTCAAAAATTTATTCTACAGATGGTTTTTCCATTAGGTGGCCACATGTTTTGCTTTGCCCATTACTTGACAAGGTTCTTAGGACCAGACCACTCTTTCTAATTTATTATTATGCTTTGTACTGTATCACATTTAGAAACCCCCTCAACATTGTTGATTAGTGAGAATGGCCAAAACAAGGACCAGTCAACTTCAATCAGATATGTGGGTTGAAGGTAGCACACTTCTGCGCCTATATGGCTGGCCAGGGATATAGGTGAGGGAAGCTCCCAGGGGAGAGGGAGAGGTAGTGGTAAGAGGATACTTGAAAGGGCCTCAGCATCCCCCACCATAATCTCCATTAGCCAGGCCCTCAGGCCGCCCAGATCAACACATAATCTAATGAAGACACTATCTCCATGATGCAGACGCAGTTCTGATGCAAACTCCCCACCTGCACACCGCGGCCAGCCTTTGGTACACCCCATCCCCTGCCCCTTGGCGCTCATCTGGGAGGGGCCGTAGTGAATGGCACTCACACATGTGCCCTGTTAAAGGGAGCAGCCACATGACAAGTCTCCTTGATGTCAGACATGCCAGAACCCAAGAACATAGCAACCAGAGTTACTGGCTCTAAAGAGAAATTAGAAATGGAAGCTGACAGCAGAATCGCTTCTCGACCACCACTGCGCAGTTTGGGGGACTTGACTGTGTCTCTCGGTTTAAATCATGCCTCAAAGCAGAAGGATGCATTAGCTCCCTGCGGCTGCCATAACAAATTGTCCCAAACTTGGTGGCTTGAAACAACAGAACTTTGTTCTCTCACGTTTCTAGAGGCCAGAAGCCTGAGATGAGGGTGCCAGCAAGGCCATGCTCCCTCCGAAGGCTCTAGAGAAGGCCCTTCCTTGCCTTCGCCAGCTGTCCTCGATGGTCCTTGGCTTGTGGCCACATCTCTCCAACGCCTGCCCCTGTCTTCGTGTGAATTTTCCCTCTGTGTTTCTCCTGTGTCTCAATATCCCTGTCCTTTCTCTTACTAGGACATCTGTCTTTGAATTTGAGACCCACCCTCATCCAGAAGGATCCAGAAGGCTCTCATTTGGAGATCCTTAACTAATTCCATCTGCAAAGGACCTGTTTCCAAATCAGGTTGCGTTCTGAAGTTCCCCGTTTGATGTGAATTTGGGGGTGGGTGAAAGGCAGCATTGACCCATGGCCGAGAATACAGACTGCCTGACGTGCTTCAGAGCCTGCCACTCAGTCTTTCCCTGGTTCTTTTCAATTGCCACATGCCCCTTGGCAACACCAGGCCGTGTTCCCTGTGGTGGAAAAGCAAAGTTACAAATGGGAATCTGGACCTTCGCCACGTGGAGAATAAACTCCTCTCCGCCGGAGGAGTCTAGACCGCACTCTTAAATCCACTCTTCTAATTACTGAGCACAGTCTGCATGCATGCCGTTATAGCTTCATTTCAGGGAGCGAAGTTTTTTCTTACCTATTTGATATCTGAGGATATGAGAAACCCTCGAAGGCATTGTCCACATACCTGGCTTGCCCTGCATGATCGTTGGCTCTTTCTTTCCTACTGGGCATAATAAATCTGCAGGATCGAGTGGATTCCTCAGGAGCAAGCTGACTGTTCCCAGACTCCTCATTAGCAGAAGAGACCCTAAAACACGACCAAGTTTGCATTGACTGCAGATTTGGAGCTAATTCAGAGAACTCTGGAAACTCATTTTCCCACAGTCTGTCTGAAATTCATTTCCCCTGTTGAATGTCTCCAAAGGAAGGGTTTGTTTTCATTTTCTTCAGCTTGTCATTTTAAATGTATTCTTCTGGAACAGAGAAAAGGAACAATTTTCTTTCTGCTTGGGAAGAAGTAAAGAAATAATGTTTCCTGCTACATCCCCTGTCCCCCTCCGCAGCTCCCCATAACACATCTGGGTTGCCAGGCAGCCCAGCTCCCGTGAAACATTGGAGAGTGATTTTACTGTTGTGGGAAACATTTAAACATAGAATTGACTCCAGCTCTGTGAAAACAGAAAGGAACCAGAGGCTTTCTGACCCGAATTCTGCCTTCTTGCTTCCACGTTCTTTAGCCCATTTAAGTGTCGTCTTAGTTTTCGAGTTCTCCAAATCACAGCTTTGTCTGTTGTGAAAGATTTAACACATGAATTAGTGGACCTGTGACATATAGTCCCTTTCTATCTAAAAATTTGTGTGGAGGAGAGGCAGGATAAGGTGGCAAGTGATGATTTCAGAAACATGCTGGGTACTCCAGTATTCTGGGTACTAAGGCATCTTTAGAGTCCCGTCTGCTGGCACTTGTTTGTGGTCGTGTCGTTGCTCCAGGGTTCCTGAATATTGCAAACCTGCACCATTTATGTCTTGAAACTCCAAAAGTCATTAACTGAATTAAAATCTTGGATAGAAAGGAAAAAAACAGGCATCCCTATTTCAAAAGCATTTTGATTGCATCGTGCTTGTTGAAAGTCTTTCCTGGAACCACCTTGCTGTATCAGCTCCCATTTCCTGTGCTCCTAGAGAAGTGGGGTGTGTTTTTTTGTATTTATTAGTCCTTTTAGTTTCTACTTCCAAAGGGGTGTGTGTGTGTGTGTGTGTGTGTGTGTGTGTGTGTGTGTGTATATATATTTAAGGAGGGTGGTGGCCTGGAAGTGGGGACATCCAGGAACACAAGAGGAGGATGCAGTGTAGATGGGATTGAGAGGGAGGGAAGAGGCAGGCTGTGGGTCTCAGGCTCAGCCTAGGACACTTCCCCCAGGGCTGGATCCTCCAGACTCCCCTTCCCCACTTTCCTCCAGGGTGAGATCCAAGCTCTCGATACTCCATCCAGCTACGTTAGGTGAACGCACATCCACCAGGACTTTCTTCCTCCATCACCTTCCCGTTAAGGCACTCGGCTGGAGAAGCCCGGCATCCTCACCCCCAGCTTGTGGCTCTCACTCAGATGAAAGCACTCCTCAGTACAATGTGCAGGAGACAGAGGCCATCTCTGATGTTCCTCGAAAATACCAGTGCCCATTGTCATTTTGCTCTGATATTGCAAGCACTGCGGACATGCTTTCTTGATGAAGGCTTCTTTCTGTTGAATTTTCCAGAGGGACCTTTAAAAGCAGAATTTGCTAGAACAAAATAAAGGAGTGCGCAGCCTTTTCAGCTGTGCTTACCCAGTGCTGCCAGGATGGGACCTGTCGGTCCCAAGAGCCAGAGTGCTGGCTCCTCCGGGGGCTGCTGCTTGGGCTATCCTATTGGGCTTCCAGACAATCCTATTTGTGTGGGGTTTGGCAGGTCATGCATTCCTGATACGCCATGCAATCCTCTCAACAACCCGTTCTACAGATGAGGAAACCGAAGGCCTGAGAGAAGAGGAATGCATTTGTCAAGCTTATTTTGGTTGCTACTCTAACTGACTTAGACTTAAAAAGGAATTTTTTTTCCCTATAAAACTTTTGGGAGTTTCAGGTACAAATGCATCAGGGCATGAATGATGTTCCTGGGACTCAGTCTCCCTCACTTATTTGTGCAACTCCATTCGCCCACATTGTTCTCCTTCTCCTGCTGGTTCTCTACATGGTCACCCCAAGGGTTCCCAGCTTCGACCCTGCTCAGAGTTTAAAGTAGGCCTCTTTTTTATAATAGGTGCAATAAATGTCCTCAGATTGAGTTGTCTCAGCTTGGTATGAGTCATACACCCAACTGTCATCCATTTATTGTGGCCAGCAACTATCAACATACCTATTTTCCAGGCTACCCTTAGAACTGGAAGTGGTAGATTAATCCCACCAAAAACATGCTGTCTGTAAGTGTAGACAGAGTGGTTTGGAAAAGAGAAAATCGGGGTGCAGGTGCTGGAAGGAGAAGGGTTCATGTCACGTGCAGGAAGTAGCTGTAGATGCCCACACCTATGGCATAGAGGATGGCTGTAAATTCAGAGATGGACAACTGAGTCCAAATCCTGCACCTACAGTTTTCTAGCTGTGCCACCAGGACGGGTTCCCCAGCCTTTCTGTGCTTCAGTTTCTACATAGAGATGATAACAGTAACACCAGCTCAGGGTTATTGTGAGACTTCAGTAAGATAATTTTAACATATTTGCACATATTAAGCACTTAATATTAACTCCATTTTCAATGCATTATTATTTTTATTACATGTATTTTTCTGGACATTACACAGAGAGTCTATTGCAACTATGCTTGACTGAGTGCTGTGGATTGCAGCTGAAAGCATTCTAATTGATGAACTCCCATCTCTGTAGCAGCATCTACCTTCTTTGGGAGGAGGGATGCCATTGCTTTCATTGAGGTAAGACAGGTTTTTCAACAGGGGAAGAGTTTTACCTAAACTCACTTTCCCGGAGATATCTGCAATGTCTGGAGACATTTTTGGTTGTCAAAATTGGCGAGGGAGGTGCTACTGGCATCTAGTAAACAGAGATTAGAGATAGTGCTAGATATCCTACAATGTGCAAGACAGCCTCCCCACTAACCCCACAAAGAATATTCTAATCCCAAATGCCAGTCAACGTGCAGCGATGGAGAAACCCTGAGATGAATAAATGGTTGATTGCCGTGTGGCTAGGTAGATGACCACAGCCATAGGTTATAACCAATTGCTTATCAGGCTGAAAAGCCACCGTGCTTCTCTGTGGATCACGAATGTGCCCGGGAACATGGGCTGCTAAGAGCTCTCTGCTGGGAACCTGGCAGCCTTTCCTGACAATGCAAGGAGCTCTGTCTCTTTGAAATGCTCCTCCCAGATGTTGGCTGCAGGTCATGTGTTGACCAGCCATGGAAATCAAGGCCAATTTTCATGTTCACCAAGGAGCAAGGAGCTAACCTAGTTAGCCTATACTTTGTAATAAGTATATCTTAATATCCCTTCTGTTAGAAAACAAGAAGAACAGGGCTTTGATAACATCAGAGAGGGGTATTCAAAGATGGGGCTTACCTTGGATAACACACTGGCAGAAAGAGTGTCACACCTTCATTATGATGCATTTCATTAGTTCCTAATGACTACATCCCAAAACAGGGTGCCCAGGCATGGGACTGGCTCTTAAAAATGTGGGGCCACTGCTCCGTATCTCAGATGGGAGAGCTAAAGGGTGCAGCGGACAGACACAATTATGCCATCCTGAGATGCACATTGGGGAGAGGAGGACCAGGCATGGCTGCACATCACGGTGGATGGGGGAAGGCACCATTTTTACCTCACTGGGCTGGTGGCTGCAGGGTGCTGGGGGCAGCTCGGCCTCCTTCTCAGTAACCCAGCGAGCTACAGAGTCTCCAGAGAGTTCAAGAGACTTTGACCCACAACATTCCTAGTAAGCCTGCAGTGGGCATTTAACCACCCACCAGCCTACCTTATTTTGATGTAATTGATTTTTCACCCCACTTCGCTTCGTATGACACAGTGGTTCTTGCCAAGCTTCCAGCCATAGGGCAAGCAAGTTCTATTGATGTCCCTATGGCATTGGATACCATAGCACAAATGACGGATGGGAGGGTGAAACTGTTGTTCTAGAAAATTAAATGCAGACCAGGCCTGAATAATCCCTGAGCAGACAAAACCAGTTAGGCCTCTTACGTGACCTTAACCTTGCTTGATTTGCAAACATAATGAGAACTTAACTGGAACCATTTCTTGTAAATGCATATATTAAAGAAAAAATAGAACTTAAGCTCAATCAATCAGAAGCAGCCAACAAACTTATAATTATACAGGCATATGTTGTTTGGTTGTGCTTCAGTTTACTGCATTTCACAGATAATGTGTTGTTTAAAAGCTGAAGGTTTGTGGTAACCCTGCATTGAGCAAGTCTACCAGCACTATTTTTCCAACAGCACGTGCTCACTTCCTGTCTCCGTGTCACATTTTGACAATTCTTGGAATATTTCAAACATTATTATTATTATATGTGTTATGGAGATCTGTGATAGGTGATCTGTGATGTTACTATTGTATTGTTTTGGGGCACCATGAACTGTGCCCATATAAGATGACAAATTTAATAAATGTTGTGTGTGTTTTGACTGCTCCACTGACTGGCCACTGTTGCATCCCTCTCCCTCTCCTTAGGCCTCCCTATTCCCTAAGATGTAACAATATTGAAATTAGGCTAATGAATAACCCTACACGGGCCTCTAAGTGTTTCAGTGAAAGGAAGGGTCCCACATCTTTCACTTTCAGTCAAAAGCTAGAAATGATGAAGCTTCATGAGGAAGGCATGTGGAAAGTGGGGAGGCCAAAGGCTAGGCCTCTTATGCCAGTTACCCAAGTTGCGAACGCAAAGGAAAGTTCTGGAAGGAAATGAAACGTGCGACTCCAGTGAACACAGAAGTGATACGAAGGCAAAACAGCCCTCTGGCTGATATGGAGAAAGTTTTAGGGGTCTGGATGGAAAATCAAACCATCCACAACTTTTCTTTAAGCCAAAGCCTAATCCAGAGCATGGCTCTAGTTCTGTGAAAAAGAATTCTGTGAAGGCTGAGGGAGGTGAGGAAGCTGCAGAAGAAAAGTTTGAAGCTTACAGAGGTTGGTTCTTGAGGCTAATGGAAAGAAATCATCTCCATAACATAAAAGTGCAAGGTGAGGCAGCAAGTGCTGATGAAGAAGCTGCAGCAATTGATCCAGAAGATCTAGCTAAGATCGTCGATGAGGTGGCTGCACTAAACAGCAGATCTTCAGTGCAGGTGAAATAGCTTCCTCTTGGATCTCTTGGATGACGATCCCATCTAGGACTTTTTTTTTTTTTTTTTTTTTTGAGACAGAGTCTCACTCTGTCACCCAAGCTGGAGTGCAGTGGCACGATCTCGGCTCACTGCAACCTCTGCCTCTCGGGTTCAAGCGATTCTCCTACCTCTGCCTGCCGAGGAGTTGGGATTACAGGTGCTGGCCACCACGCCTTGCTAATTTTTCTGTATTTTTATTAGAGACGGGGTTTCACCATGTTGGCCAGGCTGGTTGTAAACTCCTGACCACAAGTGATTCACCTGCCTTGGCCCCCCAAAGTGCTTCGACCATCTAGCACTTTAGTAGCTAGAAGGGAGAAGACAATGCCTGGCTTTAAAGCTTCAAAGAGCAGGCTAACTCTCTCCTTAGGAGCTAATGCAGCTGGTGACTTTCAGTTGCTCATTTATCAACCCCTAAATCCCAGGACCCTTAAGAATTATGCTCAATCTGCTCTGTCTGTGTCGATAAATGGAACCACAAAGCCTGTAACAGCACATTTGTTTATAGGACGGCTTACTAAATATTTTAGGCCCACTGTTGAGACCCAGCGCTCAGAAAAACTATTCTTCTCAAAATATGACTGCTCACTGACAATGCACTTAATCACCCAAGAGTTCTGATGGATATGTGCAGGGGGATGAATGCTGTTTACATACCTGCTAACGTAACATCCATTGCTAACACAACATCCATTGCTAACACAACATCTGTTCCACAGCCCGTGGATCAAGGAGTCATTTTGACTTTTGAGTCTTATTATTTAAGAAAGACACTTTGTATGGCTGTAGCTGCCATAGATAGTAATTCCCCTGAGGAATCTAAGCAAAGTAAATGGAAAACCTTCTGGAAAGGATTCACCATTCTAGATTCCATTAAGAACATTTGTGATTCATGGGAGGAAGTCAAATATCAATATTAACAGGGTTTTAGAAGACGTTTGTCCCAGCATCTTGGATGGCTTTGAGGGGTTCAAGAATTCACTAGAGGAAGTACCTCCAGATGTGGTAGAAATAGCAAAAGAATTAGATATCAGAAGTGGAGCCTGAAGATGTGACTGAATTGCTGCAATCTCATGATAAAATTTGGAAAATGAAGAATGACTTCTTGCAGATGAGCAAAGAAAGTGTTTTCTGAGATAGAATCTACTCCTGGTGAAGATACTGGAACATTGTCAAAATGACAATAAAAGATTTGTAATAGTACATAAACTTAGTTAAAACAGCAGGAGGTTTTGAGAGGGTTAACTCCAATTATGAAAGAAGTTCTGCTATGAGTAAAATGCTATCAAACAGCATCGCGTACTACAGAGAAGTGATTCATGAAAGGAAGAGTCAATGGATTCAGCAAGCCTCATTGTTGTCTTATTTTAAGACACTGCTACAGCCACCCCAGCCTTCAGCAACCACCACCCTGATCAGTCAGCAGCCATCAATATTGAGGCAAGACCCTCCACCAGCCAAAAAATAAATAAATAAATAAATAAATAAATAAATAAATAAATAAAATTGTGACTTGTTAAAAGCTCAGTTGATCATTAGCATTTTTAGCAATAAAACATTTTTAAATTATGTACATTATTTTTAGACACCATGCTGTTGCACACTTAATAGCCTACAGTAAGGATAAACATAGCTTTTATATGCACTGGGAAACAAAAAAAAAATGTTTGACTCACTTTATTGTGATATTCACTTTATTTCACTGGTCTAGAACCAAATTTGCAGTATCACTGAGGTGTGTGTATATAATTAGGGACTTTCCAGTGGAACAGAACAAAAAGACGACTGTGTAACTAAACAATCCAATATTTTCTTTGCTTTACTTCTGTGTCTTTCTTGTGAAAGCTTTCCCCTTCTGCTCCCTCCATAAGCTCTGAACTGCTTCTGGCTTGATGCTGCCCAATTCATGAATTATTTGCTTAAATAAACTTTAAGAAAAAAATTATCCTGCCTCAGTTTACCTTTTAACACCCTTGACTTTGGAACTGGGCAAAAATTTGGGAAACTGTCATCAGGATTTTTCTTATTGCAAAAAATTAGATAAGTTTTCCTAAACTGGAGGTAAAATGAAAAAGAGTGTCAGACGGGACTTGGGAAAACTTAAGTGTTGATAGGACCCTCAGAGGATCCTCAGGCTCTGAGGATCTGAGAAACCCCCTGGGAAATTTGGAAAATCAGAAAGGAAGGCAATGGATTTTATTTTTCTCTGTCTTTGGATAAAACACAGGGAGCAAGCAAGATCTCAGAGTCCTCCTGGCTAGCATGGAAGGACAGTAGTGGGAATGGCAGTGAGATGCCTAGGCAAAAGGGCCATAGCCCCCACACAATCCCCTATGTTTCCTGTGCAGTACAAAAGACAGAGATGGAACTAAGAGAAAATTCTGGCTTTGTTATCAGAAAAAGAAGGCGTCAGTGGGCTGCCTTGAAGGAGCTCCATTGATTTGGGAATATTCTTTTAGGATGTATGTTCCTGGATAGCAACACGGGCAGCAAGCCGATGCCAGTGTGACTCCATCCACAAGAGCTGGATGCCACCACTCGCCTCCAGCCTTCAAAGAATGTGGCTGCTCTCCTAGGGTGGGAGATCATCAGCTAGAATGAACTAAAATGCCTTCAGCTGCAGCTAACAATGCTTAACCAACAGTAGCTCAAACTAGTGGTTCTCAAAGTTGAGTGAGTACCAGAAACACCTGTTGAAACAAACATTGCTGGACCTCACTCTTAGAGTTTCTGATTCAGTGTATGTGGAAACCCAGATAATTTTATTTTTATTTTTTGAGACGGAGTTTCTCTCTTGTCGCCCAGGCTGGAGTGCATTGGTGCGACCTCAGCTCCCTGCAACCTCTGCCTCCCGGGTTCAAGAGATTCTCCTGCGTCAGCCTCCCAAGTAGCCAGGATTACAGGTGCCTGCTAATTTTTGTATTTTTAGTGGAGATGGGGTTTCACCATGTTGTCCAGGCTGGTCTTGAACTCCTGACCTCAAGTGATCCGCCTGCCTCGGCCTCTCAAAGTGCTGGGATTACAGGTGTGAGCCACCGCACCTGGCCTGGATAATTTATATTTCTTTTTTGTTTGTTTTGGAGGGGAAGTCTCCCTCTGTCACCCAGCCTCGTGTGCAGTGGCATGATCTCGGCTCACTGCAACCTCTGCCTCCGGGGTTCAAGCAATTATTCTGCCTCAGCCTCCCAAGTAGCTGGGACTACAGGCACATGCCACTATGCCCGGCTAATTTTTTTTTAAATTTTTTATTTTTGGTATTTTAGTAGAGACGGGGTTTCACCGTGTTGCCTAGGCTGGTCTCAAACTCCTGAGCTCAGGCAATCTGCCTGCCTCGACCTCCCAAAGTGCTGGGATTGCAGGTGTGAGCCACCGCAGCCGGCCCATATAATTTATATTTCTAATGAGTTCCTAGGTATTATGGGTTGAATTGTGTCTCTCAAAATTCATATATTGAAGTCCTAACCTCCAGCCCCTCCGAATGTGACTTCATTTGGTATAGAGTCATTGCAGATGTCATTAGTTAAGAAGAGATCAAAATGACTTTTAGAAGATGAAGGCAGAGATTGGTAATGTCACAGGTTAACAGCAAACTACCAGAAGTCCTAAGAAGGAACCAACTTTGCCAATACCTTCATCTTGGACCTCTGCCATCCAGAACTGTCAAACAATACATGTCCATTGTTTAAACCACCCAGTGAGTGGTACTCTGTGATGGCAGCCCTAAGAAACTAGTGCACCAGGTGCTGCTGCTGTTGCCAGTCCGGTGACCCAACATTAAGAACCACTGGTGTTTCAATTAGGAAAAGAGGAAGTCAAATTGTCCCTGTTCACAGATGACATGATTGGATATTTAGAAAATGCCATCATCTCAGCTCAAAATCTCCTTAAGCTGATAAGCAACTTTGGCAAAGTCTCAGGATACAAAATCAATGTGCAGAAATCACAAGCATTCTTATACACCAATAACAGACAAACAGCCAAATCATGTGTGAACCCCCATTCACAATTGCTACAAAGAGAATAAAATACCTAGGAATCCAACTTACAAGGGATATGAAGGACCTCTTCAAGGAGAACTACAAACCACTGCTCAACGAAATAAAACAGGACACAAACAAATGGAAGAACATTCCATGCTCATGGATAGGAAGAATCAATATCATGAAAATGGCCATACTGCTCAAGGTAATTTATAGATTCAGTGCCATCCCCATCAAGCTACCAATTACTTTCTTCACAGAACTGGAAAAAAACTACTTTAAAGTTTATATGGAACCAAAAAAGAGCCCACATTGCGAAGACAATCCTAAGCAAAAAGAACAAAGCTGGAGGCATCAAGCTACCTGACTTCAAACTATACTACAAGGCTACAGTAACCAAAACAGCACGGTACTGGTACTCAAATCAGAGATATAGACCAATGGAACAGAACAGAGGCCTCAGAAATAACACCGCACATCTAAAACCATCTGATCTTTGACAAACCTGACAAAAACAAGAAATGGGGAAAGGATTCCCTATTTAATAAATGGTGCTGGGAAAACTGGCTAGCCATATGTAGAAAGCTGAAACTGGATCCCTTCCTTACACCTTATACAAAAATTAATTCAAGATGGATTAAAGACTTAAATGTTAGACCTAAAACCATAAAAACCCTAGAAGAAAACCTAGGCAATACCATTCAGGACATAGGCATGGGCAAGGACTTCATGACTAAAACACCAAGAGCAATGGCAACAAAAGCCAAAATAGACAAATGGGATCTAATTAAACTAAAGAGCTTCTGCACAGCAAAAGAAACTACCATCAGCATGAACAGGCAACCTACAGAATGGGAGAAAATTTTTGCAATCTCCCCATCTGACAAAGGGCTAATATCCAGAATCTACAAAGAACTTAAACAAATTTACAAGAAAAAATCAACCCCATCAAAAAGTGGGCAAAGGATATGAACAGACACTTCTCAAAAGAAGACATTTATGCAGCCAACAGACACATGAAAAAATGCTCATCATCACTGGTCATCAGAGAAATGCAAATCAAAAACACAATGAGATACCATCTCACACCAGTTAGAATGGCAGTCATTAAAAAGTCAGGAAACAACAGGTGCTGGAGAGGATGTGGAGAAATAGGAACGCTTTTACACTGTTGGTGGGAGTGTAAACTAGTTCAATCATTGTGGTAGACAGTGTGGCGATTCCTCAAGGATCTAGAACTAGAAATACCATCTGACCCAGCCATCCCATTACTGGGTATATACCCAAAGGATTATAAATCATACTACTATAAAGACACATGCACACGTATGTTTATTGCGGCACTATTCACAATAGCAAAGACTTGGAACCAAACCAAACGTCCGTCAATGATAGACTGGATTAAGAAAATGTGGCACATATACACCATGGAATACTATGCAGCCATAAAAAAGGATGAGTTCATGTCCTTTGTAGGGACATGGATGAAGCTGGAAACCATCATTCTGAGCAAACTATCACAAGGACAGAAAACCAGACACCACATGTTCTCAATCATAGGTGGGAATTGAACAATGAGAACACTTGGACACAGGGCGGGGAACATCACACACTGGGGCATGTCATGTGGTGGGGGGCTGGGGGAGGGATAGTATTAGGAGAAATACCTAATGTAAATGACAAGTTAATAGGTACAGCAAACCAACATGGCACATGTATACATATGGAACAAACCTGCACGTTGTGCACATGTACCCTAGAACTTAAAGTTTAATAAAATAAATAAATAAACAAACCACTGACTTATAAATATAAGGACATTAATTGCTTACTGAACAAGGAGGCTGGGCATGAGTTCAGCAGCTCCATGCTGTCATGAACTCAGGATCTTCCCATCATGCTCCACTGCCTTCCTCTGTACTTACCCAGGATGCCCCAGGGCTCACAAGATGGCCACTACCACCACCAAGATAAACTCACCAACTGTGAGTGTTCCATGCAGGAAGGAAGGGGGCAAAGATGGAAAATAAAGGGCTGTGTGCTTGTATGTCTCTGCCTTTTCAAGGAGGAAAATCTTGCCTACAAGCCTGGCAGCAGACTTCCTATTACATTACATTGGCTAGAACTTGTTCTGTGAGCATATTTATACCATCTCTAGCAGAAGGGAAAGGGAGGTTATGCCATCGTAAGTTATGTCTTTTCTTAATTGTTTGATCTTATTTATTTGTTTCCCTTAGAAAATCTTATTTCTGACTAGACTTGGAGTAGAAACTCTCAGAGAGGACAGCCCCCATCTCTTGGCAATCTGTTTCTGATATTTTTCTTTGACCCTGTTTTATTCTTTTGGTCAGAAGCTTAGTGTACTCTGATCTCTTTGTGCTTTTCTTAGTACATTGTCTCTTCAGAGCAATACATTGACATTGTGTTCTAGGAAAAGTGGAGTAATAAAATGGTGAATCTTGGGAGCTTTGGTCCTTGGTTTATTATCTTCTATGTTCAGGGGCTTTCTGAAAATGTACTGGTGGAAATAATCTTCTTTGGGGTGACTGAAAGTTTGCAGATTCTGTTAGCTCTTTTAGTCCTCAAGTGACAAGGCACAGTAATATCAGTCAGTCCAAAAAAAATTCCTTCTTAAAACCCCTACTATGGTTTGAGTGTTTGTCTTCTTCAAACCTCATGTTGATATTTGAACCCCAGTGTTGGAGTTGGGGCCTAATGGGGGGTGTTTGGGTCATGGGGGTAGATTCATCATGAATAGATTAATGTTCAGGGTGGGGTGGGAATGAGTGCTTGCTCTGTTAGTTACCATGAGAGCTGGTTGTTTAAAAGAGCCTGGCACCTCCTCCATACCTCATTCTCTCATGCTTCCTCTCTTGCCATGTGATCTCTGCACACACCGGCTCCTCTTCACCTTCCACATGCGTGGAAGCAGCCTGAGGTCCTCACCAGATTCAGATGCCCAATCCTGAACTTTCCAGTCATCAGAATTGTAAGCCAAATAAACTTTATCTTTATAAACTACCCAGTCTCAGGTATTGTGTTACAGCAACACAAAATGTACTAAGAACACCCACTTTTAAAATTCAGGTTAAATTCTCATAACATAAATTAACTATTTTAAAGTGAAAAATATGGTGGTATTTAGTACATTCACGATTTTGTGTGATCACCATTTCTACCTAGTCCCAAAGCATTTTTGTCATTCCAAAAGAAAATCTCATACCCTAAGTAGTTACTCATCCCTCCTGTCTCCCCAAAGCCTCTGGAAGCCACCAATCTGCTTTCTGCCTCTGGATTTCCTATTTTGCATTTCTCTCCACTTCATTTTTTTCCCAGTATTCAAGTTGAGAACACTCAGATTTGGATCTATGCACGCCAATGTAAGCCTGAGCAGACTTCCTCTTTTTTTCCCCCCAGTTCTCCTGGGTCTGCTGTAATAGGAGTGCCCCTCATTCAGTAGCAGGTGGGCAAGGTCAAGATACCCTGCTTTATGGGGAAGATATATTGGTTGTTATCATAGACTCAGACACTGGGACCTTTTCACATTTCACCCAGAGTGTCAACAACAACTTCTGTGGCCATATGCTTCTCATAAGCGTATGGTCCAAAGCAGAGGTACAAAGTTGTCATTCATCCACTTCAATGAGTTTCTGACAGCCAATGGCAAGGAAGGAGCTGCCCATCTTTACCTTGAAGCATCTATTTGCCTCCACAACACCATGAAAAAAAAAATGTAAGTTATTTCTTGTGCATCTTTTGAGGCTGGGTACATGCTGCCCAGACAACGCTAGGGTCCACTCAGCCACAAAGCAGAGTGCTGTCTCTTGAATACAGGATATTGCCACCTCCCTGAGGCTCAGTTTTATCAGCTTTTGAAATAATGGCCAGAAAGAAAAATTAGTTCAATTATGGAGATATGGGGGAGCAAATTCTGAGTTTGTAGAATGAGATCTGTGCATGTTAGACTTATTATCCAGGAAAAAGAAATTGCCTAGTGTTTGACAGTGTTTTCAGTAGAGATACTATCTGGAGCTATTTCATTCAATACTTTATATCTTAGGAACTTCCAGAAAATTTGTGAAGAAGAACCTTTCTTTTTTTCAGCAGGATGAAGCAATGATTCAGCTGCCAGCTTTCAGCACACCCTACACAAGGCCATCTGGAGACCCAGAGGCCCTCTCTCCTAAGCAGTATTTTTATCTTTACTCTCTGTAGCTGACTGTAGTGGGGAGGGGGTCAAAGGGAGGGCACAATTGGATTTGACAGCATCCCCTACAGTAAGGGAAAGGCAGGCAGCAGGCGTATGAGCCGCAGATGATGGAGCAGCAGAATGAGTGATTCTGATAGTGCTCCCAGCAGTCTGTGAGCCTCCTTCGAGAATGGTCATATGGGATTGTACCCTTGAGGGACCATTTCACATCCAGCCTCCTCGAGGGCATGTCTGGCTGCTTCATAGGGTATGTTGCACCATCTATTGCAAAACAACATGAGAGCTTTTGCTTTTCTCTTTCTGTTTGGAGGTGTCATTTGAAGGGAGGAAATGTCTACTTATAGCTCTCTCTGATATCCTTATGAATAACCACAATTTGAAAGAATTTGCTCAGTCAAAGGATATTTCTCCCATTCTCCTGTCTGGGGCTATCCGTGTTGGAGTCAGGTGCTAACTCCAACTCAAAGGTCACAACTAGTGGCTTCTGGCTATATCAGTCTAGCAATTGTGTTTTATTTTGTCTCTACAAGGCTTTAAACATAAGATGAATTAGGTGCTCTTTTAGTTGTAGTTCTCAACTGCAAACAACAGAATCCACTCTAGCTGGGTTAGACAGAAAATGAATGTAGAAAAAAATGGTAGGTAGCTCACAAAATCTTCATGAGAAACAGAGCCAGGGTTAGGACCCACCATGCCCAGAGTAATAGCCAAATCCCTCTGTGGGGACATCTCCAGGAAAGGGCCTGCTGCCACGGCCCCTGAATGAGACCTTGCAGCTGTCACTACCAACACTAAATACTGGGACCACATCTCTGCTGCCCTCCAAAATCATCCCCTCTTGCCAAGGAATACATCTTTTTATTCTCTTCTGAATCAGTATATCACATGGCCAGATCTGATTGGTTGAGACCTGGTCACATGACTTCTTGCTAGCAGCAAAGGAGTCTGGGAAAGTGAGTTTCTAGCTTCTGTCTTGTGAAGATGACAATGGGGACCATTCTCCTGATATGATGGTGGATATACAAAAAGCAAGAACAGCCAGGCACGTTGGCTCACACCTGTAATCCCAGCACTTTGGGAGGCTGAGGTGGGCAGAAAACTTGAGATGAAGAGTTCAAGACCAGCCTGGCCAACATGGTGAAACCCCATCTCTACCAAAAATACAAAAATTATCCAGGCGTCGTGGTGTAGTCTCAGCTACTTGGGAGGCTGAGGCAGGACAATCGCTTGAATCTGGGAGACAGAGGTTGCAGTGAGCTCAGATCGCGCCACTGCACTCCAGCATGGGCGACAAGAGCGAAACTCCATCTCAAAACAAAAAACAAACAAGCAAACAGTAAAAACAAAAAGCAAGAACAATGTCTACCCTAGTTGCTAACACTGTTCTAAAAACCCAAGAGATGTCACAAAGAAAGTCAGGCATTCAGCTCTTCTTGAAAACTGAGGTCTGGCAGGTCAGCAGTTCTGCACGGCGATGAGTGCGAGGAGCAGAGCCACGGTCAACCTCATCAGACAGGGCACATGCATCCAGTTCACTGGACTACTCTCAGTCCACTTCACTCACATAGTACCCACCTGACTGACCTCTGTGGGCCTGTCCAGTGAGCCCAGATTCTGGCTACTGCCTACCTACTGGCATTTCTTCATTTCCCCTCAAGTCATACATGGCTTGCTACAAGGCGATGGCTTAGTAAACAGTTGGTTCCACTGCTAAAAGCATAGCTGCTTCCAAATCTGCAGCTTTGGCTGAAATAGCATCCAAAGATATACTTCCAGCAAAGGGACTTTGGCTCCTCACACATATGGGAGACTCGGTGGCATGCCGAGATACTTTGTGTCCCCTGCAGTCACCTGCAGACAGGTGAGTCATTGCCAGGTAGCTTATTCTCAATGTCTGTGAAACACTAGACATTTGGTGACAGTGGAGGGAATATTTCCAGGAACTGGTGTTGGAGGCTCAACCTGAACAGCCTATGTTCCTGCTCTTGCCTTCCCTGTGATTTAAATGGCATTAGCCATTTTGGGAGGCCGAGGCGGGCAGATCATTTGAGGTCAGGAGTTCGAGACCAGCTTGCCAACATGGCGAAACACATGTCTACTAAAAATACAAAAAAAATAAAAATTAGCCAGGTGTGGTGGTGGGCGCCTGTAATCCCAGCTACTTGGGAGGCTGAGGCAGGAGAATCACTTGAACCGGAGAGGCAGAGGTTGCACTGAGCCGGGATCGCACCATGGCACTCAGCCTGGGTGACAGAGCAAGACTCCATCTCTAATTAATAAATAAATTAAAATTAAAAAATTAAACAATGATACTATGCAGGGCTCACCCTGGCTCAGCTTTGCAATCTTAGGCAGTTCTGAGGAGTCATGCCTCCTGGGCCTCAGTCTTTTCTTCTGTGAAAAAGGAATCTGGCTTCAAGATCCTGAAACCTCAGTCCCCTCCCTGTCTGTTTAGCCTCGTCATCACTTGCTCCCTCCCCTCCAGAAGTAAGAACTGCTGTTGGTTTCTGATTGATTTCTCCTTCATATGGCTTCTGTTCTTGCCAAAAATGTTAAACTAGAGTTGAATGAGACAGATCCAGTGTGTGGGTTATTCTCCAGGGCATATGCACATGCAGTTTGCAGATGCTGGTAAACCTGGGGCCATGGCCCTCGCCCTGACTATTCATTAGAACCATCTGGAGAGAGAGAGTGAAATCCCAGTAATATCCAGGTGGACCCTGAGATACTGATTTAATTGGATTAGGGTGAGGTTCAGGCATTGGTATTTTTGTTCACTTTTAGGTATAAAACTGTTAAAAAATTAAAAGAATTTTAATTTGGTCTGGCCTGGACTTTTTGTAATGTCAGTGTTTTAAAAAAAAAAAAAAGGTGAGGGACAGAAACAAAAGAACGGTGACAAATGCAATTCACGATCCTGGATGCAAACATTAGGGGAAAATCATGCTACAAAGGGTATTTTTTGAACACTTTGAGATTTTAAAAATTAAGGTGAAATTCACATGACATAAAATTCACCATTTTAAAGTGACCGCTTCAGTGGCACTTACTGTATTCACGATGTTGTGCAACTACTATCTCTACTAATAGTTTCAGAACATTTTCATCACCCCAAAAAGAAACTCCATTCCTATTAAACAATGACTTCCCACCTGTTTCTACCCCCAGTTCCTGGCAATTGGAGAAATTTGACTATAAACTATATATTAAGTGATATTTTTGAATGAATAAAAACTGCCTTGCGTATGATTAGGTCATTGCCGTCATAGGAGAAGTTTCTTGTTCTCAGGAGATGCATGTGGAGTGTTTAGGAGTGAAATGTCATGGTGTCTAAATGTTACTTTCAAATGGCTCATTAAAAAAATGGATATATATTGTATGTGTGTGTATACGTATACATATATATATATTGAGAGAGAGAGAGAGAGAGACAGAGAAGCAAAAGCAAAACATTTACTCATATGTTCTCACAAGTGGGAGCTAAACTAGAGGATGCAAAGGCATAAAAATGATAAAATGGACATTGGGGACTTGGAGGGGGAAGGCTGGGAGGTAGGTGAGGGACAAAAGACTACATATTGGGTACAGTGTACACTGCTCAGGTCACAGGTGCAATGAAATCTCAGAAATCACCACTAAAGAACTTAACCATGAAACCAAAAACCACCAGTACCCCAAAAGCTACAGAAATAAAAATTAATAAAAATGTTTAAAAGCATACATTTAAACATTTTTAAAGTTTTTAAATTTAGCTGGAGGCATTTATGATACTATTCTTCTAATTTTTCTATAGTTTTATAATATGTTTTGAAAAATTAAGAACAGCAATGCCTGAACCTTGCCCTAATCCAGTGAAATCAGAATCTCTGGGACCCACCTGGATATTATTTGTATTTTAAAGTCTCTCTCTGGATGGCTCTGATGAACGGACAAGGCTAAAATCCACAGCCTGAGACCAGCCTCCATCTGCAGCCTCGTTTTTCATCCCGCTTCCCCACACTGCTAGTCCTAAAGGCTCGCTGTCTCCTGCTGCAACACACAGAGCTCATTCCTACCTGGGGGCCTTTGTATTGCTGTTCCAGCTGCCCGGAATGCTCCGTCCTCTGTCTTCACAAAGTGGGCTTCTTCCTGCCATTCAGGATTGCCTCCTGCTGGTTCTCATCCCTGTTCCCCTTTCTTCAAGCCAGGTATGAACTCACCTTTTTTTGTAAAGCTGGAATCTCACTGTTTCACCCAGGCTGCAGTGCTGTGGTACCAGTCATAGCTCACTGTAGCCTCAAACTCCTGGACTCAAGTGATTCTCCTGCCTCAGCCTTGTAAGTACCTGAAACTACAGGCACACACCACCACGCGCAGCTAATTAAATTTTTTGTAGGATAGGCCTTTGCTGTGTTGCCCAGACTGGTCTTGAACTCCTGTGCTCAAGCGATCCTCCCGCCTCAGCCTCCCAAAGTGCTGGGATTGCAGGAGGGAGCCACCGCGCCCAGCCCGATCTCTCCTTCTTCAAGTTCTTTGTAGCGTTCTCTTTGGACCAACCTTTTGTCATTTGTCATCTTTGCACCGTGGATTTGTGAGTGTGGAAATACCCCTCTGTGCTTCATTTCCAGCCATAGCTGTGCCTTTTTATTCCCCACAGCATCTCAAGGTGCTTCTCCCCAGGTGGAAGGCTCCGGATGGAGCAAGGGTCTGCGTCCAGAGGGGTGCTGTGACCACATGGGGAACTTTTTGTAAAGATGCCCTTGATGTTTGCAGGCAGGGAGGGAGCAGACTGGTAGTGAATTAAGCGCATTTTCAGATTCTCTTCTCATTGGCCTGTTGATGACAGTCACACGGGGAAATACTTGGGAAGGGATGTGTGTAGCAAATGTGGGCAGAACCTTAAACTCTGGTTTTCAAGTCGGGCCACATTCAGGCAACTGACTCCTAGAAGAAAACAAACTCCAGTCTTCTTTGGCTAAAGATAGTGGCAATAAATATCTTCCCTGTTTGTTCTGAGCAAAGACTCAGCAAGTCTTGCGTGGCCCCACGTCCTTGGCGCGGGTGGTATTTGATGAGGTTTCTCTCTCTGTTCCCTCTCTGATTGCACTCGAATGCTGTTTCTGCAATTAACTCTGTGAGGAACGACCATTAGGAAGTGGTCTTAAGTCAAGACCAAAGAACTCATTAAGAAATTATATTTTTCAATCTGACGGAGATAGGCGAGACTAAAAGGAAGGTGTTTGAACCTTGTACGGAGGTTTAAAGGCAAATATATCGGGCTTTCCCGCCGTTGGGGTTAATTGAAGCCACTAAGAGCATTACTCAAAAAAATAAAAAACAATTAAGAGTTAACCTGTATCTGGAAAAGCCTCATACAAAATTCTGAAATTAATTCTTGAACTGTTTCCAAAAAAGCAGAGAACAGGCCTGTTGCTATGGAAATTGTCGACTTTTTTTCTTTTGCATAGAAAAAGTTAAAATGTTACATAAAAAAAAAAACTACAACTTTTTTCCCTCCAGATTGCTATCATTTGGCCATCTAATTTAAACAGTTCAGCGGCGTGCACATTTGAACTGAATTGAACAAAGCAACATTAAAAGAGAGGGTGCTATTTAGAAGATTCGAGTGGCCTCTTTTCCTCTCATTGCCTCTCCTGTGGTTGTGTACTCTTAGCTTGCTGCTGCTCTTGTTGTCTTTTTGCGAGGCACTTTCAAAGCCCTCAGTAAACATTAGGCAGAGCCAGCCCCGTGTGTGATGGGTCAGGGGTTGTCACTATTGGAGGTGCTATATCTTGGTCCTGGGGTGTCCGTGTGTCCAGCCAAGAGCCCAGGAGCCCTGGGAAGCTGCCTGTCCACGGTGGGAGACAAGCTTCTTCCTCTTCAGCTCCGCGGACCATCCCCAGTCTCTCTGCTGAGCACCCAGGCGGCTGCCGCTGGAGACACTTCCCAGGCTTGTTCATGAAGGGCTCACTCTGAGTGCCTGGTGTTTACAAACCTCCAGGGAGCATCTCTTTCAGTGCCCTGGCACTTGCTGAAAAGTCTGCGGGGAATAAGAGTAACTGTCCATAATAGAGTAAATGGTGATTTAAAAGCCCCCCACCCCTCACCCCTGGGGACTTCACGCTGCTTCTAGAATGCTCTATCTTCAGACAGGCAGCCAAGCCCCTGTTTGTAGAACATGAAAGCAGAGGCCACAAAGCACCAGAGAACCACAATAATTGAGTCATAATGAACGTGAGATACTTAATCTCTGTCATCTACAAAGCCTCTGACAACTTCATCATGCGGCATTTTCCTTTATGTCCTTTTCCCCACTCATGCTATGAAAAAAGAAAAGCAACGGGGGATGGTGTGAGACTTGTCAGTATTTGGACATGTATCTTCAGCCGAAATTATTTGCCTTCTCAGATTCAGTAAGGAGGCCCCATTTTCAATCAGCGTGAATGCCGGATTCTCCCCATGACCAGGGTGAAATCAGCGGCAATTTCACAGCAGTCAAACTCACAGGGCAGTGACAGTGGGGAAGAGCTACCTCCTTCTGAGGTCGTCATTATATGCTGAGCTCAAGTCTCAGATCTAAGAAGTTCTAGATGCTGGGCCATGAGGGATGCAGACAGGTGCACCAGCCTTTTGGTGGCATGAGCCACAGACAACTGCTAGGGCTCAGACAGAATGTAGGATGTCCCTGAGCCCACAAATGCCAAGCGTCTTCCGTAAGAAAGTCTAACTCCTGACTCTGGAGGCCACACATTTGCAAATGCCAAACTTTCCTGATCATGAGTTGTCCATTCTCCCTTTTTCTCAAAGGCATTTAAATTTCTCCATCTCAGTTCTTTAATCAACTATTTAGCAAACACCTATTGACTGGAGTCAATAGTAACCTTAAAAGAAAACAGCATGGGTTTGCACTTTAAGTAGATTAGCTTTGCAGACCTCTAAATTCTGAGGCTGTCTTTGTCCTTGATTGCTTTTGCATCTCCCATTATATCAGGCATGGGACCCCATGCTTCAGAAGGGCTGGGGTAATTCAGCCACTCCAACCTGCATTCAGTCATTACTGAAGCAGCGATATATTATGAAATGACCTAATAATGCCATCATACTTTGCCTCTGGGGACTGATTGCTCTGCTGTTTTCTAAGAAGTGGTTTCATTGCTGCATAGACAGATACAAAATGCATAAATGAATACAGAGCCTGTGGGATGCAAAAGTCCAAGGAACTAGGCCTAGAGTAAGGTAGGAGAAATGTCTCCAAATCCAGTTTTGAGGTCTCTCTTGTTGCAAGCAACAGCAATTGGTACACGTGTGCTAAGGAAAAGGGAACTTTTGGGAAGCATACTGGGCAGTGCATGGAAGGAGTGGAATCAGCTCTCAGGGCCGTGGAAACAGCTCTCAGGGCAGTGCTGGAAAGCTGGGGCTCAAAAATGGCCACTTGCTTGTAGCTGTTGTGACCAGTGATCGCCCCTGTCCCTCCTGCGCCTGTGTCCACTTACTTAATCATCATGCTCCCAGGGAAGAAGCATGATTGGCTGAGTTTGGCCACACACCATCCTTTGGCTGTCCTGTGGCAGGGAGAGAAAGAATACGGCTCTTTCCACCTCCGGTCCCTTAAAATTACTGTCTTATCAAGACGTTATACAACAGGCAAGAGGTAATTCCCTGAAAATAATTTGGTGCCATCAGGGAAGGAAATGGATGCTGAGGTTCTAAAACAAATGTTTATGAAAGAAAAGGCTATACCTGTTGCCTTGATTAGTATATAAGGAAGGCATACAGAGGTTTTCTGGTCAATATTTAACAACCTGCTCTTCAGGGAGGGGAAAATAGAAACCCTTATGCATAGCATTTGCCCATTTCTCAGGTGTAAATACTCCCACTATGATTAATTTCAAATTGCCAACTGGCTCACTGAATTTCTCATTTAACGTTTGGCCTTCATAAGCGAGTAAGAGTCAGAGTCACCACACTCCTAGACGTATGATATTATTTCAAGTGCTTTTTTTTTTTTTTTTTTTTTTTTTTTTTTTTGAGACGGAGTCTCGCTCTGTCGCCCAGGCCGGACTGCGGACTGCAGTGGCGCAATCTCGGCTCACTGCAAGCTCCGCCTCCCGGGTTCACGCCATTCTCCTGCCTCAGCCTCCAGAGTAGCTGGGACTACAGGCGCCCGCCACCGCGCCCGGCTAATTTTTTGTATTTTTAGTAGAGACGGGGTTTCACCTTGTTAGCCAGGATGGTCTCGATCTCCTGACCTCATGATCCACCCGCCTCGGCCTCCCAAAGTGCTGGGTCAAGTGCTTTTTAGAAAAGCATAGTAATATAATTCCTAAAACGATCCCACCGCATTCTCCCATTTCTGAAACAAATAACCTGCTGAATGTTAGATGTGGTAAAAGTAAGACAATTTTTTTTGTTGTTGTTGTCACTGGTGAAAATTGGTGGGAGGCATTGAAGGTTACATCACTGTTTCAAAATCACATAACTAGTAGTTGGTGGAGCTGGGATTTGAACCCTAATGATATAGCTACTGAACTGTTATGCAGCTTTTTGCCTAACAAACCACTCCGAAAACCACATGACTTAGAGCAACAACTATTTCTTTACCTTGCAATTCCGTGTCTGTCATTTGTGCTGTGCTCCGCTGGGCAGGTCTTCTGCTCTTGGCCGGGCTCACTCATTTGTCTGAGGTCAACTGCCAGTCAGCTAGGCAGCTCTGCTTATAGGGGTCGACTGGCTATCATCTGGGATGATGGGGGCCTCAGGGCCATCTGTGTGTCCTACTCTAGCGGGCCAGCCTGGGCTTGTTTGCATGGAAGTCCCAGGGCTCCAAGAGAAAGAGTCGAGCCAATGCCCGGGATTGGAACTGGTATAACACTGCTTTTGCCACCTTCTTTCGGCCACAACAAATCACAAGTCCATCCCATGTTTATGGAATGGGGAAACAGATCCCACTTCTTAATAGGAGGAGCTTCAGAGTCAAACTGCTAAGGGACTTTTGGATACAGGGAAGGCAAAATACGCCCTCTTTTATAATCTACCATAAGGGATAACCTGAACATGCAATTATACTCTTCGTTTCTTATTTATTAACCAATTCGTATTAACTTTGCTTAGCACATGGGTTAGAGTCTGGTGGCTTGAAGGAGTGTTTTGTTGGGCCTGTGTCATATTTTAAAAATTAAGAAATTTTATAGGCCGAGGCGGGCGGATCACGAGGTCAGGAGATCGAGACCATCCTGGCTAACACGGCGAAACCCTGTCTCTACTAAAAATACAAAAAATTAGCCAGGCGCGGTGGCGGGCACCTGTAGTCCCAGCTACTCGGGAGGCTGAGACAGGAGAACGGCGTGAACCCGGGAGGCAGAGCTTGCAGTGAGCCGAGATCACGCCACTGTACTCCAGCCTGGGAGGCAGAGCGAGACTCTGTCTCAAAAAAAAAAAAAAAAAAAAAAAAGAAATTTTATTTAGAATCTGTTTTCTTATTTTACCTTAAAAATCAGAGGGTCTGAAAACTGAGCCCATTTTTCTGCTCCAAGAGTTTGGAGCCAGAAGGCTGCTCTGGGGGGCATGTGCTCTCGGCTCCATCGTAGCTCCAGTCACTCCCTATAGTGCCTCCCAGACAAGCCTGCTCATTTACTGAAATTACTTTCCTGGTCCCCGGAGGCGTTTTTGTTTACAGTGTCTACTATAGTATTTCAGTGCCTAAGTCTTTGACTTCATTAAGTTAATTGTGTTAACCTACTCCACTGCTAGAAACAAGTAGACCAGATAACTTCTTATTAGTTCATGCTTTGGGTCTGTTTACAGTTTATTAGGATGACTTCTCCATTTGGACTGAAGCCAAGATGAAACCTCATCCTTGTCTGATGTTATCATAATTCCATTATGAAGGATGTCATGACAGTTTTCCAATGTGCAAGGCGTGAAGATGCAATCTTACTGGGCTTGGCTATGACTCTGTTACAGTGTCACCCATCAGAGTACAAACTAATCATGCTGTAAAGAATCCCATTGTCTCAAAAATAGCAGTGGTTTTTTTTGACAGGTGTCTCCTTAGCTATGCAGTGATTAAAGTAAATAAAGCTGCTGCTTCCCAGGAAGGTGACTAGACGTTTCCATGTCGAAACTCTTTGCCAGGGAAGGAAGTGCATTTGACACACAGAAGCAGAAACAAGGCAACTTACTAGGAAGTGGAATCAAGTTTAACATGCAATAGATGCTAGAATTTTCTAGGGAAATGTCCACAAGACCTATGAAGATTTGACGATCCCAGCCTGCCTAGAGAGGGATGTAGGGCCCTGAGTTTCACAAGTGAGTTACTAAAAGTAGCTCAGTGGTGTGAAAGGAAGGCACTGTGCTTTCTGGAGCAGAGCTAGCCAGTCAAACATTGTGTAGTGGTGGTAATAGTCTATATCAGTGCTGCCTGGTATAAGCAGTCACTTGCTGCAGGTAGTTATTGAGCATTTGACATGGCTCATTTGACGGAGGAACTAAACTTTTAATTTTATTTAATTTTAATTAATTTAAATTTAAGAGTCACTTGTGGCTACTGGCTATCATATTGGATAGCAGGGAACATTAAGAAGCCCTACCTTGAACTCCTGACTTCTGGGTGTTCAAGGTCAAAAATAAATGATAGAATAAGACCAACTCATTTTATAGTTGGAGTTGCACCAAAGAGAGAGCCTTTGAGATCAGGGACCCTATGTTTCTCACTGTTTTATTTCCAATTCCCTCAGCAGATGAGGGTCACCCATCAATGACAGTTGAATGATTAAAGACCAATAAAATGCCCTAGGCTATGGTAAATAATTCCAAAAACATGGTAGGCATGCCACTGGTAAGATACCAAATTTTAGTTACACTTCTTTTATTTACTAATTATGATTTGTATTCATATGCATAAGAAAAAATATAATTCACTTATCAAATTTATTGATGGCACAGAAGGAAGTGAGGCTGCATGTTTTAAAAGTGAGTTTGGTTGAATTCGGTATACAGAAAAATATATAAATAATGAGATAGTTGGTTCTCAAATATAGCAAATACTGCAAAATGAATAAGGCAATTACGGAAATTCAAGGAATTCTGCTGTGGATGCTGGCACCCTTTGTGCTCTGATTATGACGAGTTATTTTTCTCCTTATTTTTCTTTTTTATTAATTGGCGCATATGCCTCAAAACATAAAATCTTGTCCTTCAAACCTTTGTGCAGCTGAGTGAACTACTTTTTCTTTTTTTCTTGTTTCATTTGGCTTCTCTTGTTTTTATTTGGAAGTAAGCCGAAAGCATGAATATTCATGATGCTGTTAAACAAGATTTTTATTGAAAACAAAAACAGATTCAAAGTTTCTTGTTTGTGGCTCTCTAGCCAGAGAGTAAAAGCCCCATTGAAAGATTGGTATCAGAGATTTGGGTTCTTTGCTGTTTACTTTTGCTAAAAATGTAGATGTTTGGCTACTAAGGGGTTAGTCTGTTTTAGAAAAAAAATACAAAAATAAACCAGTATTACGTTTCTAGACTGCCCTTTTCTATCCTTGAGCACCAGAGGAAGACAAGATAAAATAATAAATGAAAAAAAGGGAGAAATATTGTTTTTCCTGTTTGTCCTAAGTTCAAGAGAAAGAAAAGACACAAGCATCTACAGCTAAAAATGTGCCTTTGATTTTTCCCAGGCTTCCTTTACTTTCTGATTTCTAGAAAATTGATCCTCTTCATCCTTTTTAATTTGTGTGAGTCTCCGCCTGCTACCCCCGGCAGGAAAGAGGGCTGCATATTTTGTGAGGTTCATTAATCAACCCATTATTCTTCCTCACACATTCCAATGTGCAGGGCCACTCATTTTTCATGAGACCTATTGTTACTTGGCAGAAAATAAATACACCATCAAAAATGTATTGCGACACTGACTAAAATTTGAAGGGGAGTAAGCATTGCACTTTCGGTCTGTACAAACAATATTGATTTATGAAAAAGAAATTCCCAGGAGAGTCTTTAAAAATCAAACAAGTTTCCTCCTGATGGGTGGGGTGAGTTTGAGGCTTTGTGCCACAAGTCATTAATTTATTCACTCATTCCTTTAGTCAATACATATTTATTAAGCAGCTACTAAGTGTTAGCTCTCCACCTTGGGCAGTCAAGAGTGAGCAGAACAGACAAAAAAAGGGACCCAGTGGAGCTTACACTTTATGGGTAGGTGGACGACCACCAGACAACAAAATAAAATCACTTAAAAATACAGTGATAAGTTGAAAGAACAAAAATTAAATTTTAAGTATTATTTACCAAGTCTTATATCCAGAAACAATTTGAAAAAGAGAAGGAAGTCGAAATGCAGGCCAAGCAATTTTCTTTTATTTTTTAAAAAATAAAAAAATGCAATTATGATTATGATTATTTTTGATACAGGGTCTCTCTCACTCTGTCACCCAGGCTGGAGTACAGTGGTGCGATCATGGCTCACTGCATCCTTCACTTCCCAAGACTCAAGCGATCCTCTCACCTCAGGCTCCCGAGTAATAGCTCGAACTACAGGCATGCGCCACCACACCCAGCTAATTTTTGTGTTTTTTTTAGAGACAGGGTTTTGCCGTGTTGCCCAGGCTGATCTATAGAAAGCCTGGACTCAAGCGATTCTCCCACCTCGGCCTCCCAAAATGCTGGGATTACAGGTGTGAGCCACCACGCCTGGTCGCAATTTTCACAAGTGTGTTAATACTTAAGGCAATGTGGGCTGGGCATGGTGGCTCACACCTGTAATCCCAACACTCTGGGAGGCCGGGGTGGGTGGATCACTTGATCCACTGTGTCTACTAAAAATACAAAAATTAGCCAGGCATGGTGATGTGCCTCTCGTCGCAGCTGCTGTTGGTGGGGGGGTTGTAGGGGGCCGGGTGCTGAGGTAGGAGAATCGCTTGAACCCGGGAGGCAGAGATTTCAGTGAGCTGAGATCACACCACTGCACTCCAGCCTGGGCGACAGAGTGAGACTCCATCTCAAAAAAAAACCAAAAACAAAACTTAAGGCAATGTTTCCAGAATGTGATTTGTGCATTTCTGGCTGTCCACCGATCCAGATCTTTAAATGATATTAATTATAAGTATACCATTTAATAATTAAATGGTCATAATTACATATGTATCGTTAGGGTGGACTTTCATTTTTTATCAAGTAGCATGAGTTTTTCATTTATGAAGATAATATGAAGTTGTATTTTGTAGTAAATGTGTAAGTTAGAAAGGCACACTGTAAAGAAAAACATTATGTAAACTACAGAAATGGTAGTATATGGATATAGAAAGATGGGGATACACACCTGGCTCTTCCAGGGGGCTTCTAATACCTGCCTTCTATTCCAAAAATAATAACTGAAGAAGGAAATGGCAGACAAGACCGTGTTGATTCTTTAGTGACTGCAGTGTGACGGAGTGTCCCTGCGAAGGTGGTTTGCCTGACTCCGTTTTCTAGTGCTGCATAGCAGCCACTCCAGAGCACAGTGGATTCAACAAGCAGCTGCTTCACCGGCTCTTGATTCTCTGGGTTGGCCAGGCAGGGCTCAACTGGCAGTCTTGTCTCTGCTCCATGTGGCATAGGCTGGATTTTCTCATGCAGCTGCAATCTAAGGTGAAGGATTTCAGATGACCTCACCCTGTGTCTGGTCTCCCACGGGAGTGGCTGGACTGCTGAGCTTCTCCCTTTGTGGTCTTTCAACCTCTCTAGTTTCTCCCTTCCTGTGTCTCACCAGCTTTGTACCTGGGCTTCTTGACATGGCCGCACGGTGTTCCAGGAGAACAAATGTAGACACTGCTGGGCTCAAAGAGTCACACTGAGCCAGCCCAGAATCAAGGAAAGGGATATTTGACTCTGGATGGGAGCAGTGACAAAGTCATGTTGCAAGCAGACAAGAAGGGTGGGAAAGAGGGCGGCAGCCATCTTTGGTAAAAATCTACTATGATCCACCTTCTGGAGCTGGGAGCAAACCAGCGCATGCAGGTTGGAAGCATATAGAAAAAAGTGGATGACTCTGGCTGGTTGTGTGTGTGTTGGGAGGTGAGGCACCACCCCGCAGGGGCTGGGGCAGTTTCAGAATAAGAAGAAGGAAGGGGAGAAAAATTGGCTCTTTGGCCATCTATAGAAAGCCAAGAAAGATGATAGGTTTTGTACGACAAGCCTCAACATCTCAACAATTATGTTCGATTTTTAAAAAAATCCCAGTATGGGGAGAGACAGCTGTGACACGTGAAGGAGATGTGTGGAGACCACAGGTCAGAAGGTACAGAAGGAGGCAAAAGACCTAACATGAAAAAGATCTAGCGAAGGGGGCCCTTTTGATTTGAAAGGAAGATTTATGCTTCTTTCCTTCTGCATATATTTGCCCATCTAGGTCCACAAGGATATAGACAAGATAACCAAAGTGTACTCGTGAGCTCCTTGGGAAGGTATATAAGAAACTCTTAAGCACATTCACACATCGAATAATAATAATAGAAATAACTATCATTTATCAAGTCCTTATTATATGCCTGCAGTGTGTTAATGCTTTGCACATATTAATCCACAGGAGGTTAATGCTCTGAATTTTTCAAAGTTACGGAAAATACTACTGGTGGCCTACCCAGCATCCACTTCCTTCATCTTAGCAGAATCCTAATGAAGTTCAGGTCCATGGATTTGCTCTTTCTCACCTATCCCTATACTTCAGGAAACGTGAATCTCACCCCCAGCTCCAGAAGTTGATGTGATTGGTCTTCTGATTCCTATTGTTGTTTACAAATTACTCAGAAATATAGAAGGTTAAAATGACCATTTGGTTTTGCCTCTAACTTTGTGGGGCAAGGCTTGGCTGGGCAATTCTCACTTGGGGTCTCCCATGAGGGAGGATGCAGAGGTGTTCGCCGGGGCTGAAGTTTCCTGAGAGACCCCCTGGATAGGACCTCCAGGATGGAGCGCTTATATGGCTTGGAGTTGACACTGACCCTTGGCTGGATGCTGAGCTGGACTTTCCACCATGTGTGATCCAACCCCAAAACAGGAGAATCAAAGCAAAGATAGCAGACAGATTCAAGAAGAGGTTTGTGTGCAAACCGATATTCACAGGTACCCTGGCTTCCAACACATGCTTGAGTTCTGATGTCTCACCTGCCCTGGTCCTGAGGACGGGTTGTCACAGAGACAGGAGCCTGCAGTCTCTCTGAAGAAGGCAGTTGATCCTGTCCCCTGTTAAAATTGGCCGAGAGGCATAGAGCAGGTGGGGTTGACTTGCCTGTGGGCAGTGGCAGGGTTCAGATACTGTATGCTGATTTTCTTCCTCCTCATGTCCACAAAATCAGCCAAATTAAGTGTGAAAGGTAGAAAGTTGAGGCCATATAACTAAGTCCTTCATGATTTCTCCCTTGCCCTTCCCTTTTCTGCTGTGACTACAGAGTGTCAAGAAAAATCTGAATTTTTGGTACTCCAAGCAAGCTCAAGAGAAGATGAGTCTAAGGTGTGATTACAGCTTGAAGCAAAGAGCTGCTGGGTAAATAAATCATGGTGGTCAAATCCAATTAAGTGGGTCTGCAGTGACTGGGTCTGCCAACTGAATTCAGTTTCACTCGAGACCAGGCTCTACCCACACGGAGGAGGTGGTTAATTTCTGAAACAGAAGTGGGAAGGTTGGAGGCAAGTGCATGCTTTGCAGCCCGGCCGTCTGTGCTCAGGTTCAGGAGGGGAATATGTGACCTACTGAAGCAGTATTGTGGTCCTGAAAGATGACAAGGGAACCAGTAAGCAGGATGGGGCTGAGCAGCCTTATTCATCGTGAGAGAAACACCCTTTCTCCCACTGAGATATGTATGTGACCGTAAACGTGTTCAGGAGAGAGTGCTCCTTACTCCCATTGCTGGGGAAAGCAGATTTTCCACTACAAGTCATTTTGATCATGAATAGAAACATATTATAATAGAAACGTATGATCTTGTTCTGTGGGTGATAAGTAAACATGACATCCATTGTATTGGTGTTTATAGATGACAGGTTGTGCACTCCCAGCCCTAGGAGAGAACAGCCAAGGAAACGAAGACAAAACAGGTGTGGGCCAGGGCACAGTAATCCAGGCCGACTTACGGGCTGTGGGGGAGCCCGGGGGTAGATTGGCTCCTGTGAGCTCAGACTGTGGCCCCAGCAGCAAGGAGAGGAAGTTCACTGCAGCATGGATTCAGAAAACATCTGTGTCACATCTTGTGCTGAGTGTTTATAAAACAAAGATAAATGAGATTTCAGTCTTGTACTCTGGAAGCTCACGTTTCTACTACCAGATGGCAAATACGTCAGCTTTGCTCTATTTGGAGTAAATGCTTGGGATGATGTGTTGAGGAGGATTCTGAGGCCATGCCTGAGTGAAGGAGAGAGGAGGACGTTGATTGTTGACATCTGCCCTGCACCAGAGGGAGAATGGCAGCCTACACACCACGTGGGCTCTTTCAGGAACCAACTCTCTTAGTTTCAGGCAACAGAATCTTGACAGCAGACACACAAAGACTAAATCTGAGACCCGATGCAGTCTTCAGAGATGTTTGCGTGATTTGCGTGGACTTTTCTTGTTTCATATTTTTCCTTATTTTTATTAACATAATTTACTACATTAAATTGCACAGACCTTAATTCTATGGTCTGATTAGCCTTTTTTTTTTTTTTTTTTTTTTTTTTTTTTTTTTTTTTTTTTTTTTTTTTTTTTTTTTTAGCAAAGGTCTTGCTCTGTTACCTAGGCTGGAGTTCAGTGGCTCGATATTGGCTCACTGCAGCCTCAATGTCCCAGGCTCAAGTGATTCTCCCAGCTCAGCCTCCCAAGTAGCTGGGACCACAGGTGCCTGCTACCGTGCCCGGCTAATTTTTTGTATTTTTGGTAGAGATGGGATTTCACAATGTTACCCAGGCCAGTTGCAAACTCTTGTGCTCAAGTGATTCGCCCACATTGGCCTTTCAAAGTGCAGGGATTACAGGCGTGAGCCACCACTCCTAGCCTCTGATTACTTTTGACAAAAGCATACACCCATGTAACCCATACCTCTAAGAAGACATAGAACAATTTCATTATTCCAGTAAATCCCTCCATGTTCCCTGCCAGATAACCCCATCTGCTCCATGCCGAAGCAACCACTGTCCTGATTTCTATCACCATGGTTGAGTTTTGCCTCTTCTTTAACTTCATATAAGTGGATTCTTACATAATACACTATTTTCGCTGGCTTCCTTAGCTCCGCGTGTTTTGGGGATTCATCCATGTTGTTGCATGTGTGAGTATATCATTCCTCTATTGCAGAGCTCACTTCCTTATATGAATACACTATGATTTGCTTGTCATTCATCTGGTGGCCTCCAGTTTGGGCTATTATGCATAAAGCTGCTATGAATATTTATATGCATGTTTTTGTGTGGATACATGTTTTCATATATTGTGGAGTGAAATTGCTGCTCATAGGGTAAGCAAGCATATTTTTCACTTTTTTTAGGAACTGCCAGTTTTTCAAAGTGGTTTTACACCACTTGGCACTACCACCAACATTATTTGAGAGTTTTGATTGCAGCATTCTGTCATCAAAATTTGAGATTCTCCATCTGTAAAAAAAAAAAAAAAAACAGCGCTTTGGGAGGCCGAGGCAGGCAGCTCATGAGGTCAGGAGATCAAGACCATCCTGGCTAACACGGTGAAACCCCTTCTCTACTAAAAAAAATACAAAAAATTAGCCAGGTGTGGTGGCGGGCACCTGTAGTCCCAGCTACTCGGGAGGCTGAGGCAGGAGAATGGCATGAACCTGGGAGACGGAGCTTGCAGTGAGCCGAGATCGCGCCACTGCACTCCAGCCTGGGTGACAGAGCGAGACTCCATCTCAAAAAAAAAAAAAAAAATTAGGCAGTCTAGTGATGCCTAATGGTATATATTTTATTTAGCTCTCAAAGCCAACCTATGAAGTAGGCACTAGTGCTATGCAGAGTTTACTGAGGTTAATGCTGGGCACTGAGAGGTTACAGGTCAAGGTCATACAGCCAAACTTCAAAGGTCCAAGAGAAATGGGCCAAGTTTAAGAAAATGAGGAATAGTGGGATGGAGATAAGCATTTTCTGCCTACCTCTAATTTTCATATTCAACTGATGAGAGAATCCAGCCATTGAGAGCCCTGGATCATGCAGTTAGTAAGGATCTAAGTTCAACGAATGTGGACCAGAGTCCCTGTTTTGCACTGCCGGCCACATGACAGTGGGAGTTGTCAAATCTTTCAGTTTCTCCTAAGAAGCCAGAAATCCATATATTTAAAATACAGTATGTCAATTTTAGTTCAACAATTTGTTTTTATCTGCTGAATAAGCCAGACAAAGCCTAGCAGTGAACCCCATTTTTAAAAATATCTGTCGTACACAATAGGGAGATATTACAGTTAGTAGATTGATTATATATCATAATTCATTTTCTGTATCATTATATATAATTAGAATATCTCATATTTATATTTTAGTATTATAATTATATAATTATAATATATCATGGAGTGAGTATTATAATATAATATTTAGTATTATAATTATATAATTATAATATTTAGTATTGTAATTATATAATTATACTAAAATTATATATTACATATTTATTATAGTATATATTATAAACACTGCTATAACAGAAACCCAAAATAATAATGATTTGGACAAAATACAATTTAGTTTCTTAATTTTATTTCCTTCTTTCTTGCTCACATACCATCCAGCTGTGAGCAGTTTAGGGTTGTGTAATCACTTCGTGGTGCTGGGGACGCAGGATTCCTCTCATTCTTGTTCCATTGTCCCCGGAACATGGTCCCCTTTGCCCGGTGACTACCACCAGGCACCTTTCCCATCATGGGGAAGGAGGAGAAATGGGACAGGAAGGGCTCATCCCTTCACATAAAAGCCGTGGTGCACCAGTAAGCATTTAACAACCAGATCTCTGCTGGGGGGCAGGGAGATTGATTGGTTGCTTTTGCCAGTTTCCATGGTGTACATATTCCCACCATCGCCAGTTTCAAGCTACCAACATGAGGTAAACTGAATGTGGAGTCTGGAAGGGATACTCACAGTACAGGCTGGGCTTTGCTGCTCTGGCACGTCACTGTTTTAAGAGCTCCATCTACACATTGCCTCTTTCACTTCCACCAACATCTCCAGAATTAGACACCTGTCTGCAAGGGAGGCTGGGGAATGTAGTTTTTCGTTGACATTAAGTCCAGTGGCCAGGTGGCCCAGCTACAAACTGAAGGTTCTTTTCTTATAGAAGAAATTGAGGGTAAATCATTGAGACCACTGGAAGTCTGCAGTACAAGAGGTTTTAGACAGGGGAGTATCAGGTTATTACAACTGGATTTAGAAGGTCCCACTGCAGCCTTGGAGGAGGCATGGAAGGGGAAGACTGGACCAGCAGCCCCTTTGGAGAGAATGGGGAATAGTGGAGGCGGAGGTAAGCATTCTCTGCATACCTCTAATTTCCATATTTGACTGATGAGAGAATGTAGCCATTGAGAGCCCTGGATCACACAGTTAGTAAGGATCTAAGTTCCATGAATGTGAACCAGAGTCTTTGTTCTGCACTGCTGGCCATATGAAAGCCTCCCTCAGGAGCCTGGTACCCATGCTGAGAGATCAGGAGGGCCTGAATGAGCTCACTGTGGCTGGGGTAGAGAAGAGGACCTGGGTTTGAGAGACCAAGGAAGTGGGCTCTTTAGGATTTGGTTGTTGGTTGATAGAAGTTGGTGGTAGGATGTCAGGGTTAAAAGGAGTTAGAAGATAGAGCATGACTCGGAAGTCTCTCTCCTGGATGATAGTGGTGTCATTGGTGAAAATAAGAAAAACAGACAGAAGACCAAGTTTTGAGGGGAAGGTAATGAATGCTCTCTTGGGCCAGGCGCGGTGGCTCACACCTGTAATCCCAGCACTTTAGGAGACCAAGGCGGGTGGATCACGAGGAATTCAAGACCAGCCTGGCCGAGATGGTGAAACCCTGTCTCTACTAAAAATACAAAAATTAGCCAGGTGTGGTGGTGAGTGCCTGTAATCCCAGCTATTCGGGAGGCTGAGGCAGGGGAATCACTTGAACCAGGGAGTGGGAGGTTGCAGTGAGCCGAGATTGTGCCACTGCACTCCAGCCCGGGCAACAGAGCAAGACTCTGTCTCAAAAAAAAAAAAAAAAAAAAAAGAATGCTCTCTTAAATTTATTTGAATTTGAGATTCTCTTGGCACCTCCGAGTGGTATCCAGCAAGTGTTGAAATAAGGCCTGAAGGTCCAGGGAGGGCAGAGTCTGGAGTCTCAGATTGAAAAGTAATAAAGGTTCATATTAGTAGTTAACAAATTTGGAGATTACTAGTCAGAATTTCCCAGTGAATTCTGCAGAAGAGAACTCGTTGGGAGATAGAATAACTAGCTAGAGTGATTTCACTTATAAGTGACAGAAACCCAAATCAAGCTGGCTTAGGGGAGAAGAAGGGGGAAATAGTGGGTCATCTAAATAAAAACTGTGGTAGAACAAACTTCAGGCATGGCTGGATCAAGGCCAATGACAGTGTCACCAGGACTGCCTTTAGACCCATCTCTCACCCCTGCTTTCTTCTGTGATGGCTTCATTCTCAGGCAGCCTCTCCTCACAGGGTAGCCAGGTGGCCACCAGCAAATCCAGACCTATGTCTTTTCAACTTAGTAAGTCCACTTGTTCAAGCCAAAGTCTTGGAGCTGCTTCCTAGTGGCTTCTATTAGTCCATGCAGCTATTCCTGAACCAATTCCTGTGAATGACTTTACCTGGCTTTAGTATCGTTCTCACCCCGAGAGCTACAGTATGGGTCAGTCCCAGTGCCCCAGGCGGTGCCACTCATTGCCACCCCACTGAGTAGCAATGGCTACCCAAAAGAAAATAAAAGTTGTCACCAGAAAAAGGGAGAATGGGCGTTGGACAAGCCAAAGCTACAGATGTTGGTCAATGAATGCAAGTTTGCAGGGAGGGGCAGCTGCTTTCCATGTGGCCATATTTGATCAGGGAGATTCATGCACCCTCCTGTCCTAACCCGCAGGACTCCACTCTTGGCATACTCAATCATCAGTAGGTTTGGGATTTTGCCATTGGAGCTTTTCCCAGCTCAGCAGCTGGGTGGGGGGAATGCTTGATAGAGACCTTACCAAGAAAAAAAGGCAGCAAACCAGAGGCAGCCCCCAGCTACCCAGGGCTCAGGCCTGCCACGGTGACTTAACTTGAAAATGAGTAGCTAGGGAGAGGATGCGTGTTCATCAAAAGCCTGGGACTTCTTTGTGTTGTTTTTTAAAAGAAAGTTAATGAAGGCATGTTTGCAAAAAAAGAAAAAAATAACAATAACAGAATTCTATTGCTGACCTTGTCAGTGACCCAAATTTAAAAGCCATTTATCTTCTCTGTGTGTAACTTGCACCTCAAAGTTTGCTCCTGGCAGCTATTAATTCAAAGAGGGGAAGAAGAGGCAGTTGGCATTTTAAAATCTACATGTTCTGATTCTCTTGCATCAGGTGCCGCAGGAGTCCAGACAAGGGACATAGAACTGTGCACTGCAGGGAGCGTCATGAACAAGGAGCATTGTGGGTGGGGGAGGCCTATGGACAATTGATAAGTGCACACAGACCCCATCCGAAGACATTTTCAAATACTTTGAGTTATTTTGAAACTCTGTGTAGATCACCACCCCACCCCATCCCACCCACAAAAACAAACAAACAAAACAAACAAAAAGAAAACAGTCTGAGAAAGGGACTTGGCCTGAAGACTGTCAGTGGGAGACCCTTAAAAGGGGAAGCAAAGTTTTTATTGTTCCTCATTTCCGGGAGCTCCTTCCTCATGGCCCAGGACTGCTGTGCACAGTTGTACAGGTTGTTCACTGCTCCAGCAGGCTCCATTGAGGGAATGATGGGTACTGATGTCCAGCCCACCTCATTGTTCACCAGGTCAGGATCTCATAGGCCTGTGCCCACCCAGGGAAATTTTTTGAGTAATTCATTCAAAGTTGATGTGTGTGATAGTGGTGATAGTGGTGTGTCACTCTCTATCAAAGCCCCCAGCAAAGGCCTCTACCTTTATTTTGCTTCAATTCCCAAGCCCCACCTTCCAGAACTCCATTCTCCAGGGGTGATGGAGTTCCTAACCTAGGACCTGCTCATAAAAAGGCTTCTCAGGCAGAGATTTCAGTGCTATTTGGATGACACCTCATTCTAACCGCAAAAGCTTGTGTTGCAAACACAATCGGATTGGAGCGGGTGCCTCATTTTCTGTGTGTTCAGCAGAAGGTGGGTGCCTTCTTCACTGTGAAATCCAGCCTCCTTGGAGCTCTGGGAATGAATACAGCTTCTGCTTTGCATCTGTTATTTTATTTGTTTGTTTTGTTTTGTTTTGTTTTTTTGAGACAGAGTCTCGCTCTGTCACCCAGGCTGGAGTGCAGTGGTGCAATCTCAGCTCACTGCAACCTCCACCTCCTGGGTTCAAGCAATTTTCCCTGCGTCAGCCTCCTAGTAGCTAGGATTGCAAGTGCCAGCCACCACACCCTACTCATTTTTGTATTTTTTAGTAGAGACGGGATTTCTCCACGTTGGTCAAGCTGGTCTCAAACTCCCAACCTCAGGGGATCCGCTGGCCTCGGCCTCCCAAAGTAAAGGTGGAATTCCAACAGGGAGACAGTGGAGGTATCAGCGGACCTGAGGATGTAGTCAGACTTTTTATTTCCCTGTTTGAGCATTCCTGGTTTCCCTTGCGTTCTTGTGTATTTATTTCTGGTTTTCCCAAAATTGTTTGTAATGTGAAGTCGAAAACCTGAATATTTTTATAGAAACAAAACTTCACCACGGTGAAGACATGAAAGGATCTGGCATTCTTCGGAGCTCTTCCTCCTGAAGGAAAGCCACACTCTAACTCTTTGATCTCTTCTTGTTTTATTGTTGTATTTTACTTCATTTAGAAAAGTATAAAGTCCCTAAATCAGTAGTAGGGGGAGCAAAAATGTCCACAGGCCCATATATGCGTAAGCCACAAAAAGGAATGCTTGTAACCTTGATGAAGGTCTGTAATACCTATTTTGGAGGAAGAGAAAGAAGATGAGAGCCCCAGTGTGGGTGCAACAGTTAGGAATGCTTTTGGCTGCAAGTACCAGAACTCCCCAATAACAGCAGTTTAAACAAATAGTGGGTTGTTTTTCTCATAGATCAATACACCTGGAGGTATGTAGCCCCAGCTGAACAGCCCAGCCACATCCAGGCTTTGATTCTTGTATCTGCCATGCACTTGGTGTCTGGCTCGTGGCTGCAGACGGCTGCTACAGACTCCAAGCTGACATTCAAGCAGGAGGAGAGGAGACATCCTGGCCAAAGCTATGACTTTTATTCTTATCAGAAAAGCAAAAGCTAGCCTGGAGGTCTTCCGGCTACCTCCAATTATATATCACCAACTGCAATTATATCACATGGCCTCATCTTTATATATAACCTACCGCAATTATATCAGATGGCCTCATCTGCTTGCTGTAGAAGCTGGGGAAGTTGGTACTTTCTTCTTTCAGCATCTATGATGGCAGGGATGGTGGTTTACCAAAAACTCATGCTTCTCTTTTCTTTTTCTTTTCGAGACGGAGTTTCTCTCTTGTTGCCCGGGCTGGAGTGCAATGACGCGATCTCAGCTCACTGCTACCTCCGCCTCCTGGGTTCAAGTGATTCTCCTGCCTCAGCCTCCCGAGTAGCTGGGATTACAGGCATGCACCACCTCGCCTGGCTAATTTTTGTATTTTTAGTAGAGATGGGGTTTCGTCATGTTGGCCAGGCTGGTCTGGAACTCCTGACCTCAGGTGATCCACCCACCTCGGCCTCCCAAAGTGCTGAGATTACAGGTGTGACCCACCTCGCCCAGCCCATGCTTCCGTTTTCTTATTGAAGCATGTCCCTGGAAGGGCCTGCCTGGCTAGAGCCTGTGTTCCCCGTTCCTCTCCCATCTCGGTGTGCCATGAGATACACACCAGCTCTTGTCCATCTAATGTGAGCAGAGCTGGCCTGTGTTGCTTCTGTGCCCCATTTGTGTGCCTTCCCTACTCCCTCCCTCCTTATCTGTGGCTAGATACAGAGGACACCGAGGTCCTAGGGAGTGGGCAAACTCCAAGATGTGAGTTGAATGGCCATGTGCAGGAGACCAAGCCTCCAGCCACGGGCCCACCTTGGATTCATGTGTGAGTCATAAATAAACCTGTATCATGTTAAACCACCAACACTCTGGCATTTACTTTTTCCAGCAGCTGGCCCTCCCCTAAATAACACAGGTATTTCAACAGACAAGGGAGGAGACCAGAAACCCTGTTTAGTGATTGGCCAACAGTGTCCCCAAGCTAAGTTCTGTCTAGACACCTAATCTCCTGATGTCACGTCAGGCAACAGTTCTCCACTTCCATTGTGAGTCATTAGTTTCTTTGATCTTTCCTCCACCATCAGCCTTGGAGAATACCGTTCATGAGCAAAGGGAGCCCATGCATTAAATGGTGCTTCCAAGGGTAACACTCTTCAGGACTGATACACCAGCACGGCAAGGACTGCCTTGGACCTCCCTTTCTCCCCTGCATGCACTACAGTTGGCCCTCCCCACATCCTAGTTGGGGGTGGATGATATTCAGCATGAGCCAGGTCCCCAGACCTTAGCTGATGGACCAGGAGCAGGTGATCTCACCCAGACTGAGCTGACCCTGTCTCCTTTTAGGGCATTTGAAAATAGAATGTAGCATGGTGGCTCACACCTGTAATCCCAGGACTTTGGGAGGCTGAAGCAGGAGGATCACTTGAGGCCAGGAGGATGGTTTGAGACCAGCCTGGGAAAAATACTGAGACCCCCATCTCTATAAAAAATGAATAAATAAGTAAATAATTAGCTAGACATGGTAGCACATGTCTGTGGTCTGAGCTACTCAGGAGGCTGAGATGGGAGGACCTCTCAAGTCCAGGAGTTTGGGACTTCAGTGAGTTATGATTATGCTACTGCACTCTAGCCTGGGCAGCAGAGAAAGACCCTGTCAGAAAGAAAGAAAGAAAGAAAGAGAGAAAGAGAGGGAGGGAGGGAGGAAGGAAGAAAATAAATAGAATACAAAATATAACACAGATGAGAAGAGCAGACCTGCAAGGCTGTGTGAGCATTAGGGCCTCAGGTACCACTTAGGGACAACGGTGAGGGGTGTACATGCCAGTGAGTGAATGGAGATGAGCGAGAGTAGGACAGAAGCAGACACAGAGAGGGGAGAGAAGGAGGAGAGTAAATCCGGGAGGAATTTCCCGTTTTCCCAAGACTTGGGTGTGCTTTCTGCAATCACGTCCCTTGAGACGTCCTCCTATGCTTGTTGGTCTATAAGCAGTGTCAGAGTTCTGTGTCTTCTGTCCAAATGTCTCCTTCTTTAAACCCCTGGTGAGGAGACACCCACATAGATAAGCTGTTCATCATCCTGATCATTCTTCATTTCTTTTTTTTTTTTTTTGAGACAGTGTCTTGCTCTGTCATCTAGGTTGGAGTGCCATGGTGCCATCTCAGCTCACTACAAGCTCCGCCTCCCAGATTCAAGCCATTCTCCTGACTCAGCCTCCCGAGTAGCTGGGATTAAAGACGCCTGCCACCACGCCCAGCTAATTTTTTGTATTTTTAGTAGAGACGGGGTTTTTGCCATGTTGGCCAGGTTGGTTTCAAACTCCTCACCTCAGGTGATCCACCTGCCTCGACCTCCCAAAGTGCTATGGTTACAGGCATGAGCCACCACACCCGGCCTCTTCATTTCTTCATTCACATGAGAGATACTCATGAGTACACTCGACATGCCTAGCACTGTCCACAGCCAGGCGTCCACCCAGGTGACACCAGGACAATCCATTCTCCTAGGCACGTGGTGAGGGCCTGCCTGGGATTTCCTGTCTCATCCTACCCTGAACCCAGGCCTGCCCTCACGAGCACTGGAGTGAGACCCTGCTTGGGTGTGGTGTGAGGGCCCCAAGGGCCAAAAGAACACCCTCAAGGGTGGCAGTAAGCATGCCACGCGTTAAGGTGCAGAACCTGACTACATGCATGCTAGGCTCTCAGCTGTGGTTCTGCGGCACCGGGTGCTCAGTTAGCCGGTTGCTGATTGCCTTGCAGCAGGGCTGTGATGAGGGTGTGTCTGTGGGAAGGAGGATGTGCACAGGTGAGGAGAGGCCCGGGGATAAGGGAAGGCGAGTGAAGCACTGGGAGTGAGGTTGAAGGGGCCTCCAAAAGACTCCAGAGTAAAGATAACATTGCATGAAAATAAGGTATTTTTGAAAAATCAAAATTAATGCCAAAAAAACCCATATAGAACCATATATCTAAGTTTTAAATAAAGACAGAACAGGGTGGGGAGGTGGAAGTCAAAGTGGGAGAAGGGCCCAGAAATGAGACAGCGATGCCGCTGCTGCGATGGAGAACTAGCCAGCATGTGTGAAGGGGAGAGCACAGGAAAGAAGGAGCCAGCACAACCTCCCTCTGGGAGCTGCAGACCCAGGGATCCAAGTTGTCCTTGAAGAGAACCGCTGGAGAGTCAGCAAAATCCTAGAACAGAGGGAAGAAATACTGTAGCCATTGGCTCAGTTTGACCTGCAAGCATGCTTTGTTTGGCTTATATAAAATTTACATTTTACCAATTTAATGGCCAAGATTTAAACTTTTCATTTGAAAATTCAACTTTCTGACTACCTATGGCAACTGAGAATAATGGATTGCTTAGAGCCAAATGGAGCCCAATCGTTCCACCAGGTCATGACTTTTTTGCACCTGGAGGGCTACACTTTTTTCTTCTTTGGAGACAGGGTCTCACTGTGTCTTCTGCAGCTCAGGCTGGAGTGTAGTGGTGCAATCCCAGCTCACTGCAGCCTCAACCTTCAGGGCTTAAGCCATACTCCATCCTCTGCCTCCTGAGTACGTGCCACCATGCCTGGCTAATTTTTGTTTTTTGTTTGTAGAGATAGGGTTTCACCATGTTGCCCAGGCTGGTCTTGAACTCTTGGGGTCAGGTGATCCACCCGCCTCGGCCTCCCAAAGTGCTGGGATTACAGGCATGAGCCACCGCACCTGGCCAGGTACACTTCTTTATATGACCTGTCCTAGTCCCCTTGGACATTCAGGTTTGGAGCCCTGACACTTGGCTACATAGGGGAAGAGATAAAGCTGCAAATGTGCTGAGGGGAGGTATTTCTTCATCCTGGTACCTGATAAAGACTTTGCCGAGCTTTTGAGCCAGCACTTGTGGAAGGAGTAGGATTTCAACATGATAAGGAAGAGGGGCTTTCAGGTGAAGGTCAGAAGATGTGAGGCAGCTGGAAGGTCAGGCAGGGACAGTGGAATTGTTGAAACCTCCCATGGAATTGGGAACTCATGGCGTTCATAGTGCAAGCATCAGACATGTTGCTAATTTGATAGAAAATCCTCCTTCTGAACTATTTATATGTGCCATCATCTCAGACTCCGGGTATGTTGGGGTGGTTTCTTCACTGCTTTGTTTAGGAAATTAATAGAGATGCTATTGGCACCCAGGAACAATGGGAGAATGGCAGCTGCCAGAGATCTTCTTCTCCATCCCAGCATGAAATTCATATTCTTAATACAAATGCCAAATTGTCATGTCTTGTAGAGGGTGAGCATTATGGAGTTTTTGATGATAATGGCTGGGCTGTCTTGGGCTGTTGCTTAAATGGCTGAATTAAATTGGTTTATATTTTAATGAGATGACTAATCATAAGCAATTGTTATGGATGATTGTGAGCCAACTGAGCTGTTTCGTTGTGTTTTCTTTTCATTCCATTTGTTGTTGTTAGTCCATGAATTGGAACAATTCTGCTCCAAGTTGGCCTCTCCATCTCGCAGTAGCAGGGGTCAGGTCCAGATTTTGGATCTTAACACAGCAGTGATAAAGGAAGCAGGGAAAGGTTTCTGCAAGAATGGAGCATGGGGGAGGGAGCAGGATGAAGAGCCCAGACTGGAGCTCTAATACTCAGCTTCCGATCAGCTGCATCTGGAGCAAGCTGCCCTCTGTTCTTCTCAGCATTCTCGTTCCCCATCTGCAAAACAGGCACAAGCATCTGTCCATCCATCTATTCATTCATTCATTCAACAGACATTTGATGTGTGCCCATCATGTGTTACACCAGGATGCTCCTCGCCCTCATGAGGTTTATAGTCCGGTGGAGGAGAGGGGCATCAATCAGACGGTCATACAGGTATGTGAACCTATGATAAACATGTGCTCTGTGATGCAGTGTGCAAGGACATCACTTGGAGGGGATGGGGAATCCGGCACCATAGGGAGTAGAGGGCAGAGAGGTATCTGGTGATGACGCAATGTCTGACTCAGTGCTGAAGCTCAGCAGGTGTTGGCCTCAGTGAATGCATGTTGAGCAGAGGGAAGGCGTTAACTGTGCAGGGCTAGCGGTCCAGAGGGAACACCAACCCCGGGGTGACAAGGATGATGGGAGTTAGAAGCGTAGCCTGAAGTCCTAGTGAGGGGTGTGCAGGGAGGGCAGGGGGCTTAGACTTTCTCCTGAAAGCACAAGTAAGCTATGGGGAAGGGACCAAATTTACTTTTTTTTTTTCTTTTTGAGACAGAGTTTTGCTCTTGTCACCCAGGCTGGAGTGCAATGGCACGATCTCGGCTCACCACAACCTCTGCCTTCCGGGTTCAAGCGATTCTTCTGCCTCAGCCTCCCAAGTAGCTGGGATTATAGGCATGCACCACCACGCCAGGCTAATTTTGTATTTTTTTAGTAGAGACCGGGTTTCTCCATGTTGGTCAGGTTGGTCTGGAACTCCCGACCTCAGGTGATCCGCCCGCCTCGGCCTCCCAAAGTGCTGGGATTACAGGCATGAGCCACTGCGCCTGACCAAATTTACTCTAAACAAACAAACAAACAAACAAAAAATCTCTGACTGCCAAGGTGGAGAATAACATGAGAGGCTTTGGCAAAGTCAGAATTTCCCAAAATGTCTCATGTGTACCACTAATGTTAGAAGGTACATTAACTTTTTTATTTTTATAATAATGTATTTAGTTGAATATGTATTAGAAAAAAAGAAAACACTATCACATCAAATGAGTCATGGTACAGATATTACTACTTAAGACAACTTTTAAAAAAATTAGTTTAAAATATTAAATAACAGTATATGCGTCATGGTTCTAACAAAAATCATGAATCAGACTCAATGTGGGAAACATTGGACTTTCTTTCTTCTCCATTTCCTTCTAGTTCTCTAACTCTCTTGTTTCTTAGGTGTTAGAAACACAAAGAATTCAACACATCCCTCATAGCAACCATACCGCTTGGTTGAAGTTACATCAGACTTGTAGGGGAAGCAAAAGGGATCATTTACGATGTTTTCGTGACATGAGGAAATGGAAACATTTCTCTCTGATTTCCTAATTCTGTCTTGGCAGCCTAAGCCATTTCCAGAAGAGATCTGGTGTTTCAGATAATAAAGATAGCATTTAAAGCAGGGTTTCTCATTTTTTGATCATGCACAGAGACACATTTTACTTTATGACTCAGATCATATATATAAGCGTGAGTGCACACAAGTAATATCATAAAGCATGCTTTTTTTTTTTTTTTTGACAGGATCTCACTCTGTTGCCCAGGCTGGAGTGCAGTGGCTCACTGCAGCCTCGACCTCCTGGGTTCAGGTGATCCTCCCACCTCAGCCTCCCAAGTAGCTGGGACTACAGGCATGCACCACCACACCCAGCTAACTTTCTGTATGTTTGGTAGAGACAGGGTTTTGCTATGTTGCCCAGGCTGATCTCAAACTCCTGAACTCGAGAGATACACCCAGCTTTACAGCCATGAGCCACCATGCCTGGCCACAACATGCATTTTTGTATGCTTGTATGCTTTGTGTGTGTGTGTTTGTGTGTGTGTGTGTGTGTGTGTATATATATATATGTGCATTTATGTGTGTGTATGTATATATATGCATTTATGTGTGTGTGTATATATATATGCATTTATGTGTGTGTATATATATACACACATGCATTTATGTGTATATAAATGTGTATATGCATTTATGTGTGTATATATATACACACGTGCATTTATATACATAAATGTACCTGTGTGTATATACACACACCCACATATAAATGCATATGTATATACACACACATAAATGCACACATATTATATAAATACATACACATATGTGTGTACATTTATATCTGAAATGCAGTTTCTGAAAACAATATTTGCTTTTGCTTTATGTTACAAACTGATGCTTCTCTGTTCTCCTTCATGACTTACAAAAGACTTCATGACACCCACTAATCTGCTTCCAAATACCTTATGACCTCTATTTGAACACCACTGATTTGAAGTTTCCTGTTCCAAGTGGACCAGCTTCTGAAAAGCCGGAGTGGAGCGTGGATGGCAGGACCTGGTGGCCCTCATTTCATTTTTGCGGGGTGATAAGAACTGGAAGGGTCAACTGCTGAGGCAGAGAAAGTGGCTTGTCGACTTACCATCCTGTCTTGCTTATGATGGACGATTTCCAACCAGTGAACTCTGACAGCAAAGAGGCATTTGTCGCGTGTCCTCTGAATTTCCTGTTATTCCTAGACCAGTTTTCAGTGTGGCTGAGTTGACTTCCCTTTGGTTCTGTCGCTCAGGCAGTGGCAGAAGAATCTTTTCATCCTTGCTAATCACCTGCTTTTCTGTGGTCTCCTCTGCTACCTCTCGGTCTTGGTAGGAGCCAATTTTCCAACCATTGCTAATTTGGGAGAAAAATATGCAGGACAGGCCAGTGGAGGAGAGGATGTAAGGAAATAATCCAGTTCATAAAACCAGCATGGGTCAATCACATACACACTAAAGAGCCAGTCAAATCCCATTGATACATGAACTACACGCAGCTGCATGTATGGGGAATAACTGGATTCCGTTCAGTCAAATTTACTATGCAAGAGGAATGTGTTCAAGTTTTGGTGGGCTGTTACATCAGGTATCTGTACACTTTTTCTTAGTATAAAAAGCAAAATAGTAAATATTTCCATCTTTGCAAGCCAGGTGGCCTTTCTTGCAGCTACTCAACTCTGTCTTAGACAATACATTCAAAGTGAATGTGCTGTGTGCCAATAAAACTTTATTTACACACATAATCGGCAGGCTGCTTTTGGCCCATGCATTATAATCTGCCTACCCCTGCCCTGAACCATGCATGTTTTCTGTACTTTCACTCTTCTTTCATAGATCATGTTGCAAGAAATCTTTGAATCAGGGTTTCTCAACCTTGGCACTACTGGTATTTTGAATCAAATGACTCTTTGTGGTGAGGTGCTCTCCTGTGTATTGTAGGATGTTTACCAGCATCTCTGGTCTCTGTCCACTAAATGCCAGAAGCATCCCCGCTTTGATCTGTGACAACCAGATGTCTCCAGATACTCCAGAAGTATCCCTGCTTCGATCTGTGACAACCAGATGTCTCCAGGCAGTGCCATATTCCCCTCCAGGTGGAGTTGGGGGAAAATCGCCCTCAGTGGACAACTTATATTTTAAATTCTCGCCATTGTTTTCCTTCCTGATGTATTTGTGTGTTTGGTCTCTTTGACAGAGATCTTAAGGCATTAATTTAGGGAGGTGGAAGCACAGATGGCCCCTAGTTGCTGCTCAAAGAATCAATTATGGCCCACGACCTCCATGACCTGAATCTTGATCTTCCCTCTTCTGAACCAAATGGAAGGAGGTTGTCAAGCTCTGCCCCTGGCCCTAGGCATAGCTCTGAAAAAAGACAGGAATATATAAGATAGGAGTTTAAGAAGTTATCTTTGCTAAAGGGGATTAAAATGGGAGGCAGCCTGTAACCGAGAAGCAGCATTGCATAGCATCATGCTTGGGTGCACAGATCCTGGGGTGAGACTGCTTGGGTGTAATACAGACTTTAATACTTCCTGGCTGTGTGACCTTGGGCAAATCACTTGACTTCTCTGTGCTTCAGTCTTCTCATCTAGAAAATGTGAATAATGTTAATTCCTACCCGCTAGGGCTATGTGGAAGATTGAATGAATTGCTATCCCAAGTATGTAGATGGTGGCTGCCCTGAAGTCAGCACTCTATAAGTGCTTGTTGAATAACATAAATAAAATAAAAGCTAACCAAAAAAGGATATTCTGAAGTCAAATTTCCAGCAATGTTCAAGTAGGAAATTTGGAAATATTTAGTTAGGTATGAAGAGCAGTCTTCTCGGTTCCCTAAAAATCAAACCGCACTGGCTGGCTGTAGTCTGGGGGTAGTTTAGGGTTACGCAGATGAAATAACCACTCCTCATACTCATGGTGCTTCCCCAAGAGACCTGCAGGTAAGTCCTGCAGGAGGCACCTGCACGTACCCAGTGCCTCTTGACACAGATGGTTCAGGAGTGGGTTGGGGGCCTCTGTGCTCCTGCAAACTTCTGGGCTACATAATAACTCGGGTTTCTATATTGATGTTTGACACCATGAGATAATACAAGATTAAAGACACTCTCTGCAGCCCCATGCGTCTTTTCACCTGTCTGGCCAATTATAAACAAGCAGTATAATCTCCCCACCTCTCTGTGTTCCAGAGAACCTTCCTGTCTTGTGAGATGCTAGCAGTTCTGGGTCAGAGACCCTCTTCCATGCAAGATTGGGAAATATTAGGTTAGTCAACGGGAAATAGAGTTATTTATGGCAGAACTCCAGGGAGCCTTAGTAGGCCATTATGCACTGGGAGCCTGAGGGGGCTCCAGGTCCAATCTGTTCCCTACCTTCCAGGGAACATGTGTGCACGGAGTGGTTGGGAAAGACCACCATGGTGACAGAAGCTTGGATGATATCAAGGCAGACCTTTCTATATCATGTTTGCTGTGCTAATGATTGCTGTGAATTCCAAGGGGAGATAATATCCCTGGTGGGATCAGGAAGCTCTATGGGCTGACACCTGGGTTGGGGACTCTGTGGCAAAGGACCTCAAACATCTGGGGGTCAGCTTCGGCCTGGATTTATTTGAGAGCAGGTGTGCAGGCTCCTTTGCCTGGGAACAGTGTTTTTCATCCCATTTGCTGTTAGTTATAAAATGGTCCCTGATGATGTAGCCATTCTTGAGGTTCACATGACCAGGAGCCCACATATATATGAAGTCTGGCAGTGCATTAATTTCCTGGAGCTACTGTAACAAATTATCCAAAATGTAGTGGCTTAAAACAATAGAAATGTTGATTTGGGGCTTCTAGCCTCCAGGACTGTGAGACACTACAGGGTTGGTTCCTTCTGGAGGATCTAGGGAAGGATCTGCTGCCTTTTCTGGCATTTTCTGGCTTTAGGTATCCCTTGGCTTGTGGCAGCATCACTCCAGACTCTGTCTTCATCTTCACTCCAGCCTCCATCTTCATCTTCACTCCAGCCACTATCTTCATCTTCACTCCAGCCTCCATCTTCATCTTCACTCCAGCCACTATCTTCATCTTCACTCCAGCCTCCATCTTTGTCCTTACTCCAGCGTCTATCTTCATCCTCACTCCAACCCCTATCTTCATCTTCTCTCCAGCCTCCGTCTTCATCTTCACTCCAGCCTCTATCTTCATCTTCAGTCCAGCCTCCTTCTTCATCTTCACTCCAGCCTCTATCTTCATCTTCACTCGAGCCTCCATCTTCATTTTCACTCCAGCCTCCATCTTCATCTTTGCTCCAGCCTCTATCTTTATCCTCACGCCAGCCTCTGTCTTCATCTGCACTCCAGCTTCTATCTTCATCCTTACTCCAGCCTCCATCTTCATCTTCACTCCACCATCCATCTTCACTCCAGCATCCATCTTCATCCTTACTCCAGCCTCTATTTTCATCTTCACTCCAGCCTCTATCTTCATCTTCACTCCAGCCTCTGTCTTCATCTTCACTCCAGCCTCCATTTTAATTCTCACTCCAGCTTCTATCTTCATCCTCACTCCAGCCTCCATCTTCATCTTCACTCCAGCCTCCGTTTTCGTCTTCACTTCAGCCTCTGTCTTCATCTTCACGTGTCTTCTGCTCCCAGCCTCTTCTTTGTGTCTCCAATAAGGACAGTTGTTACTGGATTAAGGACCCACCTAGAAAGTCTGTGATGATCTCATCACAGGATGCCTAACTTACTTACATCTGCAAAAATCATTTCTCCAAAGAAGGTCACATTGACAGTTTCCAGGATGTTGAAGTATCTTTTGGGGATCACCAGTCACCCACTGCAGGCCATGTTATCTTGAAAATGCCTGATGCTCTTGATAACAAACTACCTTATTGTCATCTCGGGTCCCTGTTACACTAATTCCTTGCATGGATGAATCATCCTGTTGTAAAATTTTAGAACCATGGTTCTTAAACTCGAGGAAACATCCACATCTTCTGAAGGGCTTAATCTGCCCAGGGCTGAAACACAGATTGCTGAGTCCCACCCCAGAGCATCTGGTTTGGCAAGTCTAGGGTGAGACCTGGGAATCTGCATTTTTAAGAAATCCCTGGTGATGCAGATGCTGCTGGTCCAGAGAGCACTTTGAGAACCTCTGGTCTGGCAGGTTTTCTTCAGGAGGGGAGTCACAAGCATGCTGGGCCCACCATTTGCAGGAAGTCTATGTTCCTGGATAGGCAGTACCCCAGCTCCCTCAATTGTTGCTCAAAGACCTCACTGCCTTTAGCACACACTGTGAAACTCCAGAAAAACATCACACCTAGGGGTGTCATTGGTCCATAGAAACCATTTGCCAAATGCCAGATGGGGCAGCTTCACTAGAGACACAGTTTATCTTGCAGCAAAGCAGCAGAACAACATGTTTTACATCCAGACACATTTCCATAAGTAAGATTGCAGCAACAACAGAGGTAATGTTTTGATATTTGTCATAGTAATTAGAATGCCCGATGAGAACGTTCATTGAAGTGGAGAAAATTCTGACATCCCGGGAGAAGAAATTACAATATAGCCCGTTTGTGCCACTCCATGCAGTCCCTTATTTTTGTTATGAATTCTGGAATTATGAATATGTCTCTCCTTTGAGCAGTGGTCTGTTGAAAACCTCACAGTGGCAAGCTGCACAAATTGGTACCACATAGTATGTCTCAGAAACAACCTGCCCCTTTCTTAAAAACAGCAGCTTGGAGTAAAGCCTCAGGAATCATCTGTGTCTCGGTTTTTCTGTATGTGACCAGTTATCAGACATTCCCGACAGTGCCCCCTTTGGAATACTTCTTTGCCCGGGACAATGACTTACCTAACGACTTCTCCCCGCAGAGCACAGAATCCAGTGCCGAGGCTACATGTGGAAGGGAACGAGGCAGGGACGTGAGGATGTGGCAACAATTCTGCAGAAGGGCTGTGGGTGGGGGCACAGCAGGGCTTCAACTCCAGGGACCCCATTTCCAGAATTCCATGCAAGCACCACTAGCAGGTGGGGAGGTCAGGTTACAGCCAGAAGGTAAGACCCCGCCCCCAACTCGAAATGTCATTTCTTAGGCATTTAGGACCTGCGATTTCTTTTTTCTCCTATAAAATGACTCAGGCTTACACATAAAAGGTCACATATTGTACTTATTTCTATTCCATTTATACATAATTTCATTTATATAAAATGTCCCGAATAATCAAGTCTTCAGAACCAGAGAACAGATTAGCAGTTGCAGGTTTTGGTAGGGGAAGAAATGGGGAGGGACCGCTAACTGGCATGCGGTTGCACTTGGGGTGATAAAAAATGTTCTGGAATTAAATAATAGAGATGGTTGCACAAATTTGTGAATATATGAATTCACACTAATATGCTTTCAGATGGTGAATTACATGGTATGTGAATTATATCTCAATAAAAAAAAATTTAGGTTTAAGTTTATACTGAAGACCACTTTATTCAGGAAAGGACAACAAGTAGAGGAAAAAGGGAAATCAGGCAGCCAAGTCCCATCTCTTTTGTCCTTGAATTTCTTTTCAGTTCTTTCAAATATGTATCGCAATATTTGCTGGTCCCTTCATCTGTGCAGAGTGAACATAGCGGCAACACTGGCGTCAGGGTTCTGTGTGTAACTTCACAGAAGCCTCCCAGCAGTCCTGTACGAGGTAGACCCTGGGCCACCCCTTTTACAGATGAGGAAGCTGACGCCCTGCCTGCCCAGGACCCCACAGCTAGCAAGTGACCGGGTTGGGATTGACCAAGGGAGGTAGGTGGTTCACTGTCCCCCATCCGCTTCCACCAGTGGCTCAGGAACCTACAGAAATGTCTGCCCTACCAGTGACTTTTGCTCTGACTTTGTCCAGACATTAAATCAAGCCATCTTCTGGGCCCTAGGACGTGAGCTTGCAACTGAGTTCCTGCTTTCCTCCAGGTAGGCAGCAAAGGGCAAACTTCCCTTCAGAGTCAGTCTCTGATCATCCCTGCATTCTCCTCTGAGTTACCTGTGACTGGCAGGGCACCACCAAAAAAGGCTGTCCATTGGATTAATTCGCTTGGAATGAAAACAGCAATGTCTGATGCCTGTGTCCACAAGATAGGGATGCAGCAAGCTCCTGGGAGTCGGAATCCTTCCTGGCAACCTGAGGAGACGGTTGCAGCGTGCACATGGCAGTACAGAGAGAAAGGCTGGGGAGACATCGTCACATTTCAAAACCTGTGCAATGCAGAATAAAGCAAGGCCACAGAACGAAGCTTAATGACTCCGGGAGGTTGTAATGGGAGAGAAAGGGTGAAGAAAAGAACATTTCTCACGTGGCTTGCAGCTGCCTCCAGCCTGGAAGTGGAGCATTTCCTGTCTACATCATAAAGTCATCTAGAAAAAAGCCTCCTGTCTGATCTGATATTGATGGGGACTGGGAAATGCATTTAGTGTTAGAAGAAAAAGAAAACACAGAATTTGCTAAAATCTCTACTGCATTTTAACTATTTAGATCTTAGATCATGGAGCCTAGTGTTTCCCAGCCTCAGCTGCACAGTACAAGCAGTCATTTAGGGAGTTTTGCAGAAAATACTTGGGCCTCACCCCCTGGCCAGTAAATGTTTGATCTGTGGCAGTTGGGCCCAAGTGACGGAACTTCAGATAAATGTATTGCACAGCTAGATTTGAGCAGCATTTGATTTTATATTTGCCTACTATATTCCCTAAGCAAGGAATTTTATTATACTTCCCACGTTCTGTAGGAAAGTCTCAATTATCCACATAAATACTCATAAACCAAATCTGTACATAAAATAAAACCTCACTTTCACTTGGACTTAAAATATATCACAATTATTTTTTCCAGAAAAATTAGCTTTCTGCTTGTGGTTTGCTTAAGTTTAAAGTGACTTGACATATTAGTTAGCTACTGCTGTGTAACAGACCACCCCCAAAACTCAGTGGCCTAAAACAACATTCATTTATGATTTCTCTCTATTGTGAAGGCTGCCTGGGGGAGGGAACTGGTTGGCCGATTTGGAGTGGGCTGGTCTGGGAATTCTGCTAAATCTTGCTGCGAATCTTGGCTGGACTCACTCACACGTCAGTTGGGTAGATGCACTTTGCACTGTAAATATCTCAACTTCATCCTGGGCCACCAAGCTAGCCTGGGAATGTCTTCCTTATAGCAATAGCAGAGAAGAAAAGAACAAGCAGAGGCCTTCCCCGCATGAGGCCAAAGCTTGGAAGCAGAAGGATCATTTCCATTGTGTTCTATTAGCTAAAGATAAGTCCATGGCTCAGCCCAGAGATGGGAAATTGGACACCACCTCCACCAGAAGGGCACCGCAAACCCCCTTTCAGGGCTCAGAATGGGATAAAGAACTGAGACAACTAATACAGTATATTCTGATAGGCAGGCACCATTTTGTTTGTTTGTTTGTTTTGTTGTTGTTGTTGTTGTTTGAGACAGAGTCTCACTCTGTTGCCCAAGCTGGAGTGCAGTGGTGCAATCTCGGCTCACTGCAAACTCCGCCTCTCAGGTTCAAGCAATTCTCCTACCTCAGCCTCCTGAGTAGCTGGGATTATAGGCACCCGCCGTCACACCCGGCTAATTTTTGCATTTTTTTAGTAGAGACAGGGTTTCACCATATTGGCCAGGTTGGTCTCGAACTCCTGACCTTAAGTGATCTGCCCACCTCGGCCTCCCAGAGTGCTGGGGTTATAGGCGTGAGCCACCATGGCCAGCTGGGCAGGCACCTTTTTATTATAAGTCCCTGTAGAATGAAACTTGGTCTTGGTCTCTCCATGATGAAAATTGGGCAAGAACATATGTTTATCCAGAGAAGAACATGATGGCATAACAAGACAAAGGCATTTTCTCACTAGGACTTCAAGCCATTCCATAGTCCTACAAGCTCAAGTCCCTGAGTCTATGAGTAGTTATTTTTAAAGTTGCAACAGTTTGCAAACTCTGCCAAAACCCAAATAGGTGAAGCATCTCTATTGGAAAAAAGTAGGTCAATGCATCATTTCCTTTAAAGCCCATACCACATGCAGATAGACGCGTAATGAATGCTCATTCGAGATGATTATGACTGCATTTCCATCTTCAATTTAGCCATCAGCTGTTTATTGAAAAACACTGATTGTTGTTTTTTTATTTTTTTATTTTTTCAATCTCTAAGCACTTATAGTTCTTAAACAAAATAATCATTGTGGCAAACTAGCAAAGGCTCACTTCCACCTCTTAACATCAGGAGGCCGTCAAGGCTGAGCAAAGGAGTGGAAGTCAGGGTGGCCTCCTTTCAGGGAGGAATTCCTTCCCTGTGAGTTGGCCCAAAGAACACTAGAAATTTCATTGGCTGGACTCTTATCCCGGACTTTCTCTTTATCCCAATGAGTAGAGTGGAGAGTATTTAAACCCTACCCAGCCTCTGCTTCTAATTGAACTGGTAAAGTACTTAAGCATTTTGTTCTTTTAAGATGACACCTGTCCCATCTTATAGCTCACTGAAAGGTGAAAAGACAAGTCCTCTGGCTTCAAGCACTCTCAGTGCCACATTACCGGAGGTACAGCAAAGGCACGTAAGCCTCCTGAACTATTTGCACACCAGATAGATGCTACAAGGACTCAGACGCATCTGCTCATTTAATCCTGTCTATCCAGCACTCAACGACTTATGCCAAGAGATCTCACGACAGCGCCTGCCTGTCATGGTTGGGGGCCAGTATGTTAAGGATGTATGGTACTGTTCTCGCCACCTTTCTGTGCATTTGCGACTTTTCATAATAAAAAGTTAAGAAGAGAGAGACCTCATAAGGCTGGCCTATGACAATGCTGGACAAGTCAAACCAAATCATCCAGGATCTACATACATGTAGGTGGCCTAAGAGTAGGGGCTGGCAAGAACAACATCATGTCCTTTGCAAGGACATGGATGGAGCTGGAGCCCATCATCCTTAGCAAACTAGTGCAGGAACAGAAAACCAAATACTGCATGTTCTCACTTATAAGTGGGAGCTAAATGATGAGAACATACCTAGAGGGGAACAGCAGATGCTGGGGCCTTTCAGAGGGTGGAGGGTGCGAGGAGGGAGAGGATCAGGAAAAACAACTAATGGATACTAGGCTCGATACCTGGGTGATGAAATATTCTGTACAACAAACCCTCATGACACAAGTTTACCTATGTAACAAACCTGCACTTGCACCCCTAAACTTAAAAGTTAAGGAAAAAAAAGAGTAGGGGTTGGCAAACTACAGCCTACAGGCCTGGTCTGGCAAGTCAGCTGCTTTCGCACAGCCAGGGAGATGGGCTGTAGGTTTTATATTTTAAAACCACTGGGGGAAAAAAAGTATTTTGTGACAAGTGCAAATCATACAAATTCACATTGCAGGGTCCATTGATAAAGTTTTATCAGAGCCCAGTCCAGTCATGTTCGTTTGTTTATATTTTGGCCGCGGCTGCCTTCACACTCCAGTGGCAGAGTTGAGCAGTTGCAAGAGACTGCATGGCCCAAGAAATCAAAACCATTTACTATCTGGCGCTTTAGAGGAGTTGTCTGCTGACCCCCAGCCAAGGTGGACCCGGGCCCCAGCTCTGCTGCTTATTTGCAATGTGACCTTAAGCAAACGTCTTAACTTCCCTGAGCTCAGTTTCCTCTTCCAGATAATGGGAATGGTGGTGATGATAATAGTATCCATCTCATGTGAGTATTGTGAGAACAGTAAGAATTAATATAGATTGAGTGCTTAAAACAGTGCCTCACACATAAAAATGATTCCTTCAGTAATGAGGAAAATTCTGCCAGTAAATCATGGGGGGAAAAGTCTCCTTTTTGCCCAGGCATGGTGGCTCATGCCTGTAATCTCAGCACTTGGGGAGGCTGATGTGGGAAGATTGCTTGAGCCCAGGAGTTTGAGACCAGCCTGGGCGATGTAGTGGGACCACATCTCTACAAAAATTTTTAAAAATTAGCTGGACTTGGGTAGTGTGTGTCTGTGGTCCCAGCTACTCTGGAAGCTGAGGTGCAAAGATTGTTTGAGGCCAGGAGTTCAAGGCTGCAGTGAGATACGATTGTGCCACTGCACTCCAGCTTGGGCAACAAAGAAAGAAAAAATCTCCTCTTTGACCTTTCTCCTTGAATTCATGGACAGTCGGGCCCAGGCAATTTGATACATTTGGCTTCTGTGATTATTCTGCATGGACCTTCTTCGTGGAATCTAAAACCTCTGTATTTCTTAAGCTAAAGTAGACAGCAATAAGCCAGTAAGCTTGCGCCCAAAGTCTGAGATAGTTCCAGATCTACATCAGAGGTCTCCGCCAGCTACTGGAGGGTTGCAAGTTAGTGACAGCATCCAGTCCCCGGCGAAGCCAGCCCATGCGGGAGCTGAGGCATCTGGCTGCACCCCCTTTTCTGAGGCTGCAGTCCCCGTTGCTGCAGCACCCCGGGGCCTTCTTGTGGCTGAAGGGAAAGAACAGCTGTCCTCTGTGAGGACCGCGTCAGAGCTGAATTTTGGGAATTCCCGAGCTTCCCACTTACTAGCATTTAGGGTACAGATTTATCACCCCAATCAGGAGTGTGACTGTGAGACCTGAACAGCCTCCCCCTGGGCCAGGCTGGTGTGAGGGGGACACAGAGCACTGGAGGGGAAGCCTTGCTGCACTGCTTACAAATTATCTGAGCAGGAAGAGGACAAAGTCATACATCATCTTCCAGCCCATCATTCACCAAAAAGGATTCGGCTGCTTGGAAAGGGCTTGTGAATACATTTTCCCTGTCAGCTCAGAGAGGGTGGGGACGGAGCCTATGTTGTCTCCCAGCTCCTCACAGGGTCCAGCTCCTTGCACTGTTCCCAGCATCTCGCACGCTTCCTGGCTCATAGTAGGTGATTAATGAATGTGAACTGAAGACGCGAATGAACAGGTGCATGTGAGTTGCTCATGGAGTCCAGGCCTGTGTGTGGTCAGTTCTGCTTTTATTGTGATGAAACATCCAGATGCCTGAATGTATCATTGCCAGAGTCGGGCCTGTATTTCCACCAGCCTAGTAAGGGCAGCGGCAGGTGACACCTTGTAAGGGTACACGGGTGCTAGCTGTGACCCAGACACTCAGTGTGCATTAGGTCATTTAATCCTTTCAACAACCTTAACGATTTTTACGCAATGTAGAAAACAAGGCACTGGAGGATCGTGAAGTGTGTCCAAGGTTGCTCATATGCCAGGAATGGGGACAGGACGTCCACCAGGCCGGACGGCTTTGGGGCCACGGCTCTTCACCTCTCTGCTGTCCAGAGTGCAGGAAACCTTCCAGGGTGCTTGCCTGTCCCAGGCCCCCAGACAAGTGCTTTTCCACCATCATCCCCTAGAATCTGCCTCATCGCCATAAGCACGCTTGTTACCCCCTGCCGTGCGGATGAGAGAGCTGAGGCCTAGCAGTGTGCAGTTCATGGCTCCAAGCCGCACAGGGAGTGAGTGTCAAAGCGCAGGTCCCACCCTAGCCGTCGGATTCTGGAGCAGATTCTGAATCCTGCCTTCCCAAAAAGGGAAGCTCAGAGCCTTAACTTGACATCCATGGTTTGGTGCCAGATGCGGCACTGTGCTGAACTGCCTTGGCCTCCTTCAGAGGAAGGGGAAGGGGGCTTGGTTGTCCCTGGCTTCCCAGCTGCGGCACTGGAGGCACTCTGCTTGACCTGGTGGAGCCCCTATTTCCTCATGAGGAAATGAATGTAAGACCACACTAGCCCTTGCAAAGCTGCTGAGAAGCCTTTGCAGAACCCTGGAGCATGTGGAAGGTACACACATGAGGGCCATTTGTCTCATTCTTCTGCTTCTTCAGTATTGGGTTTCAAAGGGAATGCTTCTGCCCATTCAGTGTGATATTGGCTGTTGGTCTGTCATAAGTAGCTCATATTATTTTGAGATACGTTCCATTAATGCCTAGTTTATTGAGAGTTTTTAGCATGAAGGGGTGTTGAATTTTATCGAAGGCCTTTTCTGCATCTTTTGAGATAATCATGTGGTTTTTGTCGTTGGTTCTGTCTGTGTGATGGATTACGTTTATTGATTTGCATATGTTGAACCAGCCTTGCATCCCAGGGATGAAGCCGACTTGATCGTGGTGGATAAGCTTTTCGATGTGCTCACCTGAGTGAGGACGAAAGCACTGGGGAATTCTAAGTAGGGGAGTAGTGATACAGGAGTTATTCAGAAATAACTGAATAACTGGATTCGGTTTGCCAGTATTTTATTGATGATTTTTGTATCGATGTTCATCAGGGATATTGACCTGAATTTTTGTTGTTGTCGTTGTGTCTCTGTCAGGTTTGGGTATCAGGATGATGCTGGCCTCATAAAATGAGTTAGGGAAAAGTCCCTCTTTTTCTATTGTTTGGAATAATTTCAGAAGAAATGGTACCGGCTCTTCTTTGTACCTCTGGTAGAATTCGACTGTGAATTCATCTGGTTCTGGGCTTTTTTTGGTTGGTAGGCTATTAATTACTGCCTCAATTTCAGAACGTATTAGTCTATTCAGGGATTCGACTTCTTCCTGGTTTAGTCTCGGGAGGGTGTATGTGTCCAGGAATTTATCCATTTCTTCTTCAGTATCAAGCACCCTCTTCCCAAAGCCCCAGCTTCACACCTTGAGCCAGCCACTGAGTCCCCTCTCTCCTCCCACCCATGAATCTCCCACAATGCTTATCTCCCAGCACCAAGCCCTGCACAGAGCAAGAGTCCAGCACATCCCTGGGTGAGTGGGCAGATGGGTGTGTATGTGAACAGGGCCTGGGTGCAGAGCCAAAAATAAAATAAAGAATGCTTGCTTGGCCAGGCATGGTGACTCATGCTTGTAATTCCAGTGCTTTGGGAGGCTGAGGCAGGAGGATCGCTTGAGCCCAGCAGTACTGGGCAGGAGTTGGAGACCAGTCTGGGCAATATAGCAAGACCCCATCTCTGCTAAAAATAAAGATGAAATTAAAAAATTAGCTGGGCATGGTAGCACACACCTGTAGTCCCAGCTGCTTGGGAGGCTGAGGTGGGGCGATTGCTTGAGTCCAGGAGTTTGGGGTTGCAGTGAGCTGTGATTATGCCACTGCACTCCAGCCTGGGCAACAGAGCAAGACCCTGTCTCAAAACAAGAAAGAGAGAGAGAAAGAAAGAGAGAGGGGGAGGTGAGGGGAGAGGAGGGGAGGGTGGAGGAAGAAGCTTGCTCAAGAGGCACAAGACAAGCAGCCGAAGGGGCCATGGAGCCCCTGGGTAATCATTTGTGAGTCACTGAGGGGCTCCAGGGCTCCAGAAGATTCTCCACACTGCATGGTTACTGCCAGCACACCACCTGGTTTTCTGGGTTCGTCTTCTTGCTCCACCATTCGATACCTCTGTGGTGGTTGTTTCCTCCCTCTCTGTGCCTCAGTATCCCTGCTTGTAAAATGCAGTTGCTATAAGGATTGGGATAAAGTGTTTACAGCAGAGCCTGGCCAATAGCAAACTTTGTACAGGTGTTTGTTGAATACATTTCTGTGAACCAAAGCAATGGTGTATGGACATCTGTAGAACTGGCTCTTCAGAGCCCCGTGGGAAATTGTCCAGGAATGGAGTGAGGGGGTTGTGAAACATAGCCATCGTTAGAGATTGTATTATATACAAGTACAACGTATTTCATTGTCACTGCACTTCTATATAATACAAATTATATAAACAAAATTAATATATTTAATCATAAATAGATTTAAACGACATTAAAAACAAAGATAATAAACCCTCAAAGCTCATCGCTTCCCAGTGATTACACTCTACATTGCTGTGATCTATGCTCTTGAGTTCATTCATGTTTATTGTATCTAAACGGTAAAAATACTACAGATATGTTCCTCCAGTCTCTTCCAACTGCAGTTCAGAATCCCCCTGCAGTAGCTTAGACTGAAGAGCATTTGCACCATGGAAACTAGCAAACAACATAAAGCCGGGCTTTGGTTTTCCCACCCATCAGAGAGCTGTTGTTATATGTTTGCCAGTGCACGAGGATGAAGCTATCACTGGTCTCAAGTAATTCCCTTTAAAATGGAAAGACACTAAGGGGACGACATTCTAAGTTGCTTTCATCTTGAAAAGCAGTGACAGGTTTTATCAGATCACAGAAATGGCCAAGGTTTTGAACTTGGAATGGAGCAGAATGAAACATGGGGGAGGAAGGGCCCCCTGCAGCTCCAGGGAAGCTCTCCAGTGAGAGGAAGGAGGGTAGCAGGTGTCCAGCAGGCACTGTGGATTTTCTAGGAGCACGTTGATATCATAGGCAGGTACAATCTCTGGGACCTTCCATGTTCCATATATGATGATATGTACATTTCTGTGTTCTGGCCGAATCTCCCTCCAAGACTTCTGCCTCCTATAAACATCTTACTTTTCATTGTTATGTCTCTTCTAGTGGGAGATAGAATGGCCGTCCTCATATATTAAAAGGGCCATTATGCAGGAAGGCAAACAGCTGTGGGGAAACATTCCTAGGAAGAAGAGTTCAGTTGAACTAAAGAAAGACTTTTTGGCAGCGTGGCGACTCATGCCTGTAATCTCAGCACTTTGGGAGGCCAAGGCGGGAAGATTGCTTGAGCCCAGGAGTTCATGACCAGCCTGGGCAACATACTGAGACTCCACCTCTATATAAAATTTTAAAAACTAGCTAAACATGGTAGTGCATGCCTGTAGTCCCAGCTACTTGGGAGGCTGAGGCAGGAGGATCACTTGAGCCCAGGAGTTCGAGGCTGCAGTGAGCTGTGATCATGCCTGTGAACTCCAGCCTGGGTGACAGAGTGAGACCCTGCCTCAAAAAAGAGGCAGGGAGGGAAGGAGGGAAGGAAGGAAGGAGCGAAGGAAGGAAGGTTGGTTGGTTGGTTTTCTTAGCAGCTAGAGGTGAGCGCCCCAAGAAACAGGCTTTCACAAAAATAAAAATGTCTTCAAAAAGTGTGAGCAGAGCCTGCTGCCCATCTGAAATGATGCTGGGAAAGGGACTCAGGCTTCAAGAGCAATATTGAACTAAGGCTCCCTTTTTTTGTTATTATTTTGAAACAAATTCCTGCTCTGTTGCCCAGGCTGGAGTGCAGTAGTGTGATCTCTGCTCACTGCAACCTCCGCCTCGCAGGTTCAAGCAATTCTCCTGCCTCAGCCTCCCGAGTAGCTGGGATTGCAGGCAACTGCCACCACACCCAGCTAATTTTTGTATTTTTATTACAGACAGGGTTTCACCATGTTGGCCAGGCTGGTCTCGAACTCCTGACCTCAGGTGATTCGCCCACCTCGGCCTCCCAAAGTGCTGGGATTACAGGCGTGAGCCACCACAGCCGGCCTCCCATTTAACTCTTAAGTGGTTCTTAATTTGGAGGGGATATTTCCCCTAACCCTTGCCCAAGGGAATGTGGCAGTGTCTGGAGACATTTTTGGTTGCCACTACTGGGGAGTGGGGTGCTACTGTCATCTAGTAGGTGGAGGCCAGGATACTGCAAAACACCCCAAAAAACACAGGACAGCCCCCCACAGCAAAGATTCATCCATCCCCAATGTCAGTAGTGCCGAGGCTGAGAAACCCTGCTCTGGGATGCAATGAACCTCCAGTCTCAGGCCGTACTAAGATGATGCGTTAAGCGGATTGCTCTTCCCCCTTCCAGCCATCCCACTGGATGCAAATATTGAGCTGACGGAGGGCGCGGAGGTTTCTGAGGGACAGCAAAGCACCTTTCCCTTCTTCCTCCTCCTCCTCTAATTTGCATCCACTTTTCCTTTTGCGGCAGATGTATGTCATGTTTACAGCACGTAACGCTTCAAAGTTAGACTTTGAGGTGTAGAGTCCATAAAAAATGGCTTCTCCCTGGATAGTCGGAGATTTCCATTCATATTTAGGAGACGGGGACTGACACGTTGTGTGTTCATTTTATTTTAGAAATGTGACAATGCAATAATTCACAGAGACAGAGCCAAAGCTTTGTAGTCTACTCGGCGACACCTTCTGGACCTAGAACACAGTCTGCTTGGCTGGGTGGGGACACGTTCGTAGGCACATTGGGTTGTTGCATTTTCAGTCTTACATCGAAGTATTACTGTTTTGAAGATCGTTACCATCTTTATTCAGAGCCCTTGGTGACTTTAACTTTGAGAAGTGACAGCATTCTCCAGACATTCCTATCTCCAAGACGGACATGTGGTGAGTGAGGCAAGAGCTGGGGGAATCTACCCTTTCTCAATAATAGGAAAAGTAATTAAGGGAACACACAAAACTGGGCACAGGAATGAAAATGGATTGGGAGGAAATTAGCCCGAGGAGAGTCTACAAGCTAAGAGGCAAAGGACCATCCCACCCAGCAGACCCTCCTTCTCAGTTAGCCTCAGGGACTTTTTCAAAGCCCTGCCCTGTGGAAAGTGTGGGTCGCTAAGACTTTGAAAATACTTACTGCTTCTGGAGAAATGCTGTTTCCTTGACAACATGCCTTTTCTCTTTATTTTTCACTTGCCTTTTTATATTCTCACCATCGTTGAAGAAACAATGACAAGCAAATTACCCTGTGGGAGGAGAGATTTTGACAGGCATAGCCTCTCAGCGCTTGGGCAGTCCGGGGAAGTTCTGGTGACCATTATATCTCATTGCCAATGTCACCTGAACCGAATCTTGGCAGAGAATTTGCAACAGCTGCGGAAATAAATGCATCTCTTTAAGAATGTGTTTTTAGATGCTTGTAAACATGTGTGCATGCAAACACACACACACACACACACACACACACACACACACACACACACAGCTCAGCACTTTTAGTGCTAGTACTAGTGTGAAATCCAAGAAAGAAACAATGTCAGGAAATCGTAATGATTCTAAGGCTGTAAATTGCTACTCTGTTCTAGAAACTTACTAGCTCAGCCCATTTGAGAGCCAAAGTGGAGAAAGGGGTGCCAGGGTATTCCGGAAACCCAGCCACCGACCAAGGGACTTTCTGGAGTGATTGGCTGTGCACAGATCTTGCGTGGTATTGCTCATTCAATAGCTCCCTGCTATGCTATGGCAGAGTGCCCCGCCGGTGTCTGGTTCCAGGGAGCTCAGTGAAGTTTGCTTCCTGCTCTTCCTCACCCATCCTCCTTGTTCTAATCAGCCCCTTCAAGCAACTGTTTAGCTGGCATTTGCTCACCCTCTTCCCCGACCAACTTCACTATGTTGTTCTAGCCCTGAAATGAAGAACTTGGCCATAATCTAACACACTAACCATTCTTAGCAATTTTACACCAACTGCCCCAAAATGAGCTACTTTGGTCTCTCTCTGGCCTTCAGTATAGTCTTTTATACATATAAATTGTGTGCGTGTGTGTGTGTGTGTGTGTATGCCTGCATGTATATGTGCATATATACACAAGCACACACGTGAAAGGCGTAGATCTTAAGTGCCCCATGTAATCAGTTTCAATGGTGTGTATGAGTGTGTGTGTGTGGGTATATATATATATATATATATATATATGCATGCATATGTGCATGTATACACAGGCACACACGTGAAAGACGTAGATCTTAAGTGCCCCATGTAATCAGTTTCATCGACCGCTCATCAAGACACAGAGTGTTCCAGTCACCCTTGGAATCTCCCTGGGGCCCCTTCATAGTCAAGGAACACCCTCCACATCTCCATAGGTCAGTTTTGCCAGTCCTGGAATTTTGTACCCACAGGATCATACAGTCTGCCACTGGCCTCATTCTCTAGATCTGCACTGTCAATGAAGTACTCACTAGCCATGTGTGGCTGCTTCCATTAAAATTAATTAAAACCAAACTTCAAAACACAGTTCTTCCATTGCAGTAGCCACATTTCAGGTGGCCACTGACCACACACACAGTGGTGTCCTGATCAGTATTTAGCCACTGGCTCTCTAATGGGAAAGAGCAGAGTTCTAATTTGTAGCACTTGCCAGTTCCCACGGTGTAACTACTCACACCATAGCTAATTTCAAAGATGGCTGCATTTACCAACTGGCTGGAAAAATTTATCAGATTTAAACTACTGGCTCCAGCCTACCACTGCATGGCATGTGGCTAGTTGTTAATGTGAACAGTGTGGATCATAGAACATTTCTCTCAACTCAGCCAGTTCTATTGGAGAGCAGTGCTCTGAATGTGTACCCTGTTTGATTGACTGATTTTACCATTTATTATTACCTGGCAAATTAACATTATGCATATAATATTTAGTATTTTAAAATATTGATATTATTGGCTAGGTGTGGTGGCTCACACCTGTAATCCCAGCACTTTGGGAGGCCAAGGCGGGTGGATCACCTGAGGTCGGGAGTTCAAGACCAGCCTGGTCAACATGGTGAAACCCTGTCTCTACTAAAAATACAGAAATTAGCCGGACATGGTGGTGCATGTCTGTAATCCCAGCTACTGGGGAGGCTGAGGCAGGAGAATTGCTTGAACCTGGGAGGCAGAGGTTGCAGTGAGCAGAGATCATGCCACTGTACTCTAGCATGGGTGATAGATCATGACTCCATCTCAAAAAAAATATAGAAAGATATTATAAATATTATAATACTAAATATTGTATATTAATGTTATATATACTTGTTTTCTGTTCCTACAACTAGAAAATGACTTTCTTCAAACGTCAAAAACTTTCTTTGCAATAACTAGGATGCAAAGGGCTCTTAATAATTACTTACCGAATGAAAACAAGTTGAATGTTTTCAAACAAAACAAAAAATCCATTAACAGAAAAGCTTTTATAAATAAAATTTTCTCTTTTCAGTTCATACCTCAGTGCTGTTCGTCCCACCCAGGTTGATAAAGGTTGCGATTCTTCATGCCAAGAAAAAAGTTTTTATCCACAAATACATATGGAGGATCCTTTCAAGGCTGTTCCTCCTGGGGTGCTTTAGAGAGTCCCAGATCACATAATTAAAGACCAAGGGTGCAGACTAGCAGGACTGGTCCCCGGGCAGTGGGCGGCAGGTGCCTCTGTCTCCGTTCCTTCTCCTCCACGTGTTCTCCAGCTGTTTCCTCTCCCCTGTCCACCCCAGTCAGTACTGATGGGGGCGTTTTCCTGCTAGACGAGGGTGGAAGGGCAGGTATTCACACCAGGATGCCAACTACTAAGCGGTGTTACAGATGATGAGACGTGTGGTTTTTCTAACTCACCTTGACTTTCTTCTTGCCCACCATGCTCATGTTAGAGGAAGAGGATGGGGGAGAAAGGAGGCGAGAATAAAAGCTGGAAAAAAAAAAAACCATAGCCTCTTAGCTGCTGTAGCACAGAGCGTTTAAGGGCTTGCTACTGTGTTACCGTGATGTCTGTGAGATGGAGGTTGAACTGAGAGAGCGTGAGAAGGAGTGCAGGACAGACTACTTGTGAGATTTAAAGGCAAGCTGATGTCCCTCCATTATATATTTTTATATGCTCATATATATATATATATATATTCTGTCCACAACACAGAAGTGAAAGTGATTGTTTAAATCTTTAGGTCTGATCATGCTACTCCCCTGCTCAGAATTTCCCAGTGCTTTCCCACCCCACTCAGACTCATATATATATACATGTGGGAATATAGATATAAAAAATTTCACATGCCTCAGTCAGAAATTTTCTCGCCTCACTCAGACTCATGTCTATATATGTATGAGGGCATGTGAAATATTTGTTTCATGAGCGTCCTTCTATTAAAGAGCCACCAACTGAACAGGACAGTAGCTGGCATTTTTTTACAACATCCTGAAATATACTTTTCAAGCCAACAAACAAAAGAACCTGGATGTTCCCTTTCGTCCACGTGTATGCCACCAAAATCGTTGTGTTTGCAGACATGTCATGGACCCCAAAATAAGCCTGAGAAGCCACAGGCTTAGAGTCTAGGCTGGACATTCACATTTCAGCCGTTCCTTCAAGATATAATCCCAACTGAATTCCAATTGAAGGGACTAAGTATGGATGAATAAGCATGAGTGGGAGGCTAGCAAGGGAGGTGATTGGGGGAAGGAGGCCCTTATGTCGCCCTATCTTGGTGAGCACTCAGTTCCCTTCACCGAGTGTGAAAGAGACTGGGTTTTGAGCCAAGAGTTTTGCTCTGATCCAAGAACCAGCTTTGGTCATGGATGTGGTTCATCTAGGCAATGCTTGTACCTGGCTTTTGTCGTAGGAGCTTTCCTGGCCCTTCAGTGGTCAGAAGCACCAGTGGGTTTTCTTTCCCTCGCCTTGCCCTGGAAGAGATCACCTGGCCACCACGATGGCTCCCAGACAATGTGAAGCAAATTCCCCCCTTCCACACCCTCATTGCCCCTGGCAGTGTATTTAGAGGAATGACTTTGTGGGTGGGGCCTGGCACCTCACTGAATTCAGTGAGGGGCAGGAGACTGCTGGAGACCTAAGCCAGTGAATAATGATGCATTCTGCAACTGCCACATTGAATGATATATTTTATCATAGCATAAGCTCCTTATAGAGAGCCTTTGTGGTTGTGTTAGTGTTGGCATACCCACTGATCAATGCTCAATAACAAGCCAATCACAAAGCCAAATCCTGAAGAGTGGAGTGGGAATAATATTGATGGTCAATCAGGGGAATAGGGTTTAAGAACTAGCTCTGGCTCTGTATCAAGAGGCAATTCTAGAAAAGTCCCCAAGTTCTAAATGCCAAATCTGCATTGGTTTCGTAAAGAGAATAGTGACTGTCCTTTCTATCCCATGGGATGATTCATTAGTAGCACTCTCCAGCCTTTCTTTAGTGATTACCCTCTATCAGGCACTGTACTAAGCCCTCATTGCCTTATCTCATTTAATTCATGGCCGCAGGAGCACTTGCAGTTATAATACCAATTTTTCAGATGAGGGAACCAAGGCTTACTTTTGAGTAAGACTCATTCAAGGTGTAGAGTGAGTAAGGAGTGGAGTTGAGATTTCAGCCCAGCATTGTCTGGCTCCAAAGACCAAATCCTTGACCATAGTGTAGCCCTGTTGTGGCCAAACAGAAGGTGACAGGCAAGGTGCTCTGTAGACAAACAGAACAAACTGCACCACTGCAGGGACATTTGTTATCATTGATAAGGAGCAGGAACTCTAGCTAGAGACAAAAAGGGGTCAGATGAATTTCACCAACTTGCTGCCTGGAGCCTCCATTTTTCTTGAAATACAATAGCGTTGAGGTTGATGGATTTGGCTGCAATTGAGCAATTTGGGCATCTAAATCCCATTGATTCTGTCCATGAATTTTGCTTCCGGCGGCCCTGCCTTGGTCAGCACGGAGCAGCACATACATCTCAGCAATGTCAGTGGGCTGCTTGTGCCCAATGGAGCGAGAGCCAGTCGGAGATTAGTCCCTGCACTATTCCTGTGACGTCTCTTTGGCTGGCATAAAAATTGCCAACAGCCCAATGGATTCCCTGAGAGCTGCAAGCACACGAGAAACTTTTTAAAACCACTCAGGGCTTTTTCAGCGTGTCCTCAACTGGATCCTGCTCCTACTCTGTCCCTGATGTGCTGACACTGACCTCCATGCCTCTGCCAGGGGCTTGCGGACCTGGTGCTGACCCACGGCATTCCTCTTTGGCTACCGCTCCTTGGTTCTTTCTCAAGGACGAGGTTGTACCGGCTCTCAACTGCACCAGTTCCCAACTTCAGGTTGCCTCCAGGAGTCTGCTTACCCCACTGTCCTCTTATGGACCACTTGCCAGTGACCTTTTTGGCTGTATCAGTTCTTTTTTTTTTTTTTATACTTTAAGTTTTAGGGTACATGTGCACAACATGCAGGTTTGTTACATATGTATACATGTGCCATGTTGGTATGCTGCACCCATTAACTCGTCGTTTACATTAGGTATATCTCCTAATGCTTTCCCTCCCCACTCCCTGCACCCCACGACAGGCCCCGGTGTGTGATGTTCCCCTTCCTGTGTCCAAGCATTCTCATGGTTCAATTCCCACCTATGAGTGAGAACATGCGGTGTTTGGTTTTTTGTTCTTGCAATAGTTTGCTGAGAATGATGGTTTCCAGCTTCATCCATGTCCCTACAAAGGACATGAACTCATCCTTTTTTATGGCTGCATAGTATTCCATGGTGTAAATGTGCCACATTTTCTTAATTCAGTCTATCATTGATGGACATTTGGGTTGGTTCCAAGTCTTTGCTATTGTGAATAGTGCCACAATAAACATACATGTGCATGTGCCTTTATAGCAGCATGATTTATAATCCTTTGGGTATATACCCAGTAATGGGATCGCTGGGTCAAATGGTATTTCTAGTTCTAGATCCCTGAGGAATCGCCACACTGTCTTCCACGATGGTTGACCTAATTTACACTCCCACCAACCGTGTAAAAGTGTTCCGATTTCTCCACATCCTCTCCAGCACCTGTTGTTTCCTGACTTTTTAGTAATCACCATTCTAACTGGTGTGAGATGGTATCTCATTGTGGTTTTCATTTGCATTTCTCTGATGGCCAGTGATGATGAGCATTTTTTCATGTGTCTGTTGGCTGCATAAGTGTCTTCTTTTGAGAAGTGTCTGTTCATATCCTTTGTCCACTTTGTGATGGGGTTGTTTGTTTTTTTCTTGTAAATTTGTTTGAGTTCTTCGTAGATTCTGGATATTAGCCCTTTGTCAGAGGGGTAGATTGCAAAAACTTTCTCCCATTCTGTAGGTTGCCTGTTCACTCTGATGGTAGTTTCTTTTGCTGTGCAGAAGCTCTTTAGTTTAATTGGTCCCATTTGTCAATTTTGGCTTTTGTTGCCATTGCTTTTGGTGTTTAGTCATGAAGTCCTTGCCTATGCCTATGTCCTGAATGGTATTGCCTAGGTTTTCTTCTAGGGTTTTTATGGTTTTAGGTCTAATATTTAAGTCTTTAATCCATCTTGAATTAATTTTTGTATAAGGTGTAAGGAAGGGATCCAGTTTCAGCTTTCTACATATGGCTAGCCAGTTTTCCCAGCACCATTTATTAAATAGGGAATCCTTTCCCCATTTCTTGTTTTTGTCAGGTTTGTCAAAGATCAGATGGTTTTAGATGTGTAGTATTATTTCTGAGGGCTCTGTTCTGTTCCATTGGTCTATATCTCTGTTTTGGTACCAGTACCATGCTGTTTTGGTTACTGTAGCCTTGTAATATAGTTTGAAGTCAGGTAGCATGATGCCTCCAGCTTTGTTCCTTTGGCTTAGGATTGTCTTCGCAATGTGGAATGTTTTTTGGTTCCATATGAACTTTAAAGTACTTTTTTCCAATTCTGTGAAGAAAGTAATTGGTAGCTTGATGGGGATGGCATTGAATCTATAAATTACCTTGGGCAGTATGGCCATTTTCACAGTATTGATTCTTCCTATCCATGAGCATGGAATGTTCTTCCATTTGTTTGTATCCTCTTTTATTTCATTGAGCAGTGGTTTGTAGTTCTCCTTGAAGAGGTCCTTCACATCCCTTATACGTTGGATTCCTAGGTATTTTATTCTCTTTGAAGCAATTGCAAATTGGAGTTCACTCATGTTTTGGCTCTCTGTTTGTCTGTTATTGGTGTATAAGAATGCTTGTGATTTTTGCACATTGATTTTGTACCTGAGACTTTGCTGAAGTTGCTTATCAGCTTAAGGAGATTTTGGGCTGAGACGATGGGGTTTTCTAGGTATACAATCATGTCATCTGCAAACAGGGACAATTTGACTTCCTCTTTTCCTAATTGAATACCCTTTATTTCTTTCTCCTGCCTGATTGCCCTGGCCAGAACTTCCAACACTATGTTGAATAGGAGTGGTGAGAGAGGGCATCCCTGTCTTGTGCCAGTTTTCAAAGGAAATGCTTCCAGTTTTTGCCCATTCAGTATGATATTGGCTGTGGGTTTGTCATAAATAGCTCTTATTATTTTGAGATACGTCGCATCAATACCTAATTTATTGAGAGTTTTTAGCATGAAGGGCTGTTGAATTTTGTCAAAGGCCTTTTCTGCATCTATTGAGATAATCATGTGGTTTTTGTCTTTGGTTCTGTTTATATGCTGGATTATGTTTATTGATTTGCATATGTTGAACCAGCCATGCATCCCAGGGATGAAGCCCACTTGATCATGGTGGATAAGCTTTTTGATGTGCTGCTGGATTCGGTTTGCCAGTATTTTATTGAGAATTTTTGCATCAATGTTCATCAGGGATATTGGTCTAAAATTCTCTTTTTGTTGTGTCTCTGCCAGGCTTTGCTATCAGGATGATGCTGGCCTCAAAAATGAGTTAGGGAGGATTCCCTCTTTTTCTATTGATTAGAATAGTTTCAGAAGGAATGGTACCAGTTCCTCCTTGTACCTCTGGTAGAATTCTGCTGTGAATCTGTCTGGTCCTGGACTTCTTTTGGTTGGTAGGCTATTAATTATTGCCTCAATTTCAGAGCCTGTTATTGGTCTATTCAGGGATTCAACTTCTTCTTGGTTTAGTCTTGGAAGGGTGTATGTGTCCAGGAATTTATCCATTTCTTCTAGATTTTTTAGTTTATTTGTGTGGAGCTATTGATAATATTCTCTGATGGTAGTTTGTATTTCTGTGGGATCGGTGGTGATATCCCCTTTATCATTTTTTATTGCATCTATTTGATTCTTCTCTCTTTTCTTCATTAGTCTTGCTAGCGGTCTATCAATTTTGTTGATCTTTTCAAAAAACCACCTCCTGGATTCATGGATTTTTTGAAGGGTTTTTTGTGTCTCTATCTCCTTCAGTTCTTCTCTGATCTTAGTTATTTCTTGCCTTCTGCTAGCTTTTGAATGTGTTTGCTCTTGCTTCTCTAGTTCTTTTAATTGTGATGTTTGGGTGTCAATTTTAGATCTTTCCTCCTTTCTCTTGTGGGCATTTAGTGCTATAAATTTCCCTCTACACACTGCTTTGAATGTGTTCCAGAGATTCTGGTATGTTGTCTTTGTTCTCGTTGGTTTCAAAGAACATCTTTATTTCTGCCTTCATTTCGTTATGTACCCAGTAGTCATTCAGGAGCAGGTTGTTCAGTTTCCATGTAGTTGAGTGGTTTTGAGTGAGTTTCTTAATCCTGAGTTGTAGTTTGAGTGGTCTGAGAGACAGTTTGTTATAATTTCTGTTCTTTTACATTTGCTGAGGAGTGCTTTACTTCCAACTATGTGGTCACTTTTGGAATAAGTGTGATGTGGTGCTGAGAAGAACGTATATTCTGTTGATTTGGGGTGGAGAGTTCTGTAGGTGTCTATTAGGTCCGCTTGGTGCAGAGCTGAGTTCAATTCCTGGATATCCTTGTTAACTTTCTGTCTCATTGATCTGTCTAATGTTGACAGTGGGGTGTTGAAGTCTCTCATTATTATTGTGTGGGAGTCTAAGTCTCTTTGTAGGTCTCTAAGGACTTGCTTTATGAATCTGGGTGCTCGTGTATTGGGTGCATACATATTTAAGATAGTTAGCTCTTCTTGTTGAATCCCTTTACCATTATGTAATGGCCTTCTTTGTCTCTTTTGATCTTTGTTGGTTTAAAGTCTGTTTTATCAGAGACTAGGATTGCAACCCCTGCCTTTTTTTGTTTTCCATTTGCTTGGTAGATCTTCCTCCCTCCCTTTATTTTGAGCCTATGTGTGTCTCTGCACGTGAGATGGGTTTCCTGAATACAGCACACTGATGGGTCTTGACTCTTTATCCAATTTGCCAGTCTGTGTCTTTTAATTGGAGCATTTAGCCCATTTACATTTAAGGTTAATATTGTTATGTGTGAATTTGATCCTGTCATTATGATGTTAGCTGGTTATTTTGCTCGTTAGTTGATGCATTTTCTTCCTAGCCTCGATGGTCTTTACAACTTGGCATGTTTTTGCAGTGGCTAGTACCGGTTGTTTCTTTCCATGTTTAGTGCTTCCTTCAGGAGCTCTTTTAGGACAGGCCTGGTGGTGACAAAATCTCTCAGCATTTGCTTGTCTGTAAAGTATTTTATTTCTCCTTCACTTATGAAGCTTAGTTTGGCTGGATATGAAATTCTGGGTTGAAAATTCTTTTCTTTAAGAATGTTGAATATTGGCCCCCAATCTCTTCTGGCTTGTAGAGTTTCTGCTGAGAGATCCACTGTTAGTCTGATGAGCTTCCTTTTGTGGGTAACCCGACCTTTCTCTTTGGCTGCACTTAACATTTTTTCCTTCATTTCAACTTTGGTGAATCTGACAATTATGTGTCTTGGAGTTGCTCTTCTCCAGGAGTATCTTTGTGGCGTTCTCTGTATTTCCTGAATTTGAATGTTGGCCTGCCTTACTAGATTGGGGAAGTTCTCCTGGATAATATCCTGCAGAGTGTTTTCCAACTTGGTTCCATTCTCCCCATCACTTTCAGGTACACCAATCAGATGTAGATTTGGTCTTTTCACATAGTCCCATATTTCTTGGAGGCTTTATTCATTTCTTTTTATTCTTTTTTCTATAAACTTCTCTTCTCACTTCATTTCATTCATTTGATCTTCAATCACTGATACCCTTTCTTCCAGTTGATCAAATCGGCTACTGAAGCTTGTGCATTCGTCACATAGTTCTCGTGCCATGGTTTTCAGCTCCATCAGGTCATTTAAGGACTTCACTACACTGGTTATTCTAGTTAGCCATTCATCTAATCTTTTTTCAAGGATTTAGCTTCTTTGCTTTGGGTTCGAACTTCTTCCTTTAGCTCGGAGAAGTTTGATTATCTGAAGCCTTCTTCTCTCAACTCGTCAAAGTCATTCTCCATCCAGCTTTGTTCCATTGCTGGCGAGGAGCTGCATTCTTTTGGAAGGGGAGAGGTGCTCTGATTTTTAGAATTTTCAGCTTTTCTGCTCTGTTTTTTCCCGATCTTTGTGGTTTTATCTACCTTTGGTCTCTGATGATGGTGACATACAGATGGGGTTTTGGCGTGGATGTCCTTTCTGTTTGTTAGTTTTCCTTCTAACAGTCAGGACCCTTAGCTGCAGGTCTGTTGGAGTTTGCTGGAGGTCCACTCCAGACCCTGTTTGCCTGGGTATCAGCAGTGGTGGCTGCAGAACAGCGAATATTGCTGAACAGCAAATGTTGCTGCCTGATCGTTCCTCTGGAAGCTTCGTCTCAGAGGGGTACCCAGCCCTGTGAGATGTCAGTCTGCCCCTACTGGGCGGTGCCTCCCAGTTAGGCTACTCGGGGTCAGGGACCCACTTGAGGAGGTAGTCTGTCCATTCTCAGATCTCAAACTCCATGTTGGGAGAACCACTACTCTCTTCAAAGCTGTCAGACAGGGACATTTAAGTCTGCAGAGGTTTCTGCTGCCTTTTGTTTGGCTATGCCCTGCCCCCAGAGGTGGAGTCTACAGATGCAGGCAGGCCTCCTTGAGCTATGGTGGGCTCCACCAAGTTCGAGCTTCCCGTCAGCTTTGTTTACCTAGTTAAGCCTCAGCAATGGCAGGCGCCCCTCCCCCAGCCTCGCTGCTGCCTTGCAGTTAGATCTCAGACTGCTGTGCTAGCAACGAGCGAGGCTCCGTGGGCATGGGACCCTCTGAGCCAGGTGCGGGATATAATCTCCTGGTGTGCCGTTTGCTAAGACCATTGGAAAAGCGCAGTATTAGGGTGAGAGTGACCCGATTTTCCAGGTGCCGTCTGTCACCTCTTCCCTTGGCTGGGAAAGGGAATTCCCTGACCCCTTGCGCTTCCCTGGTGAGGCGATGTCTTACCCTGCTTTGGCTCACACTCGGCTGCACCCACTGTCCTGCCCCCAATGTCTGACAAGCCCCAGTGAGATGAACCCGGTACCTCAGTTGGAAATGCAGAAATCACCCGTCTTCTGCATCGCTCATGCTGGGAGCTGTAGACTGAAGCTGTTCCTATTCGGCCATCTTGGAACCACCCCCAGTCTGTACCAGTTCTTTATGAGAGAAACTTCAAATGGATTCTTCAGACCACTGGCTCACAATCTTCCTCCATCCCCCTAGCATGTTTGGGTGGGCTCATTAGGATCTAAAGTTCTTTGAGGATCTAAATATTTTTGGTTTTATTTTGATGGAATGATCCCCTTATTTAATTATGTTCTCCATAAAGGAGACTCTTCAAATGCATTGCCCACTACTCTCCACAAGATGAAATTTAGATGATTGGAAATGGGACACATACGGCCACTGTTACAGCTTCTATTCAACATTGTACCCAAGGTTCCAGCCAAAACATCAGGCAGGAAAAAGAAATAAAAGGCTTCCAGACTGGAAAGGAAGAAGTAAAACTGTCTCTATGTGCCAATGACGTGATGTTCTATATAAAAAAAAACCTTAAGAAGGCTGGGTACAGTGGCTCACACCTGTAATCCCAGCACTTTGAGAGGCTGAGGCAGGTGGGTTACTTGAGGTCAGGAGTTCTAGACCATCCTGGCTAACATGGTGAAACCCTATCTCTATTAAAAATACAAAATTAGCTGGGTTTGGTGGTGCATGCCTGTAATCCCAGCTACTCAGGAGGCTGAGGCAAGAGAATTGCTTGAACCTGGGAGACAGATGTTGCAGCAAGCTGGGATCATGCCACTGCACTCCAGCCTGAGCAACAGAGACTCCATCTCAAAAAGAAAAAAAAAGAATCTGCAAAGAAACAAGCATTGCATTTCTATACAGAGTAATGCTCATCTGAAAATGAAATTAAAAAATTTTCATTTATGATAGCATCAAAAAGAATAAGATTTATTCCTTAGAATAAATGTAACAAAAGAAACGGAAGACTTGTACCCTGAAAACTAAAAAAAAACTGTTGAAAGAAATAAAAGAAGATCTGAATAAATGTAAAAACATCCCAGGTTTTGCAATTGGCAAACTTAGACTTAATATTATCAAGATGGTAATATTACTCTCCAAAGTGATCACCAATTCAATGCAATTACTATCAAAATCCCAGCTGCCATTTTTACTGAAATTGTCAAACTGATCTGAAAATTTATAGGGAAATACAAAGGACCCAGAATAGCCAAAATCATCTTCAAAAAGAGCAAATTTGAAGAGCTCACACTTTCTGATTTCAAATCTTACTACAATGCTACAGTCATCAAAACTGTATGGTACTGGCATATAAATAGACACATGGATAAATGGAATAGAATTGAAAGTCCAGAAATAAACACCAAGTAATGGTCAATTGATTTTCTTTTTTAAATTTTTGTAAGTTTTTAATTATTCTGGATACGCAATAGTGTACATATTTATGAGGTACATGTGATGTTTTGATGCAGGCATACAGTGTGTAATGATCAAATTAGGGTAATTGGGGTATCCATCACCTCAAGCATTTAGCATTTCTTTATGTTAAGAATATTCCAATTCTACCATTTTAGTTATTTTAAAATATATAATAAACTGTTGTTAACTGGAGTCACCCTACTGTGCTACTGCATACTAGAACTTATTCATTCTATCAGCCTGTATTTTGTACCCATTAACCCTCTCCCGACTACCCTTCTTAGCCTCTGACAACCATCGTTCTACTCTCTGTCTCTGTAAGTTCATTTTTAAGCTCCCACGTATGAATGAGAACATGCAATATTTGTCTTTCTGTGCCTGGCTTATTTCACTGAACATAATGTCCTCCAGTTTCATCCATCTTGGTGCAAGCAACAGGATTCCATTCTATTTATGGCTGAATAATACTCCGTTGTGTATCTTTACCACATTTTAAAAATTTGTTCATCCATTGATGGGCACTTAAGCTGATTCCCTATTTTGCTTATTGTGAATACTGCTGCAATAAACATGGGGGTGCAGATTTCTCTTCCATATGCTGATTTTTTCTTTTGGATATATACCCAGTAGTGGGATTGCTGGATCATATAATTGTTCTATTTTTAGTTTTTGAGGAGCCTCCATACTGTTCTCTATAGCAGCTGCACTAATTTACATTCCCACCAACAGTGTATGAAGGTTCCCTTTCTCGGCATGCTCACTAGCATTCATATTGCCTGTCTTTTGGATAAAAGCCATAAGAGTGAGTGTCAAGACAATTCAGTGGGGTAAACAATAGACTTTTCAACAGGTGGTCCTGAGACAACTGGTTATCCTCAGGCAAAACAACCCAGTTGCAACTCTACTTCATGCCATCCACAAAAATTAATGCAAAATCTACTTGGAAGAGCTAAAACTTGAACTCCTAGAAGAAAACAGATGGGTGTGTAAATTTTTATTACCTTGGATTAGACAATGGTTTCTTACAACTCTAAAAGCCCAAGCAACAAAAGATAAAATAGATCAACCAGATTTCATTAAAATTTTTTTAATTGTTCTTCCAAGAACCCTATCAAGAAAGTGAAGAGACAACCTGCAGAATGGTAACAATATTTACCAATCATTATCTGATAAGCATCTAGTATCTAGAACATATAAAGAATTATTACATCTCAATGACAAAAAGTCAAATAATTCCACTTTAAAATGAGCAACAGATATGAGTAGACATTTCTCCAAAGAAGGTACACAAATGTCCAATATGTATACAAAATGGTGCCCAACATCATTAGTCATTAGGGAAATACAGAGCAAAACCACAAGGAGATACCACTTCACACCCATTAGGATGGCAATAATCAAAAGACCACAGACGTTGGGAAGAAACTGAAACATTCATACATTGATGATGAGAATGTAACATGGTACAAGATGCTATGGAAAGCAATTTGTCAATTTCTCAGAAAGTTAAACATAGAATTATCACATGATTTAGTAGTTCTACTCCCAGATATATATATATATGCAAGAGGATTGAAACTATATATCTGTACCAAAACTTGTACATGAATATTCAAGGTAGTGTTTTTTTATAACAGCCAAAATGTGGAAACAACCCAAATGTCTATTAACAGAAGAATTGATAAGCCAAATTTGGAATAGCCATACTATGGACAGTTATTCAGCCATAAAAATAATAAAGCATTGATTCCTGCTACAACATGGACAAATATCAAAAACATGCTACGTGCAATAAGCCAGACACAGAAGACGAAATATTGTATGACTTCTCACCTTCCCTTTGCATACCTTCACTTCCATAGCTCTCCCCCATATCTGTGGTACGCCTATAACTAAGACTCTATTCCATGGTACCATAGGTGGCTCAGCTCCCCTGATGGAACCAAGACTGATGCAGCCATTCTTGTCTTCAGCATCCTTAGGCCACTCGAGATAGTCAATCTAGAATGAAGGCTGGTGGTCAATTTTGAAATCTTGATGCACATGAGGAGACTGTCATTTAAACCTCATCATCACTTTAATGTTATCTTTCTTTCTCTTCTGCCATCCACCTGCATCCCTATGTGACTCAGAATGTCAGCCAATAATCCAAATTCATCATAGCTCCTAACTAAGTGAGTGGTGCAGGGTTATCATCCTTATAATGGTTACAGCTTGAGACCATGGAAACCATTGTGTGCTGAGAAGAAGCATCTAAACGTACATTCTCCACTCATGGACCAATAGGAATGTGTGAACATGGGCTGTGACGTGCTCTACCAGAAGTTTCTGGAAGGCCAGAGCTTCAATTATGCCCTGGCTTCAATACTTGGAGTTGGGTGGTGTGTCTTGGAGAGAAATCAGATGATTCAACCGCCAACCACAATGATTATCTGAATCTACAAGATAAAAATATAAGAATGAGTCTTTGAACCTGAGAGCAGCAGCAGCAGCATCTATGTATCCAGATGAACTTTTTGTAAGGCCCAAGTCGGTTACATGTGGGTGGAAAGAAACCTGTTAAACCTTAGACCATGATTCTCAACCATTGCCTCCCAAGCCTTTGTGTCTGTAACACTTTGACATCCTGAGAGCCATCCTTGGAAAGCCTGAGTCAGTAGTTCTGGGGAGGGGCCTGAGTACCAATCCTCTAAATTTCTGCCTGAAATCATTTGCTGTTTTCTGTGTGCAAGGTGATGATGGCTACATTTTAGAAGAAAGTCATTCTATTTTATAGCTACATGCCAAATATTTATAGATGAAATAAACAAAAGGAAATCTCCCTGAGTGGTTGCAATGTGCAGCCAGGGTTGGCACTGCCTGGATGACACATTGCATCCAACAACCATGGGTCCACCCAAGTCATGCTTTGGATGCAGAAGTGACAGAGGCTGCCCTGCTCCCGAGAAACTTGCAGCCCCAAGGGAGAGACAAACACATGAACAAACAGTGGTCTGTGTGATGGGTGTCCTTGAAGTGGTACAAGCCAGGCACAGGGAGAAGACCGAGATGTGTGTGTGCAGTTCTCCATGGAGACGTCAGGAAGAGGCTTGGGAGAACAAGGTGATTCCTGGGCTTCTACAGGGGCCATTTGGATAATAATGGTAGCTCTTTCAGGGCTTATAGCTCTAATTTCTTTAACTTGGTTACGATTTCATTTCCTGGCTATATTGGAAGAACACATTGGCAGAGATCATCACCTTTTTCACCCTAAAGGGCAGATCCTATGTAGGTAAGTGGTATGGTGCAGCCAGCCCCCTGGGCCATCTACACCAGAGTGGATCCAAAGCTAGTGTCCCCGACCAGCTGCGATGTGCCTCAGGATGGAGAGGAAGATTCACATAAGTGAAGACATCGGCAATTGGCAGCCTCTTGGTTTGTCTTGACCTAGCCAAGGCAACAGGTTCAAGGTGTGTCAGGAATAACCTTGCCCTTTTCAGGACACTCCCTCACCAGAGACTCTAATGGCCCCAATGGAATGTGCCTACCCTAAGACCCTACAAATTGTGGTGGAGGCCTTGGCGGCACCCAGTTTGGGCCGGGATGCTCCCTTTCTTTGAATAGAAAACACATGTAGATAGAATGCTCCATCTGCTCTGATCTCTCAAGTACTTCTCATTCAGTCCCATTTAACCAGTCACAAAGCATTTTAGAAGGCTGTGTCAATCGGAGGCTGGGATAATAGCTGTGCCATTACCTTGAGCATTGTTGAAACTTGAAGGCTAAAATGTGTCTCATTATTCAGGTTCTCAGAGCGATGGCATCTAGCCAAAATGGTCCCATTAACTCTCAAGGCCTTACTTTCGATGCTCTCCACCTTTAAATAATAATTTCTTTTAAAGGAAGTGAAGAAAAGTTGTAGACTATCATTGACCTCAATACAGCAGAGTCTGTCACATCTGGAGATACATTATCTATGCATGGGGCTTTCGGAGTTCATCTGACGAAAGCTTGATGTACAGTTTTCAGAGTCAAGAAAATTCTCCCACCTTGGATTCAAAACAATGAGGAATTTTAAGTGTAGGCGAGGAGCCGAGGTTTCTGGTCTTGTTGGAAATGCCCTGGTGACAGCTTTCTGTGCTGAACTCTTCCTCCTCAGTCTGCAGCGCTGTTTTTCTTCCAGTGGACCCCTAATGTAAGTCTTTGGGTCTCAGTATATCTATCTAAAGTGGGGGATTGGGCTGGACTTCTAACATTCTTCTGGTTCTGAACTTCAGTGTTTCTGACTTTTTCCTATTGGCATAATCTTCTTAGATTGGTTCACAAAAACAACACAAATACTGAAATAGCAATAGCTAATGCTTATGGGATAGTTACCATGTGCTGTCTGTATCCTTTCCTTTAATCCCATCATCAATGTCATGAGGAAGGTTCTATCGTTCTCTCTGTTACACAGATGAGGAAATGGAAGTGCAGACCGGCTAAGTATCTTGCTCAAGATCACACAGCTGGCAAGTGTCAGAGCTGGCTTCAAACCCAGGCCTGACTGTCAACCCTCAGTGTGGTCAGCCTCTCTGGTGTTATTCAGCAAATCACCCCCAAAACCTGGTGTCTCATAACAACCATCATTTTATTGTCTCTCATGGTTTATGGGGATCAAGAACTTGGGAAGGGCTTTGCCACGTGGTTCTGGCCCATGAACCCTTTTGCAGTTGTGAACAGACAGACAGTGCTGGAGTGAGAACGAGAGAAGCAGGGAGTTGTCTGGGCTTTCTTCTTTCCTCTCTCCCCCTCTCCCTCCCTCTCACGTCATCTCAGGGCCCATCCAGGTGGTGGCTCCATGAGAGCCAGTTGGGCTTCCTCACAGCATGGTGGTCTCAGGACAGCCCCAAGCTGTTCATGTGACAGCTCAGGGTCTCCAAGAGCAAGTGAATCCACAGGCCAGTTCAGAACCTGAATAACCATTGATGACCCAGCCTGCTAGCCCCAGAAGTCACACAACACACTTGAAGTTGTGCCAATATGCTCTTTTGGCCAAAAGAGTCCCAGAATCCCACCCAGTTTCAAAGGGATGGAACACACATTCCAGCTATCAATGGGAAGAATGTCAAAGTCACATTTTAAGGGGAATGTATATAGTGAAAGTCAATGTTGGACAATCTTTGGAAAATACAGTTTGCTGCAATATCTGTATTCATCAGCTCAGGCTGCCATAAGATGATACCATAGTCTGGGCAGCTTAACCATCAGGAATTTATTCATTTCTGGAGGCTGGAAGTCCGAGACTAAGGAGCCGGCAGGGTTCTTTTCTCCTGAGGCCTCTCTCCTTGACTTGCAGATGGCCACTTTCTCTCTGTGTCTTCACATGGCCTTTTCTCCATGTGAGAGTGAAAAGAGAGAGGTCCCTGGCATCTCTCCCTCTTCTAATAAGTACGCCAGTCCTATTGGATGAAGGCCCCATTGCACAGCCTCAGATAATCTTCATTACCTCCTTATAGGCCCTGTCTCTAGTGCAGTCACATTGAGGGTTAGGGCTTAAATTACATGAATTTAGGTGGGGGTGGGGGTGGGGGTGGGGGTGGGAGCAGAAACACAATTCAGTCCGTAATAATTTTTAACTGCAAAGTCTTAAATGCTTTACTGCACTTGCAGAAAAAATAGCTAGTATGATAGAAAAAAAAGAAAAGAAAACAATACACAATTTTGGGGACTTTACTTACTACTTTACGTAGTAAGTAAGATTACTTACTACGTAAATATGAACAAATCACTGAATATCTCATAGCCCTGGCACCCTTGTCAGTGTTAGAGAGCCCTAGTGAGCAAGTTTCAATTAGAGTCCTTTGGTTGCAAGCAACAGAAATCAACACTGGCTACATTAAGCAAAGTCAGGGCTCATTGGGAAGGAGATGGTTGGCTCCCAGAACCAAAGGACCTGATGGAAATGCAGTCAGGGAAAGGAATGAGAACAGACAGATCAAGGTGCCGGTGGCCAATCAACCAACAGTCTTGAGAGGGCACCAGAGACAAGATAGATTGTTTCCAGCATGCTTCTCTTCCCTCCATGCTCCTACATCCCTCTGCTCAACTTCCAAAATCCTAGGAGGCATCTCTAGTGTCAGTGTGAGTTACTTGCTCAACTAGCTCTGGCTAGTACCACACCTTGAAAGACAGTTCTGCCAAGATTGCAATCAAAGGAGTCTGTGGGGGGCTAGTTATTCCAAGTTCTTCCGGGATGAAATTGGGGCCCTGGTACCCACCCCCATGGAGGAGAAACATAGCAACCAAAAAATTGACAAGTGTTCCTCATATTATAGGGCTGTTGTAAAAATAGCGTGATATGTAAAACATGCCAAACCTGATGTCTGACACCTAGGAGGCCCTCAATAGCCATTGCCCATTATTAAAAAGTATAATCAATGTGCTTGACTACTCCTCTGCTCAGTGTGTGTCTGGGCGTTGCCCTGCAAATGTGAGGGCTACTCAATGTCAATTGAGTGATGAACTGGATGAATGAGTGACATTCAAATTCTCCATATAGAGGACACAAAGACTCATCTCAGGGCTTGGCCTCCCTCCTGGAAGACAGCTCTGAGGAGGGAGGTCAGAGAGCTGAGGAGTGGTCAGACCCGTGGGATTTGGGATGGCACTTGCATTCCACAGAGCCTCCCAGTCCCCATGTTTTAGAGCCTCTTTCATCAGAATGGGCTGTGTTCTGCTGCATGTAACTGAAAACCAGACCATGGCGGCATAAATATGGAGCATTTTGGGTTTTGTTGGCCCTGGTTTTGTTCTTCTGTATCAAGCCTGGATATAAGCAGTTCATGATGCAGCCAGCAGCCCCACTCGTTCTGCAGGACCCAACCTCGCCGTCATTAATATGTGGCTTTTATACCCATGGTCGGCAGCTAGCAGACACGTCTCTAGACATCATGCCAGCTCTCCAGATGCAGGAGAAAGCAGTGGGGAATGGCTGGGGGCAGCCAGCCTCAGCATCATCTGCATTACATGGGTCTCCTGCAGATCTGCTTTCCAGTGAGCATCTCAAAGAACAAAACCCTATGAACCAGAAAAACACAAGTTTCCTTCCAAAAAGAGGCAGGTGCTCAAGTCAACATGTGGGAGATGTTTGGGTTTTCCTTGCAGAGTTCTAGACCAAAGATGTGGAGGAGTAGATTTGCCATGACTGCACGGCTGCCTCAAGATCTTCCAGGTTTCCTCTTCTCCAAGACTTGGACATAGGAGGGGGCTCTGGTGGGAGCTATTTGAGGAGGATGCAGAAGTGTATGTGGGTCATCCAGCTTAAATTTAAATTGGGGTAACATTACCCTAGGCCATTGTGGGTAGGTTTCATGGAGATCTGTTGCCTTAACCTGCCTGGCTTCCGTCTCCCTTCCTCTGAAAATGCTGCTCTCTGCTTCTGTTGGTAATGCCCGGCCTCCCCATGCACCATCCCAGTGGCTCCCATGCTCCTGTCCTCACCACCAGATTCCAAGGTTGGGCACATGAAGTAGACTTGGCGAATCAGAATGTTCATCTCCATTGGCCACAGTGTTTGCCTCCAGAATGGGCTGATGCCCTTAGCAGGAACAGACAGGGTCACAGTGAGTGCTGGACGGTGTGACCACGACCTCAGACTCAATTCTGAAACTTTGCTGTAGCTGATGGGAAAAGGCACCCTCTTTCTTCAGCATTGTGAACTAGTGGTGGCCACTTTTCCTACCACCCCAGGAGAGCATACCCTGAAAAGGAAGCCCACAGAGAGAAAAGCAGATCCCAGGGAAAAAGAAGTCCTGGTTTACCTGGCTTTGGGGCTCCTAGATTAATTTAAAGTGTTTGGTTTTCTGTTTTCCACCATTTTTTTCTTGCTTAAATCAGTCTGAGTTGGGTTTCTGCTGCTTACAACCAAAAAATCCCTGACCAACCCAGGCTGTCCCACACCCCGGGTGACCGCTGTTCCTGTTTATTTTTTATTCCATTACTGCATACTTCACCTGGAGACCTAACTGTACTTGGGAAATGCTGGACCGTGCAGAGAGGGATGTGATAATGAGATTTTAGGATCGAGAGAGAGAAGAAACTGAAACCCTTGTAATCGTGTGCGAAGGTTTGTCCAGGTGTTTTTTTCTTTTTTTTTTTTTCTTTCTTTTTTTTTTTTTTTTTTTAAATAAGACCAAGCCATCCCCGCAGCTTAGTCTTTCAGATGAAAATCCAAAGGACAGGATTTCTCCCGAGGCACTGTCTGTGTGCTTCATTTCCTTGCATTGCCTTGTAGGAAAAGCTCCAGAAACATCAGTGAGAGATGTTTGAAAAATCTCCGTGAGTCCCAACATGACGGGGAGCTGCTTCAGGTTTTTTCTGGGCTGTTTTCAGGGCTGCCAACTCAGCCAGCAATCCTGAGTCATCAAATCGTTTAAACGTTTTATATGTTTCGAAAGGTGTGAAACCACTCTTCACTGACAAATTTTTGATGAAGTGAGCAAACTCTCCCAGAAGCATGTTTTGAAGGAGAAAGGGACTCACTCCTCCAAGGCTCCGCAGACTTCTCTGTGAGTAATCATATCATTTTGGTGATAGGAAACTGGCTGAGGCATGGGAACCTGAGGACCATTTTGTAAAGTGGGATTAAGATGCTGTGTGAGGAGATGGTGAAAAATCCACTCAGATGGAGCTCTAACCGGTTTTTTCACCCAGGTACTAACATATTGTCTGATCTGTGGATTCTTGCTGAATATTAACCATGATGTGGCTGTACTAACTCTGATAGTCTGGAGTCACCTTGACACCCTTGGTTTGTCTGTGGGTGTGTTAGTCCGTTTTCATGCGGCTGATGAAGACATACCTGAGACTGGGAAGAAAAAGAGGTTTAATGGACTCACAGTTCCACATGGCTGGGGAGGCCTCACGATCATGGCAGAAGGCGATGAGGGAATGAGGCAGAGGCGAAAGCGGAAAACCCCTTATAAAACCATCAGATTTCATAAGACTTTTTCACTACCATGAGAACGGTATGGGGGAAACCGCCTCCGTGATTCAGTTATCGCCCACTGGGTCTCTCCCACAACACCTGCGAATTATGGGAAAACAACTCAAGATGAGATTTGGGTGGGGACACAGAGCCAAACCATATCAGTGGGTGACCCATCCAAAGGGCATCCACCTGCTCTACGGCCCTCGAGATGAGGAGTTAACAACCGTTTCTCCTGGTAATGATAGATGCAGGGAGGCGGAGTGGGGACATGGGTCCTGCTGCCTGGGCTCAGTGGGGTTTGCCTCCTGTCCCCAGCTGTGTGCAGAGCCACTTCCTGCGGCCTCCAAGCAAGTGCTGCATGCATTGTCAGCCTCTGTGTGGAGCAAGGCCGTGGCTCCGGATGCCACCAGTGCCTCCTTCTGTGGAGCTCCTTTGTAACTGTCCTGTTCTCCCTCTTGGGCTCTCCCTTGTTCCAGTGTCCCCTCCTTAAGGAGAGCTGCCCTTCATTTTCCTGTTTGCAGCCTGGTACCATCTGTAGCTGTTGACACCCGTGCTCCCTCCAGCTGCTCAGCTTCCAGGGCTGGAGCTGTGAAAGTGGCATGAGGGTCATCATATCATACCATATCATATCATGTCATGTCATGTCGTGTCATGTCATGTCAGTCTCTCCCCAGCGTGGCTGACTTGCACAGTTATTCGTCTCCTAACAAAGACTGAGCTTTAGGAGAGGAAGGCCCATGACTGTTTGGTTCACATCTGCAAATCCAGGCCCCAGTGTCCTGCCTGGCCCAGGGCAGGGCCTCAGAAGATGTTATTGGGGTGAACGAGTGGGAATCAGAAGGATGTTGGGCAAGGAGAGGACAGTGGGCTGGCCTAGGCTGTGTGCAAGTCCTCGAAGCAAACCAAACCAAAGCAACAAATGACTGAGTCAAGCCTCCATTGATTTTGAGGTTTATTTTACCAAGGCTGAGGATGTACCTGGGAAAAGGAAACACAAGTTACAGTAGGATCTGCACCTGTGCTTTTCCCAAAGCGGGCTTTGAGTACCTCAGTGTTTAAAGGGGAAAGAGCGGGCGGGAGGGGAAGGAGGAAAGGAAAGAAAAAGGGAAAAGAGTATGCAATGAGGCAGGGGTCACATTCTTTGGAGGCTTTGGTTAGTGCTCACCAAATCTACATTTTACATGTGAAAGCAGGGGTAGAGGAACAGTCAACTATGCATTCTTAGTGTGCTCAGTAAATCTGCGTTTTACACAAGATAAAGCAAACAGGTGAAATCACAGCTGTTGAGTAACAAGAAGGAGGCAGTTTTTGCATGACTCAGTTTCCCAAACTTAACTTTGCTTTTGGGATAGTGAGTTTGGGGTCCTGAGATTCTATTTGCCTTCCACAGGGAGCCCTCTGAGAACTCAGTCATTTTATGACCAGCAGCCTGAGAGTGTGGGGTAGGGACGGCTGGAGAACTAGAATATCACAGTCATCAGCACTGGGGAAAATTCCAGAAGGTCTGAGACCTCTGCAGAGGGAACAAGTCCAGGTCGGCTCTTGGTGGACAGGGGAGGATTTGGTAATACTCATTTTTAAAAATAAGGCCAGTGAGCCTTTCTGTACCATGTCACAGGCCAGAGAACATCTTGTGGCTAAAAGGGGAAAAGAACGTATTATTCTGTTATCAGAGAGTCAAACTAAATGCTAATCCTACAGACTGTCTCCTTTTTCCTGGTATTGTGACTTTATCATCATACCTTGGTCCTTACTGAGTAGGGGATGCTGGAGGAAACAGAGGCTGAGTTTATGATGCAGAAAGGTTAGAAATTGTTCTTAGGGTGTTAACCAACACTCCTGAGGCTGGTGACCTGCCTGGAGTCAAGGACATACAAAGTCAATCCCAACAGGTCCAGGGGATTAAGGTGAGGAGAAGGATCGGGGACCTGGGTTTGCTTTCTTCTTTCTTTTGATATTTATCTACTTTGAGGAGGCCAACTTCTTTTATATTGTGACTTATTCTTCCTTTGAATTATGTGATCTCTTTCTGTTGGTGGATCCCGAAAGCAACCACCCTATAAAACATTTACAGGCCAACAACACCATGACTGAGAAAGGACACTTTGCACATCGATCACCATCATAAATGGCCCTGAAGGCTGGCAGGCCAGGGACAGGATTTGCCAAGAGGGCAGATTTTCTCTTGCTTTTTTAAAAAAATAAACAACAAGGTTTGCTTGTCTCTCTGCCCTGCATCTCTTTCCGGGCTAAGGCCTCTCAAGCCCGCACCTAGAACGGCGGGTCTGATTTGACTTCACCCCCTGCATTTTGTAAATTCTGGTAGCCTGCCGTCTAGAAGACTCTCCTCACATTTTCTGCATCGCTGGAGCTGGTTGGCAGCAAAAGCAAAGCTCTCTGGCTTCCGTCCCACTTCCATCAGATGGACATGAACCTGGTAAACCGCAGTTCCCACTGAGTTACCAGAGAGGAAATAAGCCAAAATTGTCTCACTTTCCCTGGAGGGCTTCCCCAGGCAGGATCAAAGGCCCTTGGCAGGCTCTGGGATGCTGGGAGGGGAAGCACCTCAGATGGGCGTGGATCACAGGGCAGCCTCGCCTGGCGAGTGGCAGATGGAACCTTCTCTTAGTGCCCTATGCCTGCTGCTCATTGCTTCCCAGACTGGAGATGGCCTGCAATGCGATGCTGTGTGCCGCTCACCCACCGATGTCCACGTTGCTTTCCAGTAACTCCATGTTACATTTCTCCTGGCTGATAGCTGTTCCCTTCCAGGTCCTGCTGGAGGACCTCCTCCTTGATGAGCTGGCAGGCATGGAGTGGTTGGGTGCACCATGGAAAGAGCAGGCATGCAGGGCTGGCCCTGGCATTTGGGTGGGCCCAGGGATTTCTGCAATTGATTTGTGGATGAGTCGAGAAAGTACCTGGATTCAGCCACGCTGCAGTCCCAAGTAGGAGCTCTGTCTGGAGTACACCTCTGCACTGTCTGCAGCCCCCACCCATGAATGCAGCTGCTGTCATTCGGCCAGCAGGTATTTTCAGGCACCTTCCATAAACCAGACACTTATTAAGCCCTGGGTAGCTGACATTCTGGGGAAGGAGTGAGAAGTTAGGGAGCAATCAACAAAACCACTCTCACTTCTGACACCATTTCAAGTTTAGGGAGTTCCCAAACCATCGTTAGGTTTGACAGTTCTCCATAGAGGGATTCACAGAACTCACCAAAAACTGTCGTATCCCTGGTTCCAGTTCCTTACTAAGAGGGACATAGATTGAAGCCATCTAAGGGAAGAAGCATGTGGGGCAGAGTCCAAGACGACACCAAATGCAGGGCTTCTGGGTGTCTTGCCCTGTGGAGCCACAGACAGTGTCACTTTCCTGGCCTTGTATCACAACACACCTGGAGCATTACAACGAGATGCTCACCTGAACCTTGGGGTCCTGTCTCTCCTGGGGCCCCACCACCTAAGTGTGGTGGATATTCTACACAGCTGACCTCTGTCCCCAGCCCCAGGAGGTGGAGTGGATAGTGTATGGCCCGCACCCCACCCCAAGGTGCAATGTTGGTGAGGAGCAGAGGCCCCACTCTGCATCCTACTGCTACAGTCTGGCTGGCCCAGGGCCTCCTAGTGAACAAAGATACTCCTGCAGGCTCAGAGCTGCCTTTCAGGAGCCTAGAGGCTGGTGCACCTGTCCTTTGGGTCACTGTCCCCATATGGTTGTATCTGCCAAGACCACCTCAGGCCCAGTCCCTCTCTGGCCTGACACTCCCAAGGGCTGCTGTGTCGGTCCAAGCACAACCCAAGGCCCCTCGAGCTCCGCCCCTGTCGGCCACAGGCACTTTCCTACCGCACTGCCAGTTTTTTTTTTCTTTTTCTTTTTAAGGTATGTCATTATTCCTTAGAAAGCAAAATAAAGCTCAAAAATCATAACAATTAAAAAGATAGACAAAGAGACGCCTTGCTTCCCTTCCTGGGCCTCTCCATCTCAGCGCCCACCCCCACATCCCCGTGCACCTGCTCCTGGAAGAGCCACTTGCATTTGTTTCTTGTATCTCCTTCTAATCTTTCTTTATACAAATATAAGCAAGTATGATAATATTTTCTTGTTTTTACCTCTTTTCTTGTGCAAAAGTAACCACTCTGTATGTCCTGTTTTGCTCCATTTTCCCCCTAACAATATGTCCTGGAGTTTTTTCCATATCAGTATATCCATTCTCTCAGCTTTTTCATTGCCACATAGTATTCCACCGAGTAGAGCTTCCAGAATCTATTTCACCAGGCAAGAGAACCTGGGTGTTTCCCAAATGTCTGTTATTAAAAAGAATGCTTCCAAAACATGTTTGAAGTAATGCTTCAACAGATAGCCTTGTGGATATGCTGTTGGGTATGGGTAGAGTTAGCTGTGGGGTAAATTCTGTAAAGCTCTGCAAGTAGGCAGAGGAGAGCTGCTGGATCACAGGGAAAAATTGTCTGTCATTTGGAAGGACTTTGTTGAATTTGCCGCTGTGAAGTGGCACTGTTCCGCACCCACCAACATGAGAGAGAGCCTGTTCCCCACACTGCAGCGAGAAGGTGTGTTTGGTGCAACTTTTGGATTTCCCACACCTCGCTTTTTGAAAACTTGAAGCCACACACACAAAACAAGAAAATTTAAAGCCAAGAATGTGTGACTTTCCACGCTCTCAATCTGAGTTCATGCGACAGACGTATATATGGAACATAGATCTCAGCCAGGGGGTACAGCAACACCGCTGTCCGTGTAAAGCTGACCTTCCGGTGGGGGAAGCACGTGACACTGTTTGGATGGATGATATGCCGGGAGGGAGAGGTGCTGTGAGGAGAAGCAGCTCAGAAGAGGGGAAGACAGAAGAAAGCAGAGGGGAGCAGGGTTAGATGCAGTTGCCAGAATGGACCCTCTGGGGAGGGGACATGATACAGAGATCTGCTTGAAGGAAGGGAGGGAGCCACCTGCTCACAGGGGAAGGACTGCTTCGGGCACATCAAGCAGAAACATCCTGAAGTGGGAAGGTCCATGGCTGCGGGGTGTCAGTATGGAATAACCTCCTCTGCCTCCCCCTCCTCCAGCCCCCAAGTATAGGGGAAGAGTCAGGAGACAAGCTGTGCCAGGAATGAAAATCACCTTGGTTAATATGCCGAGATATAATCTCATTACGTACTCTAACACAGAAACCAGTCTTAATTCCTTTGCCCTGCCCTCGTCAGGGAGAAAGGAATAATCCACAGTGGACGCTTTCTGCAGGGACACTTCTTGCCTTCTGGCAGAGTCTTAGCCATGGGGCCCTCCCATCTTGGACGATCTTTTACTTAGTTAACAAGCAGTGAGATGTGCGTGAGAGGGAAAGCATCCTGGCTCTTTCAGGCTTAACTGTGACATCTGCAATTAAAATGGAGATTTTGCTCCTTGAGAAGAGGGGGAAAGCTGATTAGGAAAGATGTCAGGTATAAAAATGAGATGTAGGCACTAGAGAGATTTCTTTTTACTGAAGAATTGTCTAGGGGCTATGAGGACTTTTCCTTTAATTGAACAAATACTTTCAGACAAAGTGTCTGGCAAAGTCCTCACATGCACGATCAGCAGGGTATGGTCCAGGATACAGAATTATCCAGGCCTCCTTGCAGCTGACCAAAAAGTGATCAAGACGGAGCCTGTTCCAAGGACAGGCAGCCCCAGCCTCCAAGAATAGCTGAACCTGCAACAAGACAGACCGTAGGGAGGGTGGCATCGCCTCTTGGCTGGTCTGAGTTAGCTTTGCCATTCCTTGTGTTTTGAGGCTCCAATGCTTGCCAGGCGGAATTACTGCACAGCAGGGTAGTCAGAAATCCCAGCAGCCTGTCCAGCTCCCCGAGGAATCAAATCCCTTTCTTGTGAACAAAAGTGCTGTACTTACAATGCTAAAGAAAGCATCACAATCCAAGTTGGCGGCACCCCTGAAGCCCAAACACCAGAAACATTTATGAAAGAATTTTGTAAGTGGATAGTTCAAAAGAACTCAAAGCAGTAAGCTTGGAGGGAAACATGTTTCTCTTTCTACTTAGCAAGCACTCAGAGAGCTCACACTCTGTGCTAAGCACCTTCCCGATACGGTCTCCTTCAGTCTTCCTAACACAGCTAAACACAGGTGCTATTATTCTCTCCACTTTAAAATAAAGAAATTGAATCATAGAGAGTGAGTAATTTGCCCAAGGCCAGATACTGGACTTTCTTACATTTATTTCATTATCTCTTTTTATTCTGATGTTCATATGTCTGGAATGTGGTGGGAGGTGGTGGTGGCAGGCGGGGTGCGGGGGCGACGCAATTTGTTCAGTGTTTGGGACTTCCAAAGTTCTGATTTGACCCCAGATGCAAAGTCTTCACCCTAAAGAAGAGTTGATATGTTGTTTATCAGCTGTGACGGAGACCTCTGTGAACAGCAAGAAGTGACCATAATGGAACCCAAGAGTGAGAATTCTCTCTACACCCTTGCAAAGACGAGGCATTCACCTTGACCTTGACCACAGATGGCACAGATTTGCCACTCATTTGACACGTATTTACTGAGCTGTCTTAGGCACTGGAAACTGGAGGTGTAGTAGTGAACACAGCAGACAACATTCCCAGCTCTACATTCTAGTGAGGAAACTCAGACAACTAACAAATAAATGAAACCTGTAAATACAGTGAGCAGACTATTGGCTGTTGATCCTGAGTCCCCGAACAATAAAACACAGTAAATAACTTCCTTGAGGCAAAACTACTTATGGTGTCTACAATGCTAAGAGTCTGGACACGGATAAAGCAAAGTTGTATAAGGCTTACCATGGAGATAACTCGATCCCTAGCATATTGGACAAGTTCCTGGTTAAAATCGAATAATCTTTCATAGTGGACTTCATCGGTCAGCTAACCAGCAGCCATCATGAATCACGTTCTCCCCTACATGCTGGAGGTAGCCGTGTAACCTGTTTCTAGCCATTCAAATACACTGGGGACTTCTGATAGATGCATAAAGAGAGAGGTACACACAGATAGCTCTCCTGCATTGACAGGTCTGCACCCGTGTGACCTGCATTTACCCGTAATAATGGGAGGATGTGATAGCAGGAGCTGCGGCAGCCTTTCTGTGAGCATGAGTACTCTAGCCGAGGTGCAAAAGCCAGTGAGGATGGCCAAATACAAGAACTGGACGCACCTCTGTCCTTGAAATGCTAAGCAGCTGAACTAACGGTGGGATCACCTACTTTTGGGCTTCTGTTTAACAAAAAGTGAATGCTCTAGCCACCATTGATTCTGTTTTCTTTTATTTGCAGTTGAAAGTATCTTTGGCTCGGCACAGTGGCTCACGCCTGTAATCCCAGCACTTTGGGAGGCCGAGGCGGGTGGATCACGAGGTCAGGATATCGAGACCGTCCTGGCTAACACAGTAAAACCCCGTCTCTACTAAAAATACAAAAAAAATTAGCTGGGCATGGTGGCGGGTGCCTGTAGTCCCAGCTACTTGGGAGGCTGAGGCAGGAGAATGGCGTGAACCCGGGAGGCGGAGTTTGCAGTGAGCCGAGATGGTGCCACTGCACTCCAGCGTGGACGACAGAGCGAGACTCCGTCTCAAAAAAAAAAAAAAGTATCTTTGATAACATTTTAAAGAAGAAATACAGCCCAACGTGTGTGTTATTAGAGGATAATGCAAGGGTATATTATAGGATCCACAGGATACAGGATTATAGGATGATACACAGGCACGTCGGGCCCATGTCCGTGCCAGCATCACCCGCCCTGTGGTTCGCTGGTTTGAGGTCCTTGTACTTAGAAACTGAGTGGTGTTTCCATTCAGAAGGAAGGAGGAACCTGGACGACAGAACGAGGCCTGATGCCACAACAAGTAGGGTCCGCACTGAGACCCTTCCTCCTCTTTTCACTGGATTTAAAAAATAATAAAATAAACACTAAGTACCCACAAAAAAACTTCAGGAAAATACTCATAACACCTTTATCCATAGGAGCCAAACACGAGACACAGTGAGAGTGCCCATCCACGGGAGGCTGGATAAACCTGTGGAACATTCTTCCGATGGGACAATTGGTGTGAGCACGACATGGCAGCTCTCACGTGCGTTAGGCTGGGTCAAGCAGGCATGCACCAAGGACTAAGCACTGTGTGATTCCACGTCCGAGGCGTTCCATAGCGGGCAACTTAATTCATGGTGGAAGAACATCAGGACACAGGATGGCTCTAGGATTGGGGCTGGGAGGGACTGGGAAGCAAGGAAGAGGGAGCTTTCTGGGCTGATGGTTATGTTCGGTGCCGTGATAGGAGTTTAGGGTGCTGTCACAACTTTTACATTTTATTGTATGCAAATTTTACCTCCAAAGGAGGGAAAAAAAAAACCTTAAAAAAAAGATTGAGTCAGACATGGTGGCTCACACCTATAATCCCTACACTTTGTGAAGCCAAGGTGGGAGGATCGCTTGAGGCCAGAAGTTCAAGACCAGGCTGGACAACATAGCAAGACTCCACCTCTACAAAAAAAATTTTTAAATTAGCCAGGTGTGGTGGTACATTCCTGTAGTTCCAGCTATTTGGGAGGCTGAGGCAGGGGGATGGCTTGAACTCCGGGGTTCAAGGTTACAATGAGCTATGATCATGCCACTGTATTCCACCCTGGGCAACAGAGTGAGACCCTGTTTCTAAAACAATTTTGTAAAGATTGAACTTGCCGGGCATGGTGGCTCACGCCTGTAATACCAACAATTTTGGAGGCTGAGGCAGGCGGATCACTTGACGTCAGGAATTTGAAACCAGCCTGGCCAACACAGTGACACCTGTCTCTGCTAAAAATACAAAAAAAAAAAAAAATTAGCCAGGTGTGGTGGCGTGTGCCTGTAATCGCAGCTACTCATGAGTCTGGGGCAGGAGAATCGCTTGAACCCAGGAGGCAAAGGTTGCAGTGAGGCGAGATCACACCACGGCACTCCAGCCTGAGTGACAAAGCAAGACTCCGTCTCAACAAATAAATAAATAAATAAATAAATAAATAAATAAACAAACAAATATACAAAAAATTAGCCAGGCAGGGTGACACGCCTGTAATCCCAGCTACTCGGGAGGCTGAGGTGGAGGAATCACTTGGACCCAGGAGGCGAAGTTTGCAGTGAGCCGAGATCACACCACTGCACTTCAGCCTGGGCAACAGAGTGAGACACCATCTCAACAACAACAACAACAAACTCAAGTTAATAATTTGCATGCTAAAGTCTTTAGGGGTGATTTATACTTTAACACTTTGAAATGCATCCAAAAATAAGATTGATCCATGGATGGACAGATGGATGGAGAAGTGAATAGGTATATGATACAGCAAGTATAACAAAATGCTAATTATAGACTCTAGGTGGTAGGTCTATGGGTGTTCACTGTACAGTTTTAACTTCTCTGTGTATTGGAACTTTTCATAATAAATTTGGGGGTATCATTAATGTAAACATTGCAGACGTTGTTATTGGTAAAATTCTCCAAGCTTTACCCAGCAGCCATGTCCTGTCTTTGGTGAAGGTAGTTTTATGGAAATGAGATTTGGAGCTAGGAGGGTAGATGAGCCAGGATGGAGCTGCTCTTCATGGGATTGAGCTCTTTCTGCAAATCTTCGTGTAATGCCGGGGAGGAAGGCCTCAGACAGATCCAAAAGGGGACATGTCAGCTGCTAAATGAGCTTAGCCTCAAAGACCAGAATAGACCTGTAGAGCCAGGAACCTCAGGATTATGTTGCATTGAAAGTTTCAGCAAAGAGCATTGAAATTCAGGTATAGCAGAAGTCTTCACCCTTAGGGGAAAGCATGGTTAAGCTCCAGCCTTTTCTCTTTTATTAGAATCGACATCTTATGTGGCACAAACAAATATATGCTGAAGGCTCTAGGGCTCGGCCCTGCGCTTTCTGGGCCCTGGTGGATAAAGCTTGCATTTTCTGGGCCACTGATTTATTTGTGCAGAAAATGAAATAATGTGTGGACAATTAATGAGATGGAAATAGAAAGCACCTAGATATATATTCTAGGAGTCTTTTATTTTTGTCTGGAGTTGTTTTGCAATTAACCCACGAGTTTTATCAACAATAGCTTCGGAAGGGAGGAAAAGATGGAAAGTTCAGGCGGCGTCCTTGGAACACAGGTATCCATGCCATCATCACTTGCCCTGTGGCTTGCTGGTTTGGCATCCTCGTTCTTAGAGACTGAGGGTTGTTGTAGTTCAGAAGGAAGAAGGTACCCGGACAACAGAACGGGACCTGATGCCACACGTAGGGTCCATGATGAGACCTTTCCTCCTCTTTTCACTGGATCTAAAAAGTAATTACTGTATTTTAATTATGCAAACATTTCATGAAGATACCTTTTGTAAATTTTTAAAAGCATTCCATATAAAAGTAATACTTCTTTTGATCTTCAGCTTCAATCTAAACCGCCTACCCTATCCCCTTGAATTATCTATTGGTGTGTGAATGTGTGTGTGTGTGCATGTGTGTGCGTGTGTGTGTGTGGTGTGTGTGTGTGTGTGTATGCACAGGGACACACCCTTATTTCAGAAGCAAAAGGCAAAAGACTGCATGGTTTGAATTCCAGCTTAGACACTTACTAGCCGTGCAGGAACTTGGGCAATTTACATAATCCTTTGTGTCTATTTCTCATTCTGTCACGTGGGAATAATAGTACCACCCCCTGCCTTTGTGTTAAATGTGTATTAAATGTGTCAATATATTTACAGAACTTAGAAGGGTATTTGGTGTGGAGAGAGTGGACTCTAAGGATTTTATATTATTATGTATAATTTACATGTTATACTTAAAGTGATAAATGTTTAGTATTTGTGTGGGGGTGTTAAACATAGAAGATACAGTATTTCACATCACTTTGCATTACTTAATTTTCCCCTCATCAGTACATCCTGGAGAACTTTCCACATTAGTACAGATACCTCTTCTGCCTCATTCTTCTTTACTGCTGCAGAGAATTCCAGACAAACTATGGATAAGGTAGCCATTCCCTGTTGAGAAGGTGACCACATTTTATTATCCAAACTGGGAATTTTTCAGAGTGAAAGAATGTGTTAGTAATAATTATTCCAAGACAGCAAGTGTAAACTAGGACTGTCCTGAATGAACCACGATAAGTTGCATCCAGTTTTCATCCTTACAGTGAAGGCTGCTGTGCTAGACATTGTCCCTATATTTGTCCCTTCAAAGTCTTAAGATGGCTTCTACAGCTGCATTCATCAAATCTTTACAAGGCATGTGTCCAGGCTAAAGGAAAAAATGGCCCTTCCTTATGTCCTTTAAGGTCAAGGAAATTATTTCCAGAATCTTACAGCCCCACGGACTAAGCCTTCCTTATTACTGGCCAAAACTGAAATCCATGTTTATTTCTAAATCCATCACTGGTAAGGGAAATGGAATTACAAGTCTGTTGTATTCTCATTAATACTTTTTCCCCTAGGGCTGGGGAAAGAGGCCAACCTCGCTAGAAGTCCTTGGCCAGTCAAAATCTGGGACTATTGACAAGGAAGAATGAGGGGTTGGCAGTTAGTGAGACCCCTCGAGAGTCTGCCCTGCCAAGCCTCTACTGTAAGGTCCAGAAACCTCCTCCGATGTTGCCTGTGCGGCCCTGACTTCTGCTAGGTCTCTGCCCCTCTTTGTTTTCAATGTCTTGCCCCTGGTTACTTTCAGTAACCACCTAAAACACATGTTATTTCAAGCTCATTGGTTTTCTTCCTCAGACTCTGTTTATGATTAAATCTCTAGGACTTAAGCCCCTCTCATATCATTTAATTTGATCATGATCTGTTTAAACTCTCAGAGGAATGACCGTCACCCTCTGCCCTCGCCAACTTTAAAGTGACTTGCAAAGGCACATGCTGGGTTCCCCCAGACACCCTTTCCCCTCTTCAGTGCTCTCAGAAGCACAGATGTCATCTCAGAAGGCACCTCCTGACCAGCTCAGAGCCCTCGCTCAGCAGTCCACGTATCACCCCTGCATGCTCTTGGTCAGTGTGTCAGAGACTATAGATGTCTACCAACGTTTTCTTCTTTCTTTTTTGACAATGCAGAGATTTTGGATTTTAGCTGGGCCCAGGACTACCCAGGACAAAGATTGTGTTTCCCTTTGAATGGATGTGAGCAAAAGAGATGTGTTTCTTTTATCAGATTATGTCCTGAAAAGGTATAAATATGAACCCTTGGTTCACCCTTCCACTGGCTGGGAGACAGATGTAATGGCAGTCACTGCAGCAGCCACCTTAGACCCAGAGATGGAAGATATGTATACCACAGAATTTCTTAGCCTCAACACTGCTGACATTTTAGAACAAGATCATTCTTTGTTGGAGGGGACTGTCCTGTGCATCATAAGGTATCCAGCAGCATCTGTGGACTCTACCCACTAAAATGCAAGTAGCACATTCCCCAGTTGTGATTGTAAGAATTAAAGCAAGAGGAGAGAAACACAAAGGGTGGCTTGACAGTTAACAGGTTTATTTTAAACCTGGGAGAGACTTCTGACCTAGTTAGGTCTTTTACAGACTAAGAGTTTTTAAGGATTTAGGGTGGGAGAGTTTATTAGAGGCTTGGACTGCTTCTGTGTCTCTTTGTTGTGCTTCTCTGGGAGGGAGAGTTGTGTGTTTGCTCCCATGTTGTGTGTTTGTTCCCGTGTGTTTTCTTTGCAGCTGCAGGAACATCCCCTGAGTCTGCCTCTAGCTTCCCTATCTTAGTGCACCTGAAAGGAAAGGAATGTGCTTATTAAGGTGCACTCCCAGGTTTAAAATAAACCTGCTAACTGTCAAGCCACCCTTCGCGTTTCTCTCCTCTTTCTTTAATTCTTACACTGATCATCAAAAATATCTCCAGACATTGCCAGATATTCACTGCAAGATAAAAATCCCCCCTGTTGAGAACCACTGGCATGAAAGTTGGAGAGCAGCTCCACCATCCTCAAAGTGATTATCTCTGTTCTAAGAGACAGAAGGGAACACACATATTGTTATATATGCTGGTCAGGAAGTGGCTTCTGAGATGACATCTGTGCTTCTGTATATATGTGTATATATATATATGTGTGTGTGTGTGTGTGTGTGTGTGTATACACTTTAAGTTCTAGGTATACATGTGTCACGTTGGTTTGCTGCACCCATCAACTCATCATTTACATTAGGTATTCCTCCTAATGCTATCCCTCCCCCAGCCCCCAGCCCCCCACCCCCCAACAGGCCCCGGTGGGAACACACATATTATTAAAGCAAGTGTTTTTGAATGTCTTTGTTACAGTAGATTACTATACCCTAACTAATATGCACATATATTCTTAATAATTTTAACAGATTATACAGGACTAACTAGATGCTAAATGTTAGAGACAAATCCATCCTTGATTTGGTTAGAAAACTAGCAATATCTACTCTACCAGATTACTGACCTGAACTTGGCTAGATTTCCCTTGTTTGTGGAAATTCTGTAGCCTGTCCTGAGAAGGCAGAAGTTACAAATCATAGCTCAAGAGCGGAATCTGGTACTCAGATATATTTTGTTTTGTTTTTCCACAATTTTTAAAAAATATTTAAAGTCCTTACAAACATTTTAAATAAGAATATTGTATGTAAAAATCCCTATCAACGGCTTCTTGTTCAAAATTATGTGCTTCACTCCTGTACTGCTTGGCCAGGGAGGTAAAGATTACTGTAGAAATAATTCACTCAGTCTCATTATTGTCCTCACATGTAGCTAAATACATGAGGTCTTTGTTCAGTGATTCCCTGGTCGGAGCTGAGCTGTGTGTTGCTGCTACCGTAAGGACTGTATTTTCCAGACCTAAACTTGGGACACCACGCCTTGACACACGGCCAGAAAACAGAGGAGAAATTCCGAACCCCATGCTATCTCAAGAACGCTGGGGTGTATGTTCCCTGTAGCTATTTTGGACGTACCCTTGTAACATCTTGTCATAACAATTAGCCGCGCACACATCAAGCAGGAAGCTGCTGCTGCACTCAGGTGCTACCCTCAGAGGCCTGTGGGTATTTGAGGAGCCACACGATTCCATTTTCATACATGCAGTTGGTGTCTAGAGTTACTCATGGCAGAATCAGACTCAGGCACAGCCTCCTCCATCAAAGGCTTTCCAGATTGCTAGCCCGGCACTCTGCCTTCTCTGCAGTTGTCCCTAGACTGTACATTTTCTATCAGTCTCTTCTTGGCATTGCTTGGTTGTGTTATTTTATTTTCATTTTCCATTGGAGCTCAGATTCAGAAGGTGGTTATGTTCAATCCCTAGCCAACCTTCATCATTGGTTAGTGAATGCTTTGTTTTCCCACATTTACGTGGCGATATCTTGTTTTTAATTAATTTGGCAGACAGAGCAATCAAAAGAGTTTCTGAAGTTTTAGAAGTGCCCCTCCATTTAAGAAATATTGAATGAGGTTTGATTTGTTTCATGTCTATCCAAAATGATTACTGAGATGTGGCCACAAGCAAGCTGGGCCAAGTCTTTGTTTGAGAATATTCTATTATTATTATTAGCATTGATGCCGAAGGTGTCCTTGGTATTAAATAGGCTACTCTTGGTTGCAGGCAGCAGAACCCTAACCCAGACTGTTAAAGAAAAAACAAAAGGAAATTGAATGATCCATCAGTTTCACTTCTGGGTATATACACAGAAGAATTGAAAGCAGAACTCAAAGAGATAGTTACACAACCATGTTTATAGCAGCAGTGTTTACAACAGTCAGACGGTAAAAGCAAGCCAAGTGCCTATAAACAGATGAATGGATAAGCGGAATGGGGTATAGATATACAATGGAATATTATTCAGCCATAAAAAGGAAGGAAATTCTGACTCACATTACAACATGGATGAACCCTGCGAACACCGTGCTAAGTGAAATAAGACAGTCAGTCACACAAGAACAAATACTGTAGGGTTCCGCTTACATGAGATGTCTCCAGTAGTCGAATTCATAGAGACAGAAAGCAGAATGGTGGTTGTCAAGGAATGGGAGGAGTGGAGAATGGACTGGTAGTGTTTAATGGGTGCAGAGTTTCATTTTGAGAAGAAGAAAAGATTCTGGAGATGGATGGTGATGATGGTCTTGCAATACTGTGCCGATGCTTAATGCCACTCAACTGTATGCTTAAAAATGCTTAAGATGCTACATTTTATGTTATGTGTATTTTACCACTTTGTTTTTTAAAAAGAAAACTAATTTTCTCTTTGAGCTGAAAAAATCTGGAGACAGAACTAGATTCAAGCAGAGCTGGACCCAGGAGTTTGAATGGTGTTGCCAAGGGTCTATCTTTCTCTCCATTTCTCACGAACATTCCACAAGGTAGACCAGATGTCACCAGCAGCATAGACTCACAACCTCCTTGTTTAATGACCCTTGAAAAGGGATGTTCTTTCCCTATTACCATGTCAGAAAAATCTGTAAAAAAATAAACAAAACAAAACCTCTGATTGAGCCTGGCATGATGGCTCACATCTGTAATCCCAGCACTTTGAGAGGCCGAGGGAGGAGGATTGCTTGAGCCCAGGAATTACAGACAAGCCCAGGAAAAAAAAAAAAAAAAAGAGACCCTGTCTCTACAAATAATAATAAAAAAAAATTAGTCAGGTGTGGTGGCACACACCTGTAGTCCCAGCCACTCAGGAGGCTGAGGTGGGAGGATTGCTTCAGCCCTGCAGGTCAAGGCTGCAGTGAGCCAGGATTGTGCCACTGCACTCCAGCCTGGGCAACAGAGCAAGACGCCATCTCAAAAAAAAAAAAAAAAAAAAAAAAAGCTTGAGTCGTGGTGCATTTCTGAACCAATTTCCGTGGCCAGGGTGATGTGATTCTTTTGAGTCATTCCCATTTCTCTGTACTACAACAACATAGACTGGGTTCCTTGGCTTAAGGTGGGATTCTGTTATTAGAAAGGAAGAGAGCTATTGTAGAGTCCAGGGCAACTGAATCCTTGATCTATGGGGTACCCTTTGGAAAAAATTGGGGAATGTGTAGCATACAATCCTAGTCAGCATGTAACACGATGGCATTGGGAGTGTGCATTCAAAACACTAACGGTGGCATAAACCATCTCACCAGGACCCAAGTGCTGCCGTTTGATGTGAATAAGCCCCAGGAGCTGTCCCTTGCCATCACATGGCTTTTCTGCAGAGAGCCCTTCCCCTGCTGGCTTTAGCCCTACATAGCTCATGGACAGGCTGTCATTTATGGCCCTGGGTATTACTTCTTTCTCCTGTTGTTCACCTTTTTTTTCAACTAAGAATATAATTCTAAACCTGGAAGGCAAACTCCAGGGTAGAATTCATCAAACAGGAAGCTACAAACAGTAATTTGTGAATTGGGAGAAAACAAGCCTACTCATTAAAATTCCACCGTGAGAAGCTTGCGGTGAGATTCCAGGTTGAAATGTGCTTCTGAAGCAGGCTTTGGGATCGATGGGTTTCTCTGCTCTCATTTCCTTCTTTACTTACAGAAAGGGCACAGGTGGAAACGCCATGTCTCCCTGTAGGTAACCTGTCAGTTCTCTGTAAAGATGTGGACGGACTTAGGGTATAAATGCCAGCCGTCCACTCAGCTGAGAACTATGATCTTCCCTGATGCCTGCCTGATGCTTTCTTATCCCTGCTTTGCCCAGGGTGCTCTGTGAATACGGAAATGCCCTCCTCTGAGGAGTGGGATAGAAGACTCTCCTTCCCTAGTCACTGCCCACTGTAGCAGTTGTTGAAGCTTGATCTGGAAGGATCCCGCCAGGATAACGGATGAGGCAGACCCTTGAGAGGACTGGCTCAATGCCCAGTAGCCTCCCACCTTCTATACCTCTAAGAGAAGCCTGATGCTGTTAGATTGCAGGTGGAGGTGCCCTGGTCTCAGGAAGGTGGGCCTTCCTGGAGTCTCAGAGGATGAATCATGATTGGTCTAATTCCAATCTGTTGTGATAGGCAAGGCCTTTCCAAGCACTCTATTCTAGCTTGGGTGGTTTTCTGGCCCATGAGCCATAAAGGGAAGTTTTCTGATGTGTTTCAGGAACAAAGCCCTTTGAAGAGAAATCCTTTGCACTTCTCTCTCTCTCTCTCTCTCTCTCTTTCTCTCTCTCTCTCTCTCCCTCCTTTGAATGGTGGTAAAAGAATATAATGTTAATAGCTATAGCAACTCCCCTGACACAATGAGAGATCAACCTCACACCTGCCAACCTCCATACATCCTGTTCTTTGGAATAATTAAATGTCTTGCTTTTTAAAGTATCTCTTGAGCTGACTTTTGAAGCCCAAGGTGTTAATAGTAACACCATGTGCTCTGTGTCAGTGGCACACAGGGCTGATCTGAGTTTTGCACACGCCCTTCTGAGAGGTGTATGATCTATTGCAATGCAAGAATTAAGAGTGAAGCTTCTAGAACCCATCGGCCTTACCCCTGTCAAGCTGGAAGTGACTCAGCCTCTCCGTGCCCCAGGTTCCTGAGAGGGTGCTCACATATGAGCTGAGCTGTTAGCCCTGGGGATGTGTTAGCCTTCTGGAGAAATACCTGCAACTCCTGGCCTGCCTTGGGTGCAGCAGTGCAATTGGCTGCTGATGTCACATGAAGTGCCCCTGGCATCAAAGAGGCCTGAATTTGTCTTCATACCTGGAGAACCACATACATATGACCCTTGCCTTATAGAGCTCACAATCCCAGATGGCAGACAATGGCACGACCTCCACGGGCTACCACATTGGGAGCAGAAAAGAGACATGAATGCCACAGAATGTGCTCTCTGCAGGAATGTCTCTGGGCCTTATCTCCATATTTCAGAAACCAAGTTCAGGGTCAGTCACAGGGAAGTCACCTGGTAAGTAAATAGTTATTGAAATTAACCAACAAATATTTTGAGTGTGTGCCATGTGCCAGGAGCTCTTCTAGATGCCAGAAATATTGCAATGGACAAAGAAGGCAAAGTCCTTTGTCTTAGTCCCTTAGGGCTGCTGTAAGAAAACACCATAGGCTGGGTGGCTTATAGACAACAGAATTTAATTTCTCAGAGTTCTGGAGACTGGAAAGTTCAAGATCAAGCCACCTGCAGCTTTAGAGTCCAGTGAAGGTACCTTCCTGGTTTGTAGGGGCTGCCTTCTCTGTGTCTTCACGAGGTGGAGTGGATGAGGCTCCCTTAGTCTCTATTATAAGGGCACCCTTCCCATTCATGAGGGTTCCACCCTGGGGACCTAATCACCTCCCAAAAGGCCCCACCTCCTAAAGCCAACACCTTGGGAGTTAGGATTTCAACACATGAGTTGGGGATGATGCAAACATTCCGACTATAGCATCCTTCCGCAGATGAAGTTTAGATTTTAGTTGGGGAGACACATCAACAAAAAGTATTAACTGTATATGTCAGAGAGTGATAAAGGCTATGGAGAAAAATAAAGTCAAATAAAAGATAGAGAAGATAAGGCAAATCCCACTTGATATGAGCCTCCCTAAGGTGGGATTTGAGTGGAGAAGGAGAAGAGTGAAGACACCAGCCGTGCAGATACCTGGGGGAAAGGCATTCTGGAGGAGGGAACAGTGAGAACAAGGCTCAGAGGCAGGAGCAGCAGTACAGAGCCTGGACTGGATTATCGTGAATGAGGACTGCAAAATGAGGCCAGAGAGGCAGGTGGGAGCAACAGCATGGGGAACAGATCATGCAGGGCCTTAAGGAATAAACAAGAATAGAAAACACCTAGACAGTGGCAGTGAGCTGTGAGCCCAGGCAGGTGGGCCTCAAAGTATACACTTGTAATCCATGCACCTCACTGCCTGACTCCCTGGCAAGCTAGGAAGATCCGTTTCAGCCCGTGCATCCTCATGAAGTCTCTCTTGGTTACCTTCCAGAGGACATTCTGCTGCTGTTAAGAAAGAAATTCAGGGAACTTTGTGCAAGAATTGGAAAGCAACCATGGATGGTCGCTGTGTCCAGAATTGCACCCCAACATGACAAGAACAAAAGAAAGATGAATTCCTGGGGCACTGGGAGTGGGGTCAAGAAAGTGGCCAGGATGTGATGCCACCCCCAGCCAGGAGTCCGGTGCTATTATCTCATGCGTAGCTGTTTTTTTACGAAGGAGTTTTTACATACTTGCTGGGGAAAGCAACACTAGTGAGAGACCAGGGCTCCTTGAGGGGTGAGTTAGTAGGTCAGCCTCATCAAGTATTGATAGGGCAGCTGCGCTGAAGTCATCTTCCCCCTGCCAAAGCTCCTCCGTGCCTGGCCACTGAGTCTCTCAAGGAAGCCGCAGTTACCTGTAAGAAGTTAGAAGTTACTTAAGGAGCCATTAAGGATTGATGGATGGGCTCTTTTGCCCTTTTGGGGTTTTATTATTAATACACTCTTTTGCAGCAGTAACTCTTGACCAAAGAGAAGTCTGGTTCCCATCAAGTTAGCAGTGGGGTGTTTGTGTATGTGAACGTGCATGTACGTGAATGTGCATGTATGTGTGTGTGTGTGTGTGTGTGTGTGTTACATCCATACCATTTCCCCTACCATAGTGGAAAAAAGCATGGCATCAGGGCAATATTTTCAAGCCAACACTTGCCTAGGTTTCTTCTAACTCTGTAGTCAGAGTGCAGGGATCAACCACTCACTCTTTCCTAACTGTTTACTCCTATGTGATCTTGAGCAAGTTTCTTAACCATTCTGTGCTTGTGGTTTCTTTTTTCTCATCTGTTTAAAAAAGAAGCATAGCAAAAGAATCCACTCAATGAAGCTGCTAGGAGATTTTTTAAAAAGTAATTCAAGGAAAACACTTAGAAGAGAGCCTGGCTGATACTGGCAATATTAATGAGAAATGTCAGCTGTTGCTATCGTTGTTACGATTGGACATACTCACAAACATAGCAGAGCGCTGACTTCAGGGCTACATCCCCACTTCCACAAGAACCTGGTAAGTTAGGGCAGCAAAAAAGACTTGGTTTTGTCTTCCGTTGGCCAGCCTCCAGACTCAGATCACTAGGGGAGTCTCATCTGCGGAATTTTGTGCCCTCACGCATTGTGGGCTTTGCTTTGAAACTCTCCTGGACCACAGCACGATCTCTCCTCCTGATGGTTTATTCTCCCATAATTAAATTAGCATCGTGCCAGTCTACATTCTGAAATAGGTAAGGCAAGCTCATAAAAATTCTTCACTGTGTGTTCATGTAGGCTCACAGCGTCATAATCTCAGAGCAGCAGATGCGTGGACAGTGTTTTTGGGGAGCGCGGCTGGGCTATTCTGCTGATCACACAGCGGTGTCTCCTGCTCGCCCCACTCACTCTGCTGAGCTCTGCTTACCCTGCCTTGGAACAGAGTTTCTCAACCTCAGTACTGTCCGTATCTGGGGCCAGATAATTCTTAGTTAGTGTGGTGGTGAGGGGAACTGTCCTGTGTATTGTAGGTTGTTTAGCAACATCACCTCCCAGCCTCCACCCGCTGAATACCGGTATCACCCACGCTCTTACTCATGATAACCAAAAATGCCTCCAGACATTGCTCAGTGTCCCCTGGAGCACAGAACACCCCTGAGAACACTGCTTAGACCATGGCTCACCGTGGGGCTTTGGGTGGATAATTCATAGCAGGATGGGATTGGGACCTCTCCATGAACATACCCCTGAAGAGCTGTGTATTCAGAGCTGGACAGACAGATTTCCCTGCTCAGGAAAAGTTACTGTCAACTGCGGGACTCAGCGGGGATTTTAGTTCCAAGGCTAAAAATTCACTTTGCCTTTTGGCCCTTTCCAGAATGGTGCATCTCACAGTCATTCCAAATTGGTGCCCAATCAGTATTCCTAACAGGCAGATATCGTCTCGCCTTGCCCTGTATAACACTCACTTATAATTATAACACTGTTCATCTCAGAAATGTTTTAATATAAAAATATTTTATATTAATATTTTATTATTAATTAATTAGTATAATTAAAAGGCAGAAATTTTAATAATTTTACATACAGGTGGACTCCATCAGGACTCAGTGTATGATGCAGTAACAAACACAGAGTACCCCCCATCAGCATTCTTGCCTAGCCATTAAATCTAGATCTTCTCATTTGTCTGGATCTAACAGCTAGTTTAAAGGAAATGCAAAGGATACAAGAAAAAATTAAATGACAGTTCAAGGACACAATCAGATAAATCCAGAATATGGGTATTCTATAAGACAAGTGACTTAGTATTTCAAAAAATACCAATTTCATGAAAACGTGGGAGACACTTCTTTTTCTATTAATAGAATAAAAGAGATATAAGGGCCAGACGTGGTGGCTTACGCTTGTAATCCCAGCACTTTGAGAGGCCAAGGCGGGTGGATCACCTGAGGTCAGGAGTTTGAGACCAGCCTGATCAAAATGGTGAAACCCCATCTCTACTAAAAATACAAAAAAATTAGCCGGGCATGATGATGCACCCCTGTAATCCCAGCTTCTCAGGAGGCTGAGGCAGGAGAATTGCTTGAACCTGGGAGGTGGAGGTTGAAGTGAGCCGAGATCGTGCCACTGCACTCCAGCCTGGGTGACAGAGCAAGACAAACAACAACAAAAAAGTAAAAATAAAAGAGATAGAAGAATATAACCAAATGCTATATGTGAACCCTGTGGATTCTGAGGGTTCAAACCAGTTACAGAAAAACAGTATCTTTGAGATGATTAGGGAAATGTTTATATTAGAAAATTACAAATTTTGTTAGGCACGATAATGGCAAAATGATGATATTTTAATAATTCTCCCCTCCTACCCTTCAATCTGGTATTTGGCTAAACGTCATGGGAGCCAGAAGGGAAGGGATCCCTGAGTGGTTTTATTTTTAGAGGTCAGCCTCCTAGGACATGGAGTAGGAGTGAAAAAGGCAGAAAGTGGGCGGGGGTGGGAAGAGTGGTGAGATGTGCAGATGGAGTCTCCGCAGGCGTAGACGATGCACCCAGGCTAACGATGATTTGATGGGAACGAAGCGGTAATTGCCATGCAAGATGCCGGGGACAGTTTTCTATGTAGATCAGCCCTCATGGCACAGCAGCCAGCCCTTCACCAGGGCTGTGCTGGTCAGTGTTTAACATCTTGCTCCCTAGAGGAAAAAGACCTTGATTTATATGGACTGCCAGATTCTGTGGTATGAAATACTCTCACCATAGCCAATTTCAGGCTACCTGACATCACTGAATACGGAGTTGAGAGCACACATCCAATAGCACTTCTTTTTCTTTTTTTTTTTTTTAAACGGAGTCTCACTCTGTTGCCCAGGCTGGAGTGCAGTGGCACAATCTCGGCTCACTGCAGCCTCTGCCTACCTTGTTCAAGCGCTTCTCCTGCCTCAGCCTCCCGAGTAGCTGGGATTACAAGCATGTGCCACCACGCCCATCTAATTTTTGTATTTTTTTGAAGAGATGAGGTTTCACCATGCTGGTCAGGCTGGTCTCGAACTAATGACCTCGTGATCCACCCGCCTTGGCCTCCCAAAGTGCTGGGATTATAGGCATGAGCCACCATGCCCGGCCTCCAATAACACTTCTTTATATAGTATTTTCCTCATTCCATGTAAATGTAAATGCATAAACTCAAGAGGACAGATAATATCAAATTGTCATGAAATAATTAGGAAGTGCTAAGTTTTGAGCATTTATTACCTTTGTTTCTAACATAGATTAATGTGTACATTTATGACTTATATTTGAATAATGGCTGTGTTTGACAGCTAGCTTGCCAAATTCCTGAAAATGTAACAGCCAGAACACCACTGGTTGGTTCATGCTGATCAGCCTGAAGTTTCAATGAAAGAAGAGAAGGAGAGGAATGGAAAGGTGGAATTGGGAGTTCTTGGGAGCAAACTTACAGAAGCAAAACATTGGTAATTGTTTTATGAAGAAACATTCCTTTTGCTAAAGTTTTTGCTGTAGGAGTAGCCCCTTGCTGGGGACCAGAACAGGGGAAAAAGAAATAATAGAGTTAGAAGTAGCAACAATGCTTAGGAAATCCTACTGCTCTCTGAGATCCAGCATTTGATGAGTCACTGATAGGGAAGTTTTCATTTGATAGGGAAGATCAAAGTAAATGGTAAAAGGCAGCAAAAGGTAATGGCCAAAAGGGGTCAGTGTTTGATAAGCTAAACAGAAGATGAAAAAGAGCGCTCAATTGGAAACACGTTTGACTGCAGCTGTTTTCACAGCCAACCTGAAAGAGATGAGGAGAATTTGTTCCAGATGGACTGGCAGTGGCTGTCCATCTTGGTCAATGAGAGAGCAGGGAGTTCTACAGGCAGGGAAGAGAGCTGGGTTTCCGTGGCTTCACACATACACACATGCATACACACACATAACCACAGGTGAAGGCACATGCGTGTGCACACACACAGGCACATACCTGCTCACATGCATGCACATACACATGACTTCTCTTAGGAAGTTGCAGTAGTGACCACTGGAGTCTTTTTTATGGCCTTGGAACCAGTCTGTGCTTCCTCATTTCCTAGGGCCTCTACTCCTTTTGACAGGGGCAGAAAGTCTGCCCTGACAGGTAGTTTAGGAAAAATCAAAGGGGGATGGCACAAGGGGTCAGGAGTCTGGGTCTTAGCCTGGAAAAGGACAGTGCCCCCCTCACCCCACTGGCAGGTCACCTGTACCCAGCCCATAAAGCTGCTGCTGGAGTAAGATGACCCTGCTCACAAGGCTCCTGGTGGCAGACGGGGAGATGGAAACCAGCTCGCATTATTAAAAACAAAACACAAGAACGGTAATTTTCAATGTTTTTCAATAGTTTCTATGCAGAGCCCTGCTAATTACTCTTCCCTCCTATGTGTTGAAAGATTTCAGATACAAAGCTGCATCTATGAAAGGAAAAGTGTATTTTAAATTGTGCATTTTCAGTGCTTGCCAGTGTTGCACGCATGCTAGCAGCAGGAGATGTTCTTTTATGAGATTCATGAACACGCAGTTTTTATTTGTATTTTGATATGCTTCTTTCAATGTGTATTTAGGGGAAAAGTTTGTAAATTTTGTTTTCTATAGCTCCTTTATGAGGAGCTATGTATGACTATGTATGCATAATAAAATGACTATATATGCAATAATAAAAACTTTAGACAACAATAACTTTTCTAAAGAAAAAAAAAAGGAGGCCGGGCGCAGTGGCTCACACCTGTAATCCCAGCATTTTGGGAGGCCAAAGCGGGTGGATCACCTGAGGTCAGGAGTTCAAGACCAGCCTGGCCAACATGATGAAACCCCATCTCTACTAAAAATACAAAAATTAGCCGGGCGTGGTGGCAGGCACCTGTAATCCCAGCTACTTGGGAGGCTGAGGCAGGAGAATGTCTTGAACCCTGGAGGCAGAGGTTTGCAGTGAGCTGAGATCGCGCCATTTGCACTCCAGCCTGGGTGACAGAGTGAGACTCCATCTCAAAAAAAAAAAAAAAAAAAAAAAAAAAGAGCAGTAGCCAAATTAGAGAAACATATTAAAGAAATGATATTATAGAGAGTGTATGGATGTGCCAACCATGTGAGGGTGAAGCTCGAGTGCCTGATCCTAGGGAAATCCACATGGATAATGTAGAGCTGTCTACCCTCCGGTGAGCATGTCATCAACCCATGAGGCCTGGGTGGCCATGCTCCCTGGATGAGACGATGAAAGCAGCAGCAATACCCATGCCACGTTTGTTGATATACACACCCTGATCCTAAGACACTGTTAGTTTCCTCTGAAGGCCTTTGGAATACTGAAAACCCACAGCCCCCTTCCTTTAGAAGAAGCAGCTTTGTAGGGCTGCTGTCAGGTCAGTGGGTGGGTTTGGATATAAGTGTGGGAGTCTTATTCTAGTGGAAGAGCAAGGATGCGTGTGTGCCATGCCTTTGTATGCAGGATGTACCACTTGCAAAGGGCCAGCCCTCCTCTTCTCAGTGCAGAAGCTGTTATGTACATGTGACCAGAGGCTTTCCTGCGCAATGCCCAGGGTAGAGAACACTGGGCTAACAGGCTTAGTGCAATGGGACCCTACAGCTGCTGGTTGGTTAGCTCAGTGCAATGGGACCTTACATCAGCTGGTTCCTTCAGGGTTGTAATGACAGCTTCACAGCAGCTCCTCCTCCTGAGGGCCAGGCCAGGGGTGGGCTGCTTTCTTATTGCTTGCTTCTTTATTTTCATGTTAGCAACTGTATCCATTTTCTAGGGCTGCTGTAACAAAGTACCACAGACTGAGGGGCTTGAAGGATACGAATCTCTCACAGTTCTGGAAGCTGGAAGTTAAAGATCAGGGTGTTGGCAGGGTTGATTCCTTCTGAGGTCTGAGGGACTGTCTGTCCCAGGCCTCTCTCCTTGGCTTGGAGATGGCCATCTTCATGTTCCCATGGACTTTCTCTTCTGGTGTCTATCTCCAAATTTCCCCTTTTCATAAGAACACTAGTCACTGAATTGGAGCCCAGACTAATGACCTCCATTTTAATGTGATTACCTCTGTAAAGATCTATCTCCATATACGGTCACATTCTAAAATGCTGGGAGTTAGGATTTCAACATATGGATTGGAAAGGTGAGGAGTTCAACCCATAACAACAATAATTATCATTTTTCAGTTTGAACGTACTCTGAAGATCAGATTCAGCTCCTGAGCAGACAGCCTTACAGGGCCCAGAGGCCAAGTGGTACTTACCCGCCCTCCCATCCGTGCACACACATGCATACACACACACATGCTCCTCACACATGCGCACATACACACACACACACACACACACACACACACACTCCTCATCATACCCAGGCACTCACACACCCCAGCAGGCCTGAGAAGCCTCTAAGGAGAGAATTTCATAAGAAGATTGTAGCTGACCATGAGATAGATGGTTTGCAGGGTGGAAATTAGGCTTCCTGTGTTCAAAATTTGTACTGAACATTGATTTTCCTTAAGGAACACTTAATCATCCCTGTGTTATACCCAAGCCAAGCACATTTTAAAAAGAGGGAAAATATTTTTTGTTTCGTTTGGGTTTTAACCACTAAAAACCTGAGTAGGAGCATCAGTGATCAACGTGCCTTGTAGATGGCGTGAGCCCCGTTCAGGTAACCCAGATGGGACCAGAGATGCCACCAAGTCCAGCCCTTGCCTGAGTCCCACGTGGATGCATTGCAGTGTCTAGCACAGTACTGGGAACAGTTGGTGCTCCATGCTACATGGGAAATCATCTCCCAAGCTACCAGCAATAGCAGACCCACAAACTGGAAACCACTGAACTAGGGCCACCCTGGATGCAGCAGATGAAGAAAGAAAAGCACACCTGCCTGACCCTCCAGAAGCAGGGCTGGAAGCTCCTCCCCTCCATGCAGCCTGGCTGAGCGGGGTTGGCCTCACACTGCCACTGGCCAGCTTCCCTGGGCTTGCACCTTGAAGCCAGGCATCCTCAGTGTTTACCGCCCACTTCCACTGTTTTTTAAAATGCTGACTCTGGTTGCAAAACTTCTGGTCCTGGACACAAACCCTGCAACAACTAGTTCCTTGAAGTAGACAGGAATATCCACTGCTCTTATCGAAGAAAATGCCCGATTAACACAATCAGCCTGTTAAACCTATGCATTTCTCCCATTTCTGTGGTTCCTTCTCCCACCCCATCCAGAGGTGACACCAGCCACTGCACCAGTTGGTGAGAATCCTCCTATGAACATGCACTATTAAGCGGAAAGAACAATTTGTAGCTTCAGTGAAATCTGAAATATTGAGAAAAATCCAAATGCAGAAAAAGCCAATTTCAAGCCAAGTCACATTGCAAGAGGCATTTATTTCCAGCAGTAGAAGTAGAAGGTGTCCATGCTATGAACACAACTGGGGCATTCATTTCCTGCTAGGGGCAATGGGGACTTTCCCATGCTAATGTGTCTTTGATCTTCGTCCCTCAAGCACGTCCTGGCCTCCTGGTGTTCAGAGTAGCACGTGTATTTAGTGAATCATTTAATGTAAGACTCAGAAGAAGTTTCTTAAGAGAAAGTGGCTGTGCAAAATAGACAAATGGGATCTAATTAAACTAAAGAGCTACTGCACGGCAAAAGAAACTACCATCAGAGTGAACAGGCAACCTACAGAATGGGAGAAAATGTTTGCAATCTATCCATCTGACAAAGGGCTAATATCCAGAATCTACAAAGAACTCAAACAAATTTACAAGAAAAAAACAAACAACCCCATGAAAAAGTGGGCGAAGGATATGAACAGACACTTCGCAAAAGAAGACATCTATGCAGCAAACAGACACATGAAAAAATGCTCATCATCACTTGCATCAAAGAAATGCAAATCAAAACCACAATGAGATACCATCTCATGCCAGTTAGAATGGCAATCATTAAAAAGTCAGAAAACAGGCCGGTGCAGTGGCTCACGCCTGTAATCCCAGCCCTTTGGGAAGCCGAAGCAGGCAGACCACGAAGTCAGGAGATCGAGACCATCTTAGCTAACACAGTGAAACCCCGTCTCTACTAAACGTACAAAAAATTAATCAGGCATGGTGGCAGGCACCTGTAGTCCCAGCTACTTGGGAGGCTGAGGCAGGAGAATGGCATGAACCCGGGAGGCAGAGCTTGCAGTGAACCGAGATCACGCCACTGCACTCCAGCCTGGGTGACAGAGCAAGACTCCATCAAAAAAAAAAAAAAGTCAGGAAACAACAGATACTGGAAAGGATGTGGAGAAATAGGAACGCTTTTACACTGTTGGTGGGAGTGTAAATTAGTTCAACCATTGTGGAAGACAGTGTGGCGATTCCTCAAGGATCTAGAGCTAGAATTACCATTTGACCCAGCAATCCCACTACTGGGTGTATACCCAAAGGATTATAAATCATGCTACTATAAAGACACATGCATACATATGTTTATTGCAGCACTATTCACAATAGCAAAGACTTGGAACCAACCCAAATGTCCACCAATGATAGACTGGATTAAGACAATATGACACATATATACCATGGAATACTATGCAGCCATTAGAAAGGATGAGTTCATGTCCTTTGCAGGGACATAGATGATGCTGGAAACCATCATTCTGAGCAAACTATCGCAAGGACAGAAAACCAAACACCGCATGTTCTCACTCATAGGTGGGAATTGAACAATGAGAACACTTGGTCACAGGGCAGAGAACATCACACACCAGGGCCTGTCATGGGGTGGGGGGCTGGGGGAGGGATAGCATTAGGAGATAAACCTAATGTAAATGATGAGTTGATGGGTGCAGCAAACCAACATGGCACATGTATCAAACCTGCACTTGTGCACGTGTACCCTAGAACTTAAAGTATAATGAAAAAAAAAGAGAAGGTGGCTGTGTGGCTGGCATGCTATTGCTGCTATGAGGGTTGGACTCCTAAGTTTGGCAGGTGAAGATGTGTTTTATCACCACCTTCCACCCGCAGTGTTCCCGCATGGGGACCCCCTGGTAATCACATTCATCAGCTATGTCTAGCCTTTTAACTATTCACAAGAATGTATCTCCTTCAGTCTGGGAGGTTAATAGGGGGTGCTTGTGTGTGTGTGTGTGTGTCTGTGTGTGTAAGTGTGTAATTTCCTTTCATAAGACATGACCTTGCATATGTCAACTGAAGAATGATGAGGTTCATACATTTGGAAAGAAGAGCTTTATTTCTCATAAAGGATTGCAGCCTGCCAGGTGGCCATTCTGACAGGCTGGGAAGTGTAGCCTCCAGCCAGAAGCAAGAAACAAGCCATTCAGAGATGGGAAGAACAAGACAGGGATTTATGCTGAGTAAGAAGGATAAATATGCATATTCAATAAGCCATAGGAGGAGTCATGAATATTTATGGGAGGAGAAGCATGTGTATGCACAGCTGAGTTTCATGCCCTTTCATGGGTCCCATGTGCAAAAGATGACAGGGATAGCATGATCCCAAGGTGGGGTTTTCAGCCCTCTGACATCAAAAGATGAAGCAGAGGACATGAAACCCCTCACTGTGCATCCTCAGTAGATGGCCAGAACCACTGCAAGGTTAGTGGTCTCTTATTAGGAAGGAACCCTTTTGTCAAAACCATAAAAGGGCAAGGCAGTATCAGGCAGTCTTTGGTATCTGGAGCAAGTCTTTCCAAATGGCTGGTTTCCGTTTAGCCCTCAGGGAGAAAGCCTAATGGTGCTTAGGGAAGGAGGGGGGATAAGGAGGTGTATCCAGCCTCCCATCCCATCATAGCCAGGAACTCAGTTTTCAAGGTTTCACTGGCATCTCCTTGGCCAAGAGAGGGTCCGTTCCATCTGTTGGGTAGCTTAGAATTGTATTTTTATTTCTTGCATGTAATTTAGAAGGTCAAATAGTTCTGCAGAGTTTATTGGCAGAAACCTGTATACAACATTCTCAAAGTGTGAGAACTGTAGTGCTAGAGAACAGACCAGTTACAGGATTCGAGGAAGGTGTGACTATGAAGGGGGCACATGAAGGAGCTCCTCTGTGTTGAAGGAACAATGCCACATCTTTATTATTGTGATGGCTACTCAAATCTATACATAGGATATAATTTCATAGAACTATACACCAAAAAAGTTCATGTGAAAACGTGTAAAATCTAAATAAGGTATGTACCTGGTTAATAGTAATATGCCTATATCAATTTCCTGGCTTTGACAATGGACCACAATTATGGTCAATATTATCATTGGGGGAAGCTGGATGATGGGTACATGGGAACTCAGTATTTTGTTGTTTTGCAACTTTTTTAAATTTACTTTTTAAGACAGGGTCTTACTCTGTTGCCCAGGCTGGAGTGTAGCAGTGCTATCATAGCTCCTCCTGGCCTCAAGTGATCCTGCTGCCTCAGCTTCCCCCATAGCTGGGACTACAGGCACACTCTGTCATATGGGGCTTAATAGTAATAGTACTAGTGGTGGTAGTAGTAGTAGTATTTTGAGATGGAGTCTCGTTCTTGTTGCCCAGGCTGGAGTGCAGTGGCACAATCTCAGCTCACTGCAACCTCTGCCTCCTGGGTTCAAGTGATTCCCCTGCCTCAGTCTCCCAAGTAGCTGGGATTACAGGTCCCTCCCACCATGCCTGGTTAATTTTTTTTGTATTTTCAGTAGAGACGGGGTTTCACCATGTTGGCCAGGCTGGTCTGGAACTCCTGACCTCAGGTGATCTGCCCGTGTTGGCCTCCCAGAGTGCTGGGATTACAGGCATGGGTCACCGTGTGGGGCTAATTATTTTATCTTTTTGTAGAGACAGCATGTTATTTTGTTGTCCAGGTTAGTCTCAAACTCTTGGCCTCCAGGGATCCTCCCACCTCCCAAAGTTCTGGGATTACAAGTGTGAGCCACCAAACCCAGCCACAACTTCCTCTTAATATCAAACTATTGAACTATTTAAAAATACAAAGTTATTTTAAAATAATACTGCAGTGCCCTGCTCCCTTTTACTGCTTCTCTCCACGCACAGAGGCAAAATTCTTTCCTCACCTGGTATTTATAGGCATATCACCGAGTAACGCACTGATGTTGACACTTTTTTTTAGGCAATATCTATAAATTTCCCACTATGGAGAATTAGGATATATCTCTTTTCTCCCCCACATAAGTGCCTCCCATTTTATCTCTCCATCCCTCAAGTATAATAATCATATTTTGTCTAGATTAATATTCAGTGTTTAAAATATAAGTACATGTGCTAATCACAGTAAAATCAAGTATTAAATTATGATTACTTTTCCTTCTCTGCATAATGAGTTCTTATCTTCAGGATTAAAAACTGATTGGGTTTTATTCTTTTTCTTGATTTTCTGTATATTTAGCTCATATTTATCCTGAAACTCTCCTCTAGTTGTTTAAATGTCCTCAAGGAACACTTATTGAACATCATGTTTATTAAGAAAATTTTCGTTTCCCGGGGAAGTCTTTGCCGGAATCTTCTCCATGCCTCATGCTCTGCTGTTATTCAAGGACCTCTCTTCACCATCAACCTGGGATTCTTTCCACGTCACTTGTATTTGGGATCTGTTTCCCTTGTCTCATGTCTTCCTTCCAGCTTCACTTTGTGGTTTGATGGAACACATGCTCAAGTAGGTTCCCAAGCATGAGTGTAAGGAGTAAATGACCTTAGCACACACATGTGTGGGCTGGGCGTGGTGTCTCACACCTGTAATCCCAGCACTTTGAGAGGCCGAGGTGGGCGGATCACAAGGTCAAGAAATCGAGACCATCCTGACTAACACGGTGAAACCCTGCCTCTACTAAAAATACAAAAAAAATTAGCTGGGCGTGGCGGTGGTCGCCTGTAGTCCCAGCTACCCGGGAGGCTGAGGCAGGGGAATCACTTAAACCCGAGAGGCAGAGGTTGCAGTGAGCCGAGATGGCGCCATTGCACTCCAGCCTGGGTGACAGAGCAAGACTCTGTCTCAAAAAACAAATGAACATGTGTGTGTGGAAACACTGAGCTCATAGGGTGGATACAGAATTCTAGGTTGGAAATAATCTCCCCTTTCAATATTCAAGACATTTTTTATTGTCTTCTAGGTTACGGAGTGGCTGTTATGAATTCTGAATTCTTTCTGATGGTTTTTTTCTCTCTAGAGGATTGTAGAATTCACTTCTACATACGCCATCTTCCAAAATGTATTGATCACGTGGCCTGGTGTGTGTCTATTCTCATTCATTGTGCTGATCACATAGTGGGCTCTTCCAATCTGAAAACACATCCTTTCATTTGGAGACATTTTCTTAAATTATTTCATTAATGATTCATCCTCTTTCTTTTCTCTGTTTCTTTTTTCTGTTATTGACATATTGAACCTCAAAGCCATCCTCTTAATTTTTTTCTCCTATCTTCCACTTCGTCTTTTCTCTGCTTCTTAGGAAATTTCCTCAACTTCATCCATCAACCATTCCACCGACTTTCCATTTTGCTATATTTTTAATTTCCAAGGGCTCATTTTGTCCCTGCTGCGTGTTCTTTTTTTAAGATATAGCAGTCATTTTTGTTTCATGATTGCAATATCTTCTCTTATCTCTTAGTGAATGCGAATGATTCTCTGTTTTTGGTTTTGTTTTGTTTTGAGACAGAGTTTCGCTCTGTCACCAGGCTGCACTGCAGTGGCACGATCTTGGCTCACTGCAACCTCTGGCTCCTGGGTTCAAGTGATTCTCCTGCCTCAGCCTCCCGAGTAGCTGGGACTACAGGCATGCACCACCATGCCCAGCTAATTTTTGTATTTTTAGTAGAGATGGGTTTTTGCCATGTTGGCCAGGATAATCTCTATCTGCTGACCTCATGATCTGCCTACCTCGGCCTCCCAAAGTGCTGGGATTACAGGCATGAGCCACCACGCCCAGCCAATTCTCTGTTTTCTTAAACACGGATATTCTTTACTGCATAGGCTGTATTTCTGGTAGGTTGCTGCCCTCCCCTCCCTGCGTTTGCCTGTTTCAGTCTTTCTGCGTGGACAAATACAAACTACTTCCTCTGCTCTCACCCCACAACAACCAATACAGAGGACTCCTGTGGCCAAGCATGGGGCAGAGGGGGTGGTTTCTCCCATCGGCAAGTGAGTGAGCAGTTCTGCAGCAGATGTCAGCTAGGTGTCCTCTAGTTCAGTTCCCACCATCTCTACCTGGAGAAATCGTCAGGGCCCGCGGGTCGAGGGCTCACTCCCCAGGACTGCTCCCCACTGCTGATACCAACTGCAAGCCCTGGCTTACTCTGTCTGTCTGTTTCTCTCTGTCTCTGTCTGTCTACTTCTCTCTCTCTTTCTGTCTCTATCTCTCTGTCTGTATGTCTCTGTCTGTCTGTCTATCTTTCTCTCTTTCTCTGTCTCTCTCTCTCTCTCTCTGTGTGTCTGACTGCCTGGCTTTAAAGTGGGGTTCCCATGACCTCATCCTCAGGTTTGATTAATTTCCTAGAGCGGCTCACAGAGTTCAGGGAAACATTTACTTATGTTGACTGGTTTATTAAAAAGGATGTTATGAAGGATACAGATGAGGAAACATGTAGGACAGGGTATAGGGGAAGGAGTATGAAGCTTCCTTGCCTTCCTGGGATACCACCTTCCAGGGACACCACCTTCCAGGAACCTCCATGGATTCAGCTATCAGGAAGCTCCCCAAATCCTGTCCTTTGGGGCTTTTAGGAGTCTTTATAACTAGGTATGATTGATTAAATATTTGGTCAGTGGTGATGAGCCCCTCTGTTCCCACTGGAGATTGAGGGGATGGGCTGAAAGTCCAAACCCTCTATTCTTGCCTTGGTCTTTCTGGTGACCAACCCTATCCTGAAGCTACCTGTAATCCCAGCCACCAGTCACCTCCTTAGTGCACAAGAAGACATCACTATTCCCAGGATTTTAGGAGCTGTATGCCAGGAAACAGGGATGAGTACCAGATCTTTATTTCAGCATATCACGGTCTTTATATCACGTAGAGACTTTTCTTAGTGTCTAACAATTCCTGTTTGCTGGTTCATATAAAGGAGGGGGACTAAAAGGCTGTGAGAGGCTCAGAGCCCCTCAACTGCACTTGCTGACTTCAGGCTTCACTGCAGGGCATCTGGCTGGCTGTTTGGAGAGGCCATAGTGTCAATGCCTGTTGCATTTTGGTCTTAGGATGGTATCACCCTCTGGAATCCAGTGTTTCTCCTGGAGGGTGAAGATGCAGTCTAGGGGGACCCGCCTGCGAATCTCAGCATTCAGCACACATGGGGTTGTGGGGTCCCTCTGTATTCGGTGTGGCACCCCCAGGCACCCCCAGTTCCCCACTCGCCCTGATACCCATACCCAATGTGAAGTCCTGGCATCACCTGGGCATAAAAAGGGGAGTTTAATTGGCTGCTTCCTAAACAGACTTGTAGCCAACCCTCTTTATTTCAGTCCTCATTCACTCCGATTTTGTAACTGTTATCACAAACTCCTGAGTCTGGGGGGCTCTTTGGTAGAAACTGTGTTGGTTGTTGACTCTGCTCACTGACAGCTTGAAGCTCCATTTTGAAGTTCTGCTGACTTGTTTTATCCACTGAACTCCCAGTTTCCAGTTTCCCAAATCTGTTGCTGCGGCTGCATTTCCTCTTCCGGTCATGGGATTATGCCTTTTATTTTATTATTATTATAATTATCTTGAGTTGGAGCCTTGCTCTGTTGCCCAGGCTGGAGTGCAGTGGCACGATCTCAGCTCGCTGCAACCTCCGCCTCCCAGGTTCAAGTGACCCTCCTGCCTAAACCTCCCGAGTAGCTGGGACTAAAGGCATGCACCACCATGCCGGGTTAAGTTTTGTATTTTTCGTAGAGACAAGGTTTCACCACGTTGGCCAAGCTAATCTCCAACTCCTGAGCTCAAGTGATCTGCCCAGCTCAGCCTCCTAAACTGCTGGGATTGGCCGGACGCAGTGGCTGACACCTGTAATCCCAGCACTTTAGGAGGCCAAGGCGGGTGGATCACAAGGTCAGGATATTGAGACCATCCTGGCCAGCATGGTGAAACCCAATCTCTACTAAAATACAAAAAAAGTAGCCGGGCGTGGTGGCAGGTGCCTGTAGTCCCAGCTACTCGGCAGGCTGAGGCAGGGGAATTGCTTGAACCCAGGAGGCGGAGGTTGCAATGAGCCAAGATTGCACCACTGTACTCCAGCCTAGCGACAGAACAATACTTCGATGCAAAAAAAAAAAAAAAAAAAAAAATGTGCTGGGATTATAGGCGTGAGCCACTGTGCCATGAGCCACTGTGCCCAACTGTCTTATGCCTTTTAAAACAGTCCCTTTGCTCTCCTGTGAGTGGGATGAAGGAAAACGGTATGAGTAGATGTGTGTGCTCAAGCTGCTACTTGTCTCGTCCGTTTATTGATAAGGAAAGTGAAATTGAGGCTGGCTAAGTGGTGTGATCAAAACAACAGCAGCTTTAGGAGGAGCTCTTTGCCTTTTTGTTGCTTTGTTTTTTGGTCCCTGACTTAATGTATCTTTGTTAAGTGTGTGCCAGGCAAGTCACGTTAAGCAGGTTGGGGACTTCCCTGGAGTGATGTGACAATCGCTAACATTTATTAAGTGTGTATTGTATGCCTGGCGCTGCTCTTGTTCTAATCTCTTTACATCTATTTAATCATTACAGCAGCTTTATAATGGGAGCTACTATGATCCTGCTCTTTCTTACAGAGGAGGGAGGTGAGGCATGAAGTTATGCCTTGTCCAAATTTGCACCGCTAGGAAGTGGTGAAACTGGGGTATGAACCCAGGACCGGCTTTCCTAGTAGTATTGACACTGTGGGCCCAGTGGCTCTGTGTGGTGGGGCTTTCAAGTGGGTTGCAGGCTGTTTAGCTACGTTCCTCCTTTCTCCTCACTTCCCTACTGGATAACAACACCCCCCACACACACAGCCATGACAACTACAAGTATCTCCAGACATTGCCAAATGTCTCTGGCAGGGCGCAGAGCCCCCTGAGTGAGGAGACGGACCCAGGCAGGCTGAGTGCATGCCTTGACAGCTCTGCCCTGCCACCTCCTGGTCTGGTGAATTCCAGGGGTCCTTTTTCCTCCCCCTCAGAACCGGACAGCAAGGTCTGTGACTGCCTTATCCACAGGCAGATCCCGCTCGCCCTGCCCTGGCATCACCACCACTGGGCAGCTTTGCCTCTCACTAGATATGAAAAAAGTGGAAAAGCAAAACAGAAACTAAAGGTGACAACTCTGCAGAGCTGGGCACGTTGGAAAGGCCAAGCCTTAACCCTGTCTCTCTCTCTCTCCCATCTTCATCCCCACAGAGCCAAGGTGAAGAAGGGGGTGAACATCCTGAGTGCTCAGACCCGTGAGCCCCGGCAGTGGGGCGTCAAGCAGGAGGTGGGCAGCGGCGGAAAGCACGTGACGGCCACCGTGGCCTGCCAGCGCCTGGGGCCCAGCCCACGCAACAGGTAAGCGGTGCCCTCCCTGCAAGCGTGTGTGGTTCCTGGTCCCGGGCCCAGGCCGGCTGGTGCGTAAGAGCCTTGACTTGGACTCGCGTGAGCGGCTGCTCAGAGGAGCTATTGAACCCACCACGTGGAAATCTGGAGGCATTGATATCCATGCAGGACCCTCTGCCTCTGCAGCAGGGCGGGGTGGGGCGCTCGCTCTGCAGCGCTGCGGGGTCAGCTTTGGAGCCGGGTGAGCTCATCTCTGCTCTGATAGGGCTTGTGCATCCTCCACACCTGAACTGACTTTCTGGGGGCCTTGCCCTGCCTACATTATCAGAAGATGCTCGGTTACAAAGTACTCATTTTTTCATGAAGGGGAAGATTGAGTTTTCAGTGAGAAGGAATTTAAGGAAAGGTGGTGACAGTCAGTGGCAATAATGGAGAAGCACCTGCTATGTGAGATTCACTGTAGACATCCTGGATGATTTTTTAAAATAATTGTTTTCTGGTTATAAAAGCAATTCAGACTCATTTTAGAATATGAGGAAAGCACAATTATAGCGGGGGGAATCATGTGCCAATATCCTTCCTACTCAAGGGTAACCCACTGATAGCATGTTGGTTCATTTCCTTCCAGGGTGTTATACCTGTGTAAGGCTAATGTATGCTAAATATATTTAGTTTACAAATTTGGGATCATCAAATACGTACAGATTTTAAGGACACTACAATTTTCACTTGTATTGGAAACATTTTCTCTTGACATTAAATATTCCTCAAAAACATTCTTAATAGCTTTATAATATTCATCAGACGGATTTAACGTAACAGAAACAACCAACCATGCCTGTATTTTACCATTTAGGTTGATTCCAAGTTGTTTCTAAATTTCAACTTTTATTTTAGATTCAGGGGGTACATGTGCAGGTTTGTTACGTTTATATGTTGCCTGAGGCTGAGGTTTGGGGCATGAATGATCCCATCACCCAAGTGGTGAACAGAGCACCGAATAGGTCGTTTTTCAGCCCTTTATTCCCTCCCTCTCCCCGGCTCTAGGGGTCCCCAGTGTCTGTTGTTCCCATCTTTATAACCACATGTACCCACTGCTTAGCTCCCACTTATAAGTGAGAACATGGAGTATTTGGTTTTCTGTTCCTCCATTAATTTGCTTAGGATAATGGCCTCCAGCTGCATCTGTGTTGCTGCAAAGGGTATGATTTTGTTCTTTTTTATGGCTGTGTAGTAGTCTATGGTGGATGTATACCAGATTTTCTTGATCCAGTTCACTGTGGATGTGTTGATTCTGTGTCTTTGCTATTGTGAACAGTGCTGCAATGAACACATGAGTGCGTGTGTCTTTTTGGTAGAACAGTCTATTTCCTTTGGGTATATACCCAGTAATGGGATTGCTGGGTTGGATGGTAGTTCTGAGTTCTTTGAGAAATCTCCAAACTACTTTCCACTGTGATCGAACTAATTTACTTTCCTACACACAGTGTGTAAGTGTTCCCTTTTCTCTGCAATGTCTCCAGCGTCTGTTATTTTTTGACTTTTCAATAATCATCGTTCTGACTGGTGTGAGATGGCATCTCATTGTGGTTTTGATTTACATTTCTCTGATGATTAGTAATATGGAACATTTTTTTCATAAGTTTGTGGCCACTTGTATGTCCAAGATTTATTCTTATAGATAATGCAGCAATAAACCACCTTCCACATAAATCTTTGTCCACATCCCTTTTTCCTTAAGGTGGCTTCTTGGATTCAAAACGTAAGATTATTTTTCAAGGCTCTTGTATTCTGCCAGTGTATTTTTCTGAAGGGATTGGTATTAAAGAAAGAAATAGTCTATTACTGGACACATTTTCTTAAGTGACAGCTGCAAGTCACCATGAAAAATCCTCAAATTCTCTGCTTGGTTTAGAACCACGCTGTTCTTTTGCCCACAGAACCCACTCCTCTGTCCTTCCTTTAATGTGTAATGAGAAAAAGAAAATCTGGTGTCCCAAACAGTTCACAAACTCAAATGCCAACCGTCACCATCATTACCCCAAGAAGGATTTTAGTGCATCTGGCGGAGGTGAGGTCAGGGACAAGGGTTGGGTGTCTGAATCTTTGATTTGTGAAAACATGGCCAGAAAGAAATGTGTTTATGAGTCCCTTGTTCCAAGCAGGAGATCAGAGGCCAAATTAAATCTCCTGAATCGAATGCACATGAAGTCTAATTAACCTGTAAGATTAGTGTTGATTATGCAAATGAAAGCGAATGTGTTCATTAGCAGGTGGCAAAGTTATGTATGTGAATAGTTCTTCACATGGGAACCTGAATGAGAAGCAGAGCGAGGGAGATGAGCCTCATAGTGTCGAGTCCTGAAGGGCTCCTGTGGCCACCCTGTTTGTTCTGAGCTTCCAGGCACCCCACTTTGACCCCAGTTGTGTTTGCTGTCTCAGTGGTAAGCATTGTGCATGAGTTTCCACAGTCAGCCATCCTGAATGTTTTGGCAGACTGTGGACAAGAGGAAGATCTGAATCTGCAGAAATAGAGAATAATGGCATCTGAGGCACAGAAAGAGGCACTGCAGATGGTTAGACCCCAGAAATGTGTTCAAAGAGGAGGGCGGGTGGTGCATTGGGTGGAGTCACCATGCCTGGCCCCACTTTCACTTATAAGGGCCATTGTGGTCATGTTGGACCCACCTGGGTAATCCCAGATCATCACCCATATCAAAACCTTCACTTAATCACATCTGCAAAGTCCCTTTGCCTTGTAAGGTAACATATTCACAGGTTCTGAGGATTAGGATGTAGACAAATTGGCCTGCCTCTGTCTTCTTACAGCATGGCCTCTGTCATGTCCATTCAGTCCTGAGTCTTTGAAATGCTGGGTTTGGACACCTTGGGGTACCGAGGTCAGGCCAGCGAGTGCACCTTCCAAGATTCCCAGGGCGGGGAATGGCGTTCCTTCCCATGGAGCTTTCTTGGTAGCCGAGGAGGTCTGATAGCAAGATCTTTCTTATGTATAGCACTGCCACGGGCAATGGTGTCGCCCTTCCTGGCGGGGTCCAGCAGAAGCAGTCAGTGCCAGCCAGGAGTGTGTATTCTTGCTTCAAGGTGAGGGTTGCGCAGTCAAGTATCTGAAGCCTCATTGGCACTGAGCCCCACCAAGGCCATGACTGTGGCTGCTTGCAGGAGCCTCTCTGCAGGACTCTGAGAGCCTGCACTGGCTGGATGGCACTCACAGGTGCAGACAGTGGTTCGTTCCTTGCCTTTGGCTCTTGAAATATCCCATTGTGAAACCCCATCTCTACTAAAAATACAAAAAAAAAAAAAAATTAGCCGGGCGTGGTGGCGGGCAGCTGTAGTCCCAGCTACTCGGGAGGCTGAGGCAGGAGAATGGTGTGAACCCGGGAGGCGGAGCTTGCAGTGAGCTCAGATCGCACCACCATACTCCAGCCTGGGCGACAGAGCAAGACTCTGTCTCACAAAAAAAAAAAAAAAAAAGAAATATCTCATTGTGAGCTTTTGCATTTAGGTGAGTCACCAATTTGAGATGTGGAAGCTGCAACTGTGTTTTCAGATCTTGGCCACATCCCCGTGTTGGCCACATCCCCTGGCTGGTAAGACAGGGAACCTAGGGAGACATAAATAGTTTCAAAAGGGCGAAACTGGTCAGCCCATGGAGAGGCTGTCACACCAGCGGCTTCCCCAGGCAGGTCCAGAAAGGTGGTTCTGGAAGGTTTTACGACCCCCTGCCAACCATTCCCATCTGTAGCTGTTTCTTCAAAGGCACAAACACCAAACACACACACCAAGTCTAACTAAAAGTGGTGGCTTTGTAAACAAGCACAGCTTCAGAGCATGCCCCCTGGCCCTTTGCCCACATGACCGCTCACCCCTGTTGATCCCCCATGACCACTCACCCCTATTGATCCCCATACATAGAAGCCTTCTACATCAGGAGATGATGGTAGCTGATCTGGGGAGCTGAGCTCTGAGAGCGGCAGGCAGCTAGTGGTTAAACACGCCTGTTGTTGATGCCTCAAGGGCTCTGAAAGTCATTCTAGTCAATAAGTTTCAAACAGGACCATGAATGGGCACCAAGGGCCCCCCAATCCCTAAAATTGCTTGAAAATATATGGTGTGTGAGAGACTGCCTCCACGTGCCATTCTCATTACACCACTTTCACTGCTCTCTTCCAATTCTTTAACTCATATGAACTGGTCGTCCCTGAATTGAACTTGGTTGACCTGTGTTTTTCATGCAAAAATAAAATTTCAGTGATATTTGTTGGGACACACAAAATCTCCAATTAGCCATAGTCCCCATTCCACCCTATGTCTTGTATCTGGCCTCTCCACTTGTGAACTGGCTACGTGGTTTGTGAAGGTGTTGCAGTATGAAAATCCAGTGTATCAGTCAGCTATGTAAGGACCCCGTGATCATGTAGGGCCCACTTGGATCATCTCTCCGTCTCATGATCCTTAACCTAATCACATCTACCAAGTCCCTTTGACTTATAAGGTAACATATTCATAGGTTCTAGGCACTAGGATGTGGACAAATTTGTCACAATCATGCCACATAAAAAAACCACCCAAATCTCAGTGATTTACAACTACAGTTTGCCCTCCATATCCATGAGTTCTGTGTTCACAGATTCCAGATTCTTTTAGTGGAAGATTGTGTCTGTATTGCACATATACAGACTTTGGTTTTCCTGTCATTATTGTCTAAATAATATGGTATCACAGTAACTATTTACATAGCATTTACATTATACTAGGTATGATAAATAATCTAGAGATGATTTAAAGTATGCAGGAGGATGCGCATAGGTTGTATGCTACTACTACATCATTTTATCTAAAGGACTTAAGCATCCATGGATGTTGTCATCTGCAAAGGGTCCATGAGCCAATCCCCCTTGGGTAACAAGGGGAAACTGTCCAAGCTTTGCTCTCATGCTCCCAGGGCTGTAGGTCAAGGGCAGTCTGGACCTGCTAAGGGGAAGCTCAGGCGGGAGACTGCCTTGGGGTGTGAGCTGGCTGGGCTTAGCTCCAAGCCTTGAGCTGAGTGTCTGTCTGTCCATGTGTGTTTGGTCCTGGGCCCAGGCTGAAGGGGCAGAGTTATTCTGGGTGTGCTCCTCTCACAGCAGCTCATTATCCTCTCACCTAAGACCAAAACTGGTGTCCTGTCCATTAACATCCCCCAGGCCAACGTGAGACACGAGGCCAGGCCATGGGGTGAGGAAGTCCTCACCACCCAGACATACGGGGTGGGTGAGTGGAGGGAGTGCGTGCTGCACTCAGTAAAGCCACCATCACCCCCCGGCGCGTCAAAGGGCTGCTTGGCTCGGAAAATATCCCCTATTGCTGAAATGTTCTTGCACAGTTTCCATCTGTGGGAAGCTTTAGACATCCCCTTTCCCATGTTCGTTTCTTCAACAAATTATGTGTCAAGTGCCTGGTACTTGCCAGCTACCATGCTGACAATCTACGGCCAGGAGTCTTATCGGGGGAAGTTCAAAGATGAGATACTTAAAGACTGTCCCAAATACGAACTCACACCTGGCGAATGATGAACCGTGTCGTGCTCAGCATAGGATGAACAGGGGCACTTGAATGAGTGAGGAAAGAAGAATCATAAGTGAGACAAGCAGTGCTGGCTGTGTGCCTCGCGCTCTCCAAATGCTTTGCATATAATCCTCCTAAGCATCTAATCCTCCTTCAAGCATTCGAGGTAGACACAGTGAGCCATGACCTCAATTTGCATGGGGGGAACCGAGACATGATGCATTTTTCAAACCCACTCAGTAAGAGCTGGAGGTGGAATTCAAACCTGGGAGGTCTGCCTCGGAGGACAAGCTGTCGCTTGTGCTTATTCTTGTCCTGAAAGGAAATACACCCAATGGATCACCCCAGCTGGCAGACACTGCTCCACCCTGGTTCCCGTTAAATCTCTTTCACTGCTCTATATCCCTCGGTAGGTGTGTTAGCCAGCTAGGGCTGCCTGAACAAAATTCCACAGACTGGTTGGCTTAAAACACAGAAATTTATTTTCTCACCATCTGAATTCTGGAAAGTCCGAGGTCAGGGTGCTGTCAAGGGTGGTTTCTGGTGAGGGATCTCTTCCTGGCTTGCAGTTCGCCACCCTCTCGGCATCTTGTGTCCTCAGAGGGCCTTTCCTCTGTGCATGGAGAGAGAGAAGCTCCTGGTGTCTTGTCTTTTTTTTTTTTTCGAGACAGGGTCTCGCTCTGTCACCCAGCCTGGGGTGCAGTGGTGTAAACAGGACTCACTGTAGCCTTGACTTCCTGGGCTCAAGCGATCCTCCTCTCAAGCGATCCGCCAAGTAGCTGAGACTACAGGCATGCACCACCAAGCCCAGCTAATGTTTGCATTTTTTGTAGAGATAGGGTTTCATCATGTTGCCCAGGATGGGTTCAAACTCCTGAGCTCAAGTGATCCACCTACCTCGGCCTCCCAAAGTGCTGAGATTACAGGTGTGAGCCACTGAACTTGGCTTCTTCATCTTCCCGTAAGGACACCAGTCCTGTGGGATTAGAGCCCCCTCTTAGGACTTTATTTAACCTTAATTACCATCTTAAAAGCCTGCTCTCCAAATATAGTCACACTGGGGCAGAGGGCTTTGTGAGATGAATTTTGGAGGGAACAATTCAGTCTGTAATCATGGGGTTGGCTCTGTCATCCTGAACCTGCTTCCGTCACTGCACCACCTGGGGCTGCCCCTCACTTTTGTGCACTTGTGCGGATTCTTAGAAGAGCCTGGGAGCTTCTTCCTGGGATCCTCTTTGCTGATGATGGACAGGTGTGGAATACGAAAGCTCAGCCCCATCTCCCCCACTGCAGACAACTCTGAATTGTCATGGACACGGTTGGACTCAGAGCTTCCCACAGGGTCAGGCTGCAGGCTGGGTCATTGAAAGCACACCTTCTGTTTGCTTCTTCCTGCAATGTGAACTATTTCCCTCTCCCCTTCTCCCTTTCCAGTTTCTCCTGGTGCGTGGGGAGAAAGGAAACAACATCCTTAATCAGTCACTTGCAAATGAATCCTTGTCTTATGATCGGCTTCTAATGAACCCAAACTGAGACTCTCAGAAACATAAGAGCCCCCCCCCTCCCGCTTCCTCCCCTGGTGAAATGTCCTCTTAGACGGGGAGAGAGCATTTGTTAGGAAAACTGTCAAGCAAAACAGCTGTTCTGCTGGAGTGCCGTCTCCCTGTAACCTAGAACCTCTGAAAGACCAGGGTTGTTATGGTCCTGAAACCATCTGTCTATAAACACTCAGACCCAGGAAGACAGCTAGCACCTGCTCCATACACACACCAGACCGCGTGGCATTTGGTTTCCAGGCTCCCCATCACCCTGGGAGAGGTCTGAGCATCTCGGCAGTCAGGCAAAGTCAGCCAACAATTTACCAGAGTGCACGTCGTATTTACAGGGTGCGAGGCCAACAGAGCAATTAGCATGCTGCCCAGGTCCTTCCCCGTCAGTGCCCTGTGACAGAGAGGATCGAGCATGAAGCAAATGCTTCTGTGTCTGCAGGGAAGAGGCAGAAAAGCACATAGAGAGCGTGCTGAAAGGCAGGAACACATCTTGCGGTTCTTTTGGCATCCTCCTGTTCCTTAGGAAGCATCTTCCGCCTCCCCCTTCATCTCCTTTCCTCGGTCTGCATCTTTTTTCAAAACCAGGTGTCCGGGTGAGTCTGAGTAGCTGGGGAGCAGTGAAGCGAGCAGTGAGTCTGACCTCAGCACTGGCAAGAGGGAAGAGCGGACCCTGGCTGCTTTTGATTCGAACGTTGCACCTTGATCTGATAAAGGTTTCTGCCTCAAGCATTCCTGGAGCCTTACTTTAAGCTCATTCCTTCAGGGAAAATGCTAAAACTTAGGTGTTTCTTTAAACTGTGGGCATACTCTGAAGTTCAGGGGGGACTCCGTGTTGGGAATGCAACCCCCTAAGGCTGTTGATGAGGCGGGCTCCCCAGCGGGGTCGGTGTAGGCACACCTGCCTGCCGCTCCACTTCCCACTGGCCCACATGCACCTGTGCTGTTAGGTGCTGAACACCTTCACTTCAACCGGTTCACTTATGTGTCTCAAGTTTCTCATTAGGCATTCTTATTAAAACGCTACTGTTAACATCTCTTCCAGAAGCAAATATAGTATCTTAAAAATAGAAACTTACATAGAAAACCATAATATTCTGTAGATTTTATAGTGCTTGACAGCACACAGAATAATACTGTGTGTATTTCACTGTCTCTGGCACTTTACAAAATGCTCTGTGTACATTATTTCAGTAAATCTTTCTAACGGTCTCATGAACTGAGGTATCATACCATTGGGCAAATATAGAAAAGAATAAAGACACTCACGGGAAGTAAGCATCCAAATGAATATTTAGGCAAATCATAAAAATGTTTTATTTAAAAAATAACTTTAATGTACACAAATAAATGGAGAAAATGCCTATCAGTTGCACAAAATAAAGGTGAGCATAAACAAATACAATTAAAACATAAAAATCCTGGCCAGGTGCGATGGCTCACGCCTGTAACCCCAGCATTTTGGGAAGCCGAGGCTGGTGGATCACCTGAGGTCAGGAGTTCAAGGAATTTGAGACCAGCAGGCCAACCCTGCCTCTACTAAAAATACAAAAATTAAGCTGTTCATGGTGGTGCGTGCCTGTAATCCCAGCTACTCAGGAGGCTAAGGCAGGAGAATGGCTTGAACCCAGGAGGCGGAGGTTGCAGTGAGCCAAGATCACACCAGTACACTCTAGCTTGGGCAACAGAGTGAGACTCTGTCTCAAAAACAAACAAACAAAAAAAAAGCATAAAAATCCTATTGAAGTCTAGCTAGCTAATGTTAATAGCAAGAGGCTGTGTGCTTGCCTTGGAGGTTAGAGAAAGGGGTTAGCAGGTGCAGGGAAGTGCTGTGGACACACGAGAGTGCAAGGGTGTCCAGTCTTTTGGCTTCTCTGGGCCACATTGGAAGAATTGTCTTTGGGCCACACATAATATATGCTAACACTAGCGATAGCTGATGAGCTGGAAAAAGAAATTGCAAAACAATCTCATAATGTTGTAAGAAAGTTTACAAATTTGTGTTGGGCCACATTCAAAGCTGTCCTGGGCCACACACGCAGCCTGTGGGCTACAGGTTGGACAAGCTTGCAAGCAGACCAAGCTGAGATTTTCTTCTCCTTACCTTTTTATTAGGCTTATTTTTTTAATGCCTTTATTTTACTTTTGTAATCATAAAAACATATTCAAAGATATGTTTTTTAAACCCATATTCCATATCTTATGTAACTATTACCATTATTGCGTCCTGCCTTACAGAGTATATCGAAGTATTTTTATACCATTGAGATCAGTCTGTAATATGTTACGTCTCTTTTGTAACTTAACGTTGCCAAAGTACTTTGCTTGTCCCATACTTAGCTTTTTAAATAACTGATTAAGTGGATGGACCTGAATTTATTTAGAAAGCCCCCTATCGCGGGGCACCTGGGTTGTTTGTTCTCAGCGTTTTAGTATAAATAAACCAGTGGCAGACATTTCCACGACAATATGGCACTGCCTTTTCCCCCCATTCTGAATCATGGAGCACAGGGAGCTGCTGTGAGGGATTTCTAGTCCGAGTTTCTGCCCTTCCTAACTTTATTTTGTCACCCCTCTCCTGGCCTTCACACCCAACATAGAAATTGGGGAACAAAGTCAAAAGCTGGCACCAGATGAGTGAAGGGGCCAGGGAAGAGGCAGGGAGCCAGGAATGGCCTGCGGGAGGAGAGGGAGGGACCCCGCGTGGTGCCCCTTTTACTCCTCCAGTCCCTCCTTGTTGCAGCTCCGGGGGTGTCTGTGCCCAGGACTGGTTACGGGCCATGTGGGAGACTTTCACTTTAACCTCAAAACTTCTAAAAGAATCTAAAAAGGAAACACTTTCTGTCCACGTGATTCAACCTTACTCAAGGGATGCACGTTGCCTTTTGGAAACCTTTCCTGGGATACTTCATCAGTCCCCTAGAGGGGCTGTCACTGACACTTGTAATTGTAGGACTGAATGCTGAGAGGCTGCAAAGCTAGCTGGACTCAGAGGCATCCATGTGAAATTCTGAGCCATTTAACCAGGAGTCGCAAATGCAAGGGACAGGTGAAAGGAGGAGGTGGGTAAGGAAGCGGGTGGAATGACCATGCCCTGCAGGCTGTGAGAGGCGGGGAGGGTGGCCGGCTGCACCCTCTCAGAGGACACATCCATTCTTTAGGCTCTAGAGCCTTCCCAGGTGGGAATGCCGGCTGTCAGTTGCCAGATCTCTGGATTTTTCTAGACCTGCTGAAAATCCAGAAATCTTTCAATTTTTTAACATTTGCTTGGATGTTTAAAATCCCTGTGCAAATCAAACAAAACGTATATTGTTCAGGAAAAATTGTTCATCAGGAAGTAAATCATGTGCAAAAGTGGCCTGTTTGAGTCAAAATAATGCCTGTTTTCTTTAGGAGGTTGATTGCCTGTATTGTCCAGGTACAGAGTTTGCAGCAAAACAGCTGTCTGGGAACTCGACTGTGCCTCTTTTGGAGGGACTTAGAAAGAAGGCCAGCTGTTTCAAAGACTCAGCTGCCCCTCATTTTCACCACACGAGCCCTCCTAAACAGAGCACATCGCACAGACGCTCCTGTATTTCCAGCAGATGCTATAAACACGCATCTGAGCTCCGGTTCTTATGGCTGTAAGTGTCAGCCCTAATTGGGATCCTGGTGCCTGGCGTGGAGTTCTCTCTCCCTGCTCCTCTTGTGACCCAGCTTCTAGTTTGATGGGGTGGTCTCTGGGCCAGTGTTCCCCATCCGTTCTTGGAGGAGACTGGGATCCACACACTTCCATAGAACAGTGAGTGATGCCTCTCCTGTTCTTCCCCCTCCCTGGAACAGAAGCAGCTGCTGCATCCCCAAGCTCCTTAATTCAAGAGCCAGCATCGTGCTTCAGGGACTCTCTGCTGCAGGGGAGAAAAGTAAATCAGGCAGGTAATAAAACGAGAAGGCTCTTTCCAAAAAAACAAAAAACAAAACAAAACCCAAAATCGTTGAAAATGGTGAATAAAATGCCCATTAGTATTCCTTTAAGCAGTCTCAGTTGCATACCTTATATACATAACTGTGCTTGGCTATTTGTTTTGGAGAATTCTGGAACAGGAACGTGCTCATAGCTGCTTAAACAGTTTTCAACAGTGCTTAGAGGAATGAAGTGCTAAAATAATCTGCTTTTCCCTAAAGGAAATTGCTCAGACCAACTGCCTTCTGTAAGAGATATTTGAAGATTGCAAACTACCACAAATTAAAATCTCCCAACCAATGGCATAAACTTACATTTTGGGTCCCCTCCTAAAACAAGTTAAAAACGTCTCCCACTCCACACACGCAAAACTTATAGCAGGCTTCTGTGAGCATCTGCAGCAGGATAATTTATTGATACACAAGTTGTGTGGGTCTCCATAAAATTGTCCCTCCTTTTCACCTTCAGTAGGCTTCAGGCCTTTGGCTTCCTGGACTCCATAGGGGTTTGTGGCAAACGTTGACTGTTAAAGCCCAAGATCATTGAGGTTATTGTTGTTGCCTAACTTTTTTTTTTTTTTTTCTTTGATACAAGATCTCATTCTGTCACTTAGGCTGGAATGCAGTGGCACGGTCATGGCTCACTGCAGCCTCGACCTCCTGGGTTCAGGTGATCCTCCCATATCAGTCTCTTGAGTGACTGGGACTGCATGTATGCACCACCACACCCAGCTAGTTTTTGTTTTTTTGTGTGTGGAAAAAGGGTCTCATTGTGTTGCCCAGGTTGGCCTCAAACTCTTGGGCTCAGTGATCCTCCCACCTCGGCCTCCCAAAGTGCTGAGGTTACAGGCCTGAGCCACTGTGCCTGGCCCAAGTTGTCTGTCATTTGTAGACACTAAACTCTTCCAAGAGAATTTGCTGGAGGCATTGGGGTGGTGGGTGGAGAGTAGGGGAGAGGAACAGTTGAGGAGAGGCTGTGAAAGAGCCTGAAGGAAGATTTTACTGGAGACCGAAGGGCCAGATCTGGCATCCCAAGCCTCGATTTGATGTTTGAAATGGTGAAGGGGCTTCTCCATTGCTTGATTCTGTTTCAAAATGCAAGCCCCACAGTTTATCATCCCATCAAGACTACCTACCATGGAGGAAATGAATTTTCCCAAAGGAAGTCAGGATGTGTCTATAGAGGAGGAATAGATGCTGGGCAGTGAAAGCTGATGTGTAGGACATGGCGCCCATGAGAACCTGCACAGTGTTGGACAGTTTGTCCACACCATCACCCATTTCCACTATACAGTGAGTATTAATATGATCCATTTTCAAATTATGACACTCTGTGTTATAGGTTGTACTTTTTTCAGAAATATTCCAAGGAACATACTCTCCATGTCCCCAACCCACAGGCTCTTCTGGAACCTCTCTACTCTCCCATGAACAGGTGGCAACTTTGTCTTCTCCCCTTGAAACTGGGTGGGCTGTAGTGACTGGTTGACTCATAGTGCTGAGCAGAAGTGATGCTATGTAACTTTCAAAGCTAAATCATAAAAGCGCCCTGCACCAACATGGAGGGAGCCCTATTGTCCAAAGCCACCATGCTGTGAGGAAGCCCAACTATCCCATGTGGAAAGGCCAAAAGGAGGACCCCCGAGCCTTGTGAATAGAGCATGGTGTCCAGCTGCCCCTGACTGCTCCTGCCACTATCTGACAGCAACTGCATGAGAGACCCAAGCCAAAGACACCCAGCTAAGCCCTTCCAGGACTCTTGATTCACAGAAACAATGAAAAACAATAAAATGATTGCTTTTGTTTTATACCACTACGTTTTGGGGTGATTTGTAGCATAGCAACATGAAAGTGAAAAACAGGGGAACTCCTCTGAGTTCAACTACTTGCCAAGCCCAACAGCTACTAAAGATCAGTGTCAATATTTTAGTCCTCTTCTTTATGGTTCTAAATGCCCCTTCTTCTCCCCCAACAAGGAAGAGATTCCTAATTAAAGAGATATTGACGGGTTTGTCATCTTACACCAAGGGACCCTTCCCACTTCCCAGCCCAGCATTACCTCTGGAAGCTTATTTCTTTTGGCACCCAAGCCTCATTTAAGGTATTTCATGGCCAGAATGAGGAGTTTCTGCTTTCTTCATTCCCATCATAGTCTGACATGTGGTCCCCAGTCAAAACTGAAAATGTATGAAGCAAATATATCTCTCAGCATCTGTCCTGAAATGATTTATTGTATCAAGTTAACAAGTCTCTCAAGCTCTTGCCAGACCAGTAATTAGTTTTAGGGGAAGGCTGGGAAGCTGATACTCTGGCCTCTGACATAAAGCAGGTGCATTTCAGAACTAATGTCTCGCCTTAGAGACCCTGCCTTACCAAGAGGCACAGGTGAGGTCCTCCCCCTGAAACCATGCCTCTGTTACTGGTCCTCAGACAGCAAACTGGACACTAGAGCAGGATTTTGGGACTAGATTTCTAATATCCCCAAGGCTCTGTGTGTCTCAGAGAACATATTCACAGTCTTCTCAGCCACCACTGAGCCACCATGCTATGCAAAGTTCATCCACTTTGGAAAACCCTTCAGATTTCACAGACTCTTGTTATTGAGGCTCCTTCTCATATCTGGCTGATCTTCACAAGACAGTGGCAAACTGCAGTAGAAATGAGCAGTTGCCTTTTTATTTTTAATTTAATGGATCTTTTTTCTACATCAGAGGTCAAGTGTTTGCTGACATCGTGCCCAAATTTCAAGTACTCCACAAAGCAATATGGCGCCACAAATAACAACGTGGCCTCTTGAGCCAGCCCGGCAACTTGGATTCACATCTTGGCTCTTCTGCGTGGAAGTCGCGCGGTTTCGCGCACATTAGTCAGTCTCCTTGGCTCTTACATGAAAATGAGATGATAAGTAATAATAGTACCTTTGCTGAGGAGTGCTTGTGAGGATTAAGTGGGTTAGTATATGAGGGGTGCCCACCTGGAGTGTTAGTTGTGTTTTCTATGGAACAAGGCCTCCTTAAGTTCTTCCTGACATTTTTTACACAGTGGTACAGAATATCTTGCATTATAATTGTGGCAGAGACACAGCACTATTTTCCCTTGGTGGCTGATGTGATTTGGCTGTGTCCCCACCCAAATCTCACCTTGAATTGTAGCTCCCATAATCCCCACATGTCATGGGAGGGACCCGGTGGGAGGGAATTGAATCATGGGGCTGGGCTTTTCCCATGCTGTTCTCATGATAGTGAATAAGTCTCATGAGATCTGATTGTTGTATAAATGGCAGTTCCCCTGCACATGCTGTCTTACCTGCCACCATGTAAGATGTGACTTTGCTCCTCCTTTGCCTTCCACCATGATCATGAGGCCTCCCCAACCATGCTGAACTGAGAGTCAATTAAACCTCTGTCCTTCATAAATCATAAGTCTCGGGTATGTCTTTACTAGCAGCATGAGAATAGACTAATACAGTGGCACATGCCAACCACTGAGCTATACTGCCCTGCTGACTTTGATCCACTCCAAATTCCCACTGGAAGCTCTATCCTGTCCACCTCCCTCTTCCTTTCAGTGGCTGGTTGGCTCTGGCCTTTACTCCCACCCTCAGGGCAACCTGTAGGTAAAAGAGAGGGCAGTGCCCAGTCAGAGGGCACCTGGTGATTGACTATTCTTTGCTTTGACTATTTATAAGCCAACACTAAAGGTCCTAGGCTTGTTGCAATTTGTCACTTTCCTAAGGTATATTCCCCCTTGTTCCTACTTTTGTTATTTTTATAATCTTGATTTATTTGGGGGTAAAATGTAATACATTTACATAGTTCCAAACTCAAAAAGTATACAGACTTATATACAAATATCTACTTCTGCCTCCAGCCACCCAGTGCAAGCCCCCAGAGGTGATCAACATTTGCAGTTTAACACATACCTTTCCGAAAATATTTCATGCATATGCAAACACACACACACACACACAAACACACACACAGACACACACAGACACACACACAAACACATACACACACAAACACACACACAGACACACACACACACACATTTCCTCTCCCACTGCAACTTCAAACAATTTTTTTTATCTAACAATATATCTTGTATTTTTTCCATGTTAGTACATAAAGTTCTTTATTCTTTTTTTCCAAACATCTGTATATTATGGCATATAGTGTAAATTATATAAACCAACCCCCATATGAACTGACATTTAGGTTATTCTCAGGTTTTTTGGGGTTTTTTTTGCCTGGAAGTACTGCTTTGAATAACCTTATGCAAAGACTGTTTTGTACTTCTGTGATCATATTCGTGAAATAAACTCCAGCAGTGGACTAGCTGAGTAAAATGGTGTGGGCATTTACACATTGCATATTAGCATGTTACCCTGCACAGAGACGGCACCCATTCACACCACCACCATCTTTACCCACACGTTCCTCATAAGCTGTTTGATCCTTTGAGACTCATATTTTATGTACTCAGAAATGACTTGGCTATTGAGTGGCCTGAGATTACCACTCACCGTGGAAATCGTGCTATGGATTTTTAGGATTTTGTGCCAGAGCCAGCCCCGTGACTCCTGGGAAGCTCTAGCATGGTATTTGTGAGCCTGGGATCCACTGAGTCACTGGTGCATCCCCCTTGGATCTGCTGCAGGGACAGCTACTATGTATGAACAGGGACCATGTGCAGGCTGTACCTTGTGTCTTCTCTAAATTCTCACTTAACCTGGGCTCTCTAGTTCCACTCTTTCCACCAATGCCAGCACCATCTTTCTTTTCAAAATGACCAAAGTGTTCTCTTTAAAACATAAATCAGGCTGGGCATGGTGGCTCATGCCTATAATCCCAGCACTTTGGGAGGCTGAGGCAGGTGGATCGCTTGAGCCCAGGAGTTTGAGAGCAGTCTGGGCAACATAGTGAGACCCTGTCTCTACAAAAATACAAAAGTTAGCCAGGCATGGTGGCACATGCCTGTAGTCCCAGCTAGTGGAGAGGCTGAGGCAGGAGAATCACTTCAGCCCAGGCGACAGAAGCTGCAGTAAGCCCTGATGGTGCCATTGCACTCCAGCCTGGGCAACAGAGGGAGATTCTGTCTCAGTCAGATCAGGGAACTTCCTGTTGGCTCAATCTTTGCATTTCTTTCTGATAAATCCCCAAGCTTGGTTGTGGCCTGCAAGATCCTGAGTGATCTGGCCCCTGCCCACTCTGGACCTTACCCCATGCTTCTCCCATCACTTGCAACTCATCTCCCACAGTGGCCTTCCAGGAGACCTGACCCTGATGAGCTAAGCGTGTTTCTACCCCAGGGCTCTTGGATCTGCCATTCCCTCTGATTGGACTCTTTGCATGACCAGATTATTCTAATTTCTACATCTTAGCTTAAATATTCTCCAAGAGGCTATCTGTGACCACCATGGTGATCACCTGCTTCATCTTATTTCTAGAACTCACCTGTATGGAATCACCTTGTTTCTTTGTTTGCCATCTGTCTCTCCATGAGAATGCAGATTTCACCATGGCAGGGAAGTGCCTATCGCCCTCACGTCTGTGTGTTTAGGGCTTAACTCAGTTCCTGGCACAGGGAAGGGATGGAAATATTTGCTGCATGAATACATGTATTGCTGAGTGAAAGATCTTTGTAACAATATGTTGAGTTATCTTGTCTCTAGTTTACAGATGAAGAAATGGGATCAGAGAGCCCTCGTGTTGAGAGTATGAATGCTGAATGACTAGATAAATGAATGATGCTTGTCATGATATATTGAATTAGAGCCTGTTGTCCCACCGTACAGATAAAGGAAGAGGCTCAGACAGTCTCTATGTGCTGAAAGAAGGGCGCCCTAGGAGTCAATGATGGAGCCGCAAGGTTTTGGAAGGGAAATGCAAGCAAAAACCAAAGCTACTGTCATGCCCCATGGCTTCTTTCCTTCCCCCAGACCTCCCTGCCAGCTCTCCTCCTCTCAACAGCTGTGATAAAGGCAGGGGGAGGATTTATTCTTCATGCAGTGAGGGATTTATGAAGCAAAGTTTTTATGTCAATGTTGTACTAGGCACTGCTGGACATATAGACATTTTGTTAAGATGTCATTCCAGTTGGCAAGAACTTCATGGCTTTGCCCAAGCTTGAAATTTGCTAATCATAAGGAAATATAGAGCTTCTTCATCTTTATTTTTTCATGCCAGGCTGCCTCTCAGAAATCAGAGACTTGCAGGGAGCAGGAAAGCTCAGGCTGTTCCCCTAAAAGCTTGAAAACGGAAGAGTCTTCACACGCTGCCTTCTGCATGCCTGTTAAACCCTCCCAGTTAGGGACCTCTGACTACAGCAGCCTGATTGGAAGGTCTTAGAGGAAGCACCTGAACTTCTGTATTTATATTCATCAGTCAAATAATTATTAAGTGCCTTCTAAGCAGTGGGCATATTAGGGTTCATTAGGTCTGGACGATGACCGTGTGGACGTCATTGTTGGTTAGAAAAGATGCATGCCAAAAAGTATTCAGTTGCAACTATGGCAAATGCTATAAAGAAGAGGTGTGCAGTGTTAAGGAACCCACATAAAGAAGTGTATGACTTAGGATATGGGCCAATTGCTTGCAAAAGAGACTTTGTTTAAAGTGGTATGAATTTCAAAAACGTAATTTTTTCTGTTCCATAGAGATCCAAAGTGGTTTGGTGCCTCTGCTCTGCAATGCCATCAGAAGCCCAGTCTCTTTTCTCCTGGCACTAGAGGCTGCCCTTGTTGATATGATTCAAGATGGTGTGCTAGTACTTGCAAGCCCAGCCAATGGGAGGATGGAGAGCGAGGGAGGGCAGTGGGGCAGAGAAGAGATGGGTGGGGTGTTGGGGGGAGTGATCCAGGAAGATACCGTCAACCAGTTAGACTATCCCAATAACCCCAAATAAGGATCCAATGCGCGTCTACCTTCCCACCACCATCTACCCCAAACTACAGCCTCCGCAAAACTGGAAACCGCATCTCTCTCTCCTCTGTCACTTTGCACAAGCCCATGTGGCTTGGCGCCAAGCATTCTGAAATGACACCCAAGCCTCTTAAGTTGGCAAAATATTTGAGGTTGTGGTTCAGGAGAAAACGTAGCAACACCTATTTTTTAAAAGCGGTACGAAAAGAGACAGTCTCTTAACATAGAGAGATTATCTTAATAACTTTAAATTGGCCCTTCAGACCTCTTACTTCTTTTCTCAAAGACATCATGACAGGTTGTTCCGTAAGGCTGTTCTCCATGCCTTTCCTGGGTAACCTAATAAGTTTTTTTTCTTTCTGTTTTCAGCATCACATTAATTCTTCATAAGTGGTCCTTATTATTCCCTGCTTGTTCCATCTCCAATGCAGTATTTTCTCACCAGGGGTGTGTAAACTAGGCCGGCTAAATGGCAAAGACGCCTCATTCATCATGTCTTTAATTTCCCCACCTTAGAAGGAAGCACTGCAGCTTAAGTGTAGGATGAAAGCAAATCACCTTAATACTTCACCGGCTGCCTGGGCTGAGGCTCTGCATGCCTCGCCTTCCTCCCGTGGAGCAGACAAGGGCAAGCGACCATCTTAAAACCACAGTGGTCACCCCTGTAACCATGGTGGGTGTAGATTGAGTAGGATAAAGGGATCAGCTTCTGTGACAGCAGCCCCCAAATCCCTGGTTCATCAAGATAGAGCAGATTTCTCTCTTGTTTGTGTGTTTGAGTTCTTGTAGCAGCTTCCACTCTGCAAAGGTGGCAGGTACCCAGACTCCTGCCAGCTTGTGGCTCCATCACCCCAAAATGTTGCTACAGTCAGTGCAATCCAAGATAGCTCATCACCACCATGAACTCCAGCCAGGGAGAGGGACAAAGGGTAAGCCAGGAGCCTGCTGCCTTCTTTTAAGTGCAGGACCCAGAAGCTCTTGACCCAGAAGCTCTGTGTCATGTCCCATGACAGAACAGACATACCAGCTGTGCCTAGCTGCAAGGGAAGCAAGGAAATGTCATCTTGTATCCTGGTGAACCATGTGCCATGCCCAAAGGGCACAGAGGAAGAAGGGGACAGCTGATAGTCTCTACTCAAATTCAAGTACAAATCTGAAAATACTCAGAGAATGAATGTTGAAAGAAATCCAACATGAGTCCTCTGAAGTAGAGGAACTTCTGGGAGTCAGACAGGAGGTCCAGAGCCTTGGCAGGTCCTGGAGGCCATTCTGGAAGGAGGTCATCTGGACAGCAAGGTGAGGGCTCAACTGCAAAGGACAGAAGTGGGCTTGTAAAAGTTTTCAATCACATGAGCAAGAACCAGCACAACACAGAGGGCTGCTCGGCAGAAAGAGAGACTTTAATATTTAAGGCGACCATTGCCACAAGCCAAGGACTCCTGTTTGCTCCTTGGAGTGATAATGATAATGATGATACAATCATCTAATGTCCCCCATTAGTAGAGCTGCTGCTGTTATCCTAGCACTGTGCCATGCGCTCTCGGGCAAGTCTGGGTCTGATGTGATTGAATTTGGGCAGTGTACATTCCCGGAAGAATGACTCTTCAGACCTCAGATTTCTCACACATAAAATGGGGATCTCATAAGATTGTTATGGGGATGACAAGTAATGTAAAAATGTGACAAGCTTAGAACTGTGCTTGACGCTTAGCAAATCCTCAATAAATATTATCTCTTGTCTTAGTTCATTTGGGCTGCTCAAACAAAAATACCACAGATTGGTCGGCTTAACCCATTTATGCCTGAGGTTGCAATTTTTTGAATTTTTGCACTCAGACCTTGGCGATGACCTTGAGCAATAGGATGTAAATAACTCCCACATGCTTAGTGTTCCAATAATGGAACACTAGGCATAAATGGCTAAACCTTTATTTCTCAAAGTTCTGGAGGCTGTGAAGCCCAAGATAAAGGCATAAAGGCACCGCAGACCTGTTGTCTGAGGAGGGCTGCTTCTGGGATTGCAGTAGGCTGCTGTCTCCTTGCGCCTCACATGGCAGAGAGAGCATTCCGGGCTCTTTATCTCCTCATAAGGACGTGAGTCCTATTGTGGAGGCTCTATGCTCAAGATCTCATCTAAACTTAACTCAGCTCTGAAAGGCCTCACCTCTCAGTACAATTGCATTGGGGGTTAGGGTTTCAACATATGAATTTTAGGGGGGCACAGATATGCGGGTCACAACACCTTTGTGTTGAGAAATAGTAATTATTATTTCTCACGGCTTTGCAGTCAGTGAGGAGAGGCTTCAGCCATCACAGCATCATCTCCAGCAGTGCCCCGCAAGCCAGCATGAGATTCAAGTACAAACTGTGCCGCCTGGCCTGGGGAGCGTCAAGGCCAGCACTGTCCAGCAGTGCTTTATGCCCACCCCGTGCTGCTTCTTTGCAGGAATTCCAGTTCAACCATGATGTTTTCTGATTCTTACATCAACCCTGAGATATGGGTACGATGGGTCCCATATTCCAGAAAACAATGTAAGTGCAGTGACGGGGTTGAGAGATAACATCTGCCATTTAAAATCAGTTCTGCCACTTACATCTCGTACAACTCAGGGAAGACACTTCTCTGGGCCTCAGTTTCCTTATCTCTAAAAGGGAACTTGTATTTCTCACCTCATGAGATTGCCCTCAAGAGCAAATAATTTGACAAGTGCCACATGCTTGGCCCAAAATGAGAGCTGCTGATATTAGGAAAGCCAGGGATTCTTGTTTGTGGGAGGCAGCTTCTGACATGGTCTCCAGGGATCCCCCCTTCCTGGTAGTCATGCCTTTAAACAATCCTGTCCTCTTCCACGGGCTAGACTGGCAATGTTTTTAACCAATATTATGGGATATTGTTATGGAGAATGGTCTGAGAAAGATAATAATTATTATAACTAATTAACAAAAATATTATGGGATATCTAACTAACCAATAGTGATATGCCACTCCCATGATTAGGTGGCAAAGCCTGGGGTTTATGTGTTGCTAGCAGACTCCATTGTCTTCTTGGCCTGTGTGCTGGCAGAGCCCGCCTGGCAGAGAACTGAAGGTGGTCTGTAGCCAACAGTCAACAAGGAACTGAAGCTGCCAGCCCAATAGCCCATGGTGAGCAGAATTCTCTCAACAACGACATGATCTTGGAAGCAGATCCTTCTCCAACTATGCCTTCATATAAGACCCCGGCCTCTCCTACCACCTGGATTTCAGCCTTGAGAGACCCTGAGGCAGAGGACAGAACTAAGCTTTTCAGGATTCTTAAGCCACAGAAACTTTGAGATGATAAATGTGAGTTGTTTTAAACCACAGATTTTAGGGTAAACTTTCGCAGCAATGCATAACTCACAGTGTTCTTACAGATGACCTAGAATTGCTTGTATAAACTCTTGGTATTAAAAAATAGTCAATAGGAAAATGTAAATATAAGAAGTTCTTCATGTCTTTATGGAACTTTATAATTTGCAAAAAGCATCTCCATGGATATCATTTCATTTGATCATCACAATAAACCTTTGAGAGCTGGACGGGGTAGTGGGAATTCATGTCACAGGTGAAGAAACTGATATTTAAGGGCATTAAAAGTAACTCATCCAAAACCACCTAGCAGAGTAGAAGAAACAAATGGTATTCTATCTCCAAAATGCTATATTCTTTCCAAGAAATTCACCATCTATTTGGGGATCCCTTTTTCCAAAATTCAGCATAAATTCCATAGTTTGACTCTTAAGAACTGCATGAAGGTCAGTAACATAATATAATCTAAATAGGTGAAAAAAAAAAAAAGAAAAAAGAAAAAGAATTTGAGACAAAGTCTTACTCTGTCACCCAGGCTGGAGTACAATGGTACAATCTTGGCTCACTGCAACCTCCGCCACCTGGATTCAAGCAATTCTCCTGCCTCAGCCTTCCGAGTAGCTGGGATTACAGGCGTGTGCCACCATGCCCAGATAGTTTTTGTATTTTTAGCAGAAATGGGGTTTCGCCATGATGGCCAGGCTGGTCCTGAACTCCTGGCCTCAAGTGATCCACCTGCCTCAGCTTCCCAAAGTGCTAGGATTATAGGCATGAGACACCAAGCCTAACCAAAAAAAAAAAAAAAAAAGTTTTAATCAATAGCTGTCTCTGAGCTTTCAGAGTCCCTTGCATTCTAGGCTTTCAGATTAAAGAATGCTACTAAAGAGGATAACATGAGGATGAACATAGGTCTAATATAGAAAAAAAATGATTGACATTTTGTGTGCATATTTCTGAAACCTATATTGTTTGGGGGAGGTTTTCCTAAAGAACCTATTGACTTTTTGGACCTGAGAATGTTATTTCTTTGCTCGTTTTATTTAAATGTATTGGGTTGGTTCAACCATTACCTGAAAATGTGAAACATTGTGTTTGGCCCTATATTGATTGCAGCCACACCATAGAGGGAAAGATCCTGGCTGTTGGTATTTGCTTTGTTTGTTTCTAGAGCATATCAAACTGACATAAAACGCCCATGAAATTACTTCTGAGTTTGAATGGCAGAGTGACGCCATCCTTACATGAGATTGATCTCTTTGATTGAATCTTCCATCAGAGGAGTAATGGGTGGATAAATAGCCACATTCCCAGCTGCACTGCCACATCACGTAGTTCGTACTGTATGGTGCCTCAGAGCTTAGACTCAGAAAAGACTGCCAGGGTTCGGGTTCCAACATTCAACTTAGTAACTGAAATTTAACAAGTTACTAAACTCTATGTCTAGGTTTCCTCGTCTTTAAAATAGTGATGACATTAATAGCATCCACCACCTACAGTTACTTTGAAAATTAAATTAATGTGCTTCTAAAGGCTCCTGGGAAACATGAAGCATTATCATTGTGCTTAATGTTGGTATAGTTGTGGTTATTGTGTTGCTTTTAGATGTTTCAGGGATCCTCACTTCTAGAAACTTGGGAACAAAATACCAAAGGGATGCATCATTTTGAAGAGCAAATTCAGCTTATTGACCCTTTAGAAAACATCCCAACCCACTTTCAAGTTTTCCAGGACCACTCAAGGATAGCCAGTCTTCTAAGACCCCATCCAAATCAGAACATCATAATGTCTCCTTCAAGGAGTGTTTCACACAGACCTATCTTTATCCAAAAAGGCTGTTTCAATGCAAGAGAAAGAAGTGCCAACCCAAACTCAATTGAAAAAAAGAACCTAGCAAACTAGGAGTAAGCTTGAATTCTACACAAGGGGATTTAGTAGTTCAATGTATGTCACCCGATGACTGTAGTTAATAATACTGTGTTGTTTACTTTGAAAGTTGCTAAGAGAGATCATAAGTGTCCACATACCCATAGACACACACACACACACACACACACACACACACACACACACACACACAACTGGTAACTATGGAAAGTGATAGAGGTGACTACGGTAATCGTTTCACAGTGAGTATGTATATCCAGTCATCATGTTGTATGCCTTGAATTAATATAATTTGTCTTTGTCAATTATATCTCTATAAAGCTGAGGAAAAGAATATGTCACTAGAAAGTGGCCTCCTCCACTTTAAGGTGTTTTGATTTCTTTCTGCTCTCCTCCACTGGAGTCATTCTCATGCTTCACGTGGCAGGATGATAGGCATATCGTCTCCACCCCACTGACCTTTCCAAGCTCGAGTCCAGCAGGGCAGAAAGCAGCTCTGTTCCTGTGGCCATGCCAGAGTTCTGACGACCAGTCTGATGTGAAGGTTCTAGGCTACAATGCCTGTCTCTGAACAAGATCCAATGCCTTGTGCATGGGCTGTGCTGATTCGATTTGCTAAGCCTGTGCCATGTGCTGCACCGTGGGAGCCCCATCTCAGCCACGTGGCCTAGAGATAGAGATGAAAGGACCCCCTAAGTTACATGACGCAGGAGCCAATGTCCATTACACAGCCCTTCCTGAGGGGTGGACCTCATGCAGAGACATTTACTGCTGGCCTCCTCCACAGTGCCTCGGTGTGCAGAATGGGTTTGTGATTTAGGGAACAAATGATGCCAGGAGTACATTTACTAAACAGTGTGATTGCTTCGTTTCTTTTCAAAAACACCTCTTAACAATGTCATCTTGCCATTAAAGAAGGGAGCAGTTCTCTCTTACTTACAGACCAAACGCTTTTCATGGTGCCCCTTAATGATGAAGACCTTCAGGGGCAGCCAGAGGATATGAAACTGGAAAAAAGAATCATAGATTTTCATAGCAGCAAGGATGCATTCTCCTGGCTTCACTCCAACAGCTTTATTATTTATGCTCATACCTTGTTCCACAAAGGATTTTAGACAATTTACAATACTGTCTCCAATATAGGAAGCCAAAACACATTTCAAATAAATAATCATAGCAAATACTTACCCTGTACTTGCCGTGGACTGGGCATTATTCTAAGCACTTTATGCAGACTTATTTAATCTCCACATCCCTACGAGGTGGGTGTGGTTATCAGCTCTGGTTTACAGATGCTGAAACTGAAGCCCAGAGCGTTTAAGAAATGCTCCAAGGTCACACAGCTGGCAAGTGGCAGAGTGGGGATTTCAACTAGCTCAGAATCTATGTTCTTAACCTCTCCTGATACTGACAAGGAGAGAATGAAGGTGGGAAAGTGAGGTGAAGCCAGGTGTGAGGTGGACGCACAAAACAGGCGTCATGAAACCCCGAGCCCCGTGTCCCTCAGCTTTCTACTAACAAGATCCAAAGTGCCCATCTCTCAGAAACAATCTGCCCAGTGAAAACCACAGTCAATGTGAAGCCAGAAAAGGATTGTTACCATGGGTTCTTTATGCAATCTTTACTTCATTTAAAAATATTTACTGAGATCCTTCTCTGCGCTGGGCACTCACTCTTCTAGGACTGAGTGACGGAAGAGACTGAGACCCTGCTCTCTCATGGCTTTTAATCTAGAGAGGAGAGGACACAGGTAGACATGTGACCTGCCAGTTGAGGACACATTCCATGAGAGATACTGAAGCAGGTGAGCGGGGGCGTGCTGAGTTGGAGCGGTCAACCCAGTTCTCTGAGGAGGTGATGTTTGACACTGGAATAGGAAGGGTGTGAGCACAGGCAGAGGGCACAGTGAGCTGAGTTTGGGACCGAATTGGGAGTCTCCACAGTGTCCAGCAGGGCTGGAGCAGGCCCCCTGAGGGGATAAGGTGGTGGTTAAGGTCAGAGAGAGAAGCAGGGGCCAGTTATGATTTTTTTAATCAGGACAAACATATCTGGGTCTGACAGGCCTTCTTCGGTCTCCTTCCTGCAGCAAAAATCAGGCCCAAGTATATTTTTTACTCTGCCTTTCTTACAAAGACAGATGTTAAAAGCACTAATGAGCTCTTAAATGGTGAAAAAAGAAAAAGTCTTTCACCTACTACAGCAAATATATACATAGTGGACAGATTTTTTAACCAAGGAGTGAAGAGTAGAGGAAGGGAGGGGAGGGGAAGAAAGTAAAAGAAAAGAAAGCACAATTTACATTTTCCATTTATACCATCAGCTTTTTATTAACCAGGTGACATGAAGACAGAGCCCACACTAGAGCGGCTTGTGGAGAGAGTAGTAAAACCTGACAGGTAATTTGGTAAATCAAGACAGTCAGCAAACATCTGTTGAGGATGATAATATTCAAGGGGTTGCATTGGTTCTGTGAAAACTTAGCCACACTGGGCTTGGATTAATTTTTCATTGTCTCCAGTTAAATGAGGATTGCTTACACAGCTGCCTCAGATAGAGCCCTGATCGCATTCCATCTTTTGCCAAAATCACAAAATACTGAAAAAGAAGAAATTAAATAAAATAAAAAACCAACCTCAGATACATTGAAGTCTCTTCTGGTCTCCAAGCCCCTGGATTCTTTCTTTCTTCACTATATTTTCTTTGATCACTTTCGATGCTCTTTTATTATCATTGCCGTTAACGTGAGAAGTGAAAGGAGAGATGGAGAATAAACACTGTCCATATTAGGAAAAATATGAAAAAGCATATAACCCACCGTGAATACAACTGGGGTTATCTTCTCGTCTTAGGCTCCTTAGCACCAGAGAGGAGTGGAAAGGTGAAAGAAAGAAAATTCAAGGGCTGAAAAATATCTACACCTCCCCACCCCCGCACCCCCCACACACTCACACTGTGGTCACATTGAGAAAAGATGCAAGACGCATTCTGACACTTAGGTGAAGCACAGCCACTGGGGATGTGCTTTCTCTTGTCAGTTTCTTTTCCAAGTAATTCACAACACGTGAGTGCATTCATGGGCCTTTACAAATCTTGTTTTGACATGCACGTCAGAGAAAAACTGCTCTGATGAATGGGTCTTGGGTTAGACTTCATTCCAGAATTTGCTTGGTTTTGCCTTCTTTTTTACGTGTCACTCCCCTAATGGGTGTTTTTACTGATGCCATGAACAGAAACTAGATTGCAGAGGCCTAACGAAACACGGCTTTTTTTTTTCCTTTGACTCAGCATGAAGTTCAGAGGCTAGGGTTAGGCTGTGGCTGGCTCAGTGTCTCCACAACGCCAGGGGACCCAGGCTCCTTTTCTCTTTCTGCTCTGCCATCTATGGCATGTGGTGGCTTTTCTCATGCTCACAGGATGACAGCTATACCCACAGGCATCTTATTGTGTTCCAGGTAGAGCAAATGGAGGAAGATGTATGGCTAAGGCAATAAGTAGGTGAAGGCTGGCGCTGTTTGCCTCTTTGGATAAGAAAAACAATAGCTTCCTTGCAAGTTCAGCCAGTAGACATCTGCTTATATCTCATGGCTGAATGGGACCCGTAGAGCCACTCCTAGCAATAAGGAAGTCTGGGGAAGTTACTATTTTCACTTTGGCACGTTACCACCCTGAAAAGATCAGGGCTTTGTTAGCAAGAAAGAAGAAAAGGATGGATGTCAGGGAAGCAACCAACAGTGGCTGGCCCAGGAGACAGGAGGGACATGCTTTCTTTGGGCTTTTGGATGTAGTCATGTGGAGGTTTAATGGCTTGGAGTTGCTCTAGCTACCTTGAAACTATACCAGACAAGGCCAAAAAAATAAAAAGCCAGTGTTCTGAGGATGGTAGAACAGAAACTTGGAAACTCTCTGTGTCCTTGATGACATTGCGGAGTCACCGAATTAACCAACCCTTATTGCCTGCCTTCTACCCTTTTTTATTTGCTGAAAAGGTACATCTCACTATCATTTAATCCAGTCTGAGTTTAGGTTTCTAGAGTGTTCAGTCAAAATATTGTAACTGACACAGTCTTCTACAAAGGAGAATGTTTTTTAATGAATATTTTTATTGTGGTAAAATATACATAACATAAAATTGACCATTTTAACCACATTTAAGCATACAGTTCAGTGACATCAAATACAATGAAACTGTTGAGCAACCATCACCACCATCCACCTCCAAAATGTTGTTTTATCTTCAACGGAAGCTCCGTACCCATTAAACACTAATTCCCCACTCCCCCTCCCCGCAGCCCCTGGTAATGGTTCTATTTTCTGTCTCTATGAATTTGACTCATCTAAGCACCTCGTGTAAGAGGAATCACACAGTGTTTGTCCTTTAAAGGGAGTATTTTAATAAGGGCTTTCATGGTTATAGGAGACAGAAAATCTAACTGAAATCTGTTGCAGAGTCCACAAGAGAATCCAGTTAGGCACGGTTGGATGCAGGAACTCAGATCTATTCCATTAAGAGGTGCCTTCTTGTCTTGCAGTAGGTATATTTTCTGTGCTGACTCCACTTAGAGGCAGATTTTCCTTTCCCCCGTACCAGGTCTTCATCTTCTTAGATATAAATCAAGTGAAAAAGCCATGACTGCTCCTCCACTGTTCACACAAAACATTCCAGGGTAGAGAATTACTGGCTGTGATTGAGTCACCTGCTTATCCCTGAACCAATCATATGTCTCTGCTGGCCTCTGATTGGCCAGACCTGGGTCACATTCCTACTGTGGCCTCTGCTAGTCTCTGATTGGCCAGGCCTGTGTCACATGCCCACTGTGGCCTCTGCTAATCTCTGGTTAGCTAGGCCTGTGTCACACGCCCATTGTGGCCTCTGCTGATCTCTGATTAGCCAGGCCTAGGTCACATGCCCACTGTGCCACACTGCTGGCCTCTGGTTGGCCAGGCCTGGGTCACAGGCCCACTGTGGTCTCTGCTGGTCTCTGGTCAGGCCTGGGTCACATGCGTACTGTGGCCTCTGCTGATCTCAGATTGGCCAGACCTGTGTCACATGCCCAGACCTGGGTCACATGACTACTTGTGGCCTCTGCTGATCTCTGATTAGTCAGACCTGGGTCACATACCAACTGTGGCTGGTGCTGGCCTCTGATTGGCTGGGCCTGGGTCGCATGACCACTGTGGCCTCTGCTGACCTCTGATTGGCTGGGCCTGCGTCACATGGCCACTGTGGCCTCTGCTGGCCTCTGATTGGCCGGGCCTGGGTCACATGCTTACTTGTGGCGTCTGCTGATTTTGGATTGGTCAGACCTGTGTCACATGCCCAGACCTGGGTCACATGACAAGTTGTGGCCTCTGCTGATTGACCAGACCTGGGTCACATGCCCACTGTGGCCTCTGCTGGCCTCTGATTGGCCAGACCTGTCACATGCTCACTGTGGCCTCTGTTGGCCTCTAACTGGCTGGGCCTGGGTCACATGCCCACTGTGGCCTCTGCTGGCCTCCGATTGGCCAGGCCTGGGTCACATGCCCACTTCTTGAAGCCAGTGACTTGGTCCCACTAGAAACATAGGGTTTAAAAGTGGTGAAGATACCAGAGAAATGCAAATCAAAACCACAATGAGATACCATCTCACACCAGTTAGAATGGCGATCATTAAAAAGTCAGGAAACAACAGGTGCTGGAGAGGATGTGGAGAAATGGGAACACTTTTACATTGTTGGTGGGACTGTAAACTAGTTCAACCATTGTGGAAGACAGTGTGGCGATTCCTCAAGGATCTAGAACTAGAAATACCATTTGACCCAGCCATCCCATTACTGGGTATATACCCAAAGGATTATAAATCATGCTGCTATAAAGACACATGCACATATATGTTTATTGTGGCACTACTCACAATAGCAAAGACTTGGAACCAACCCAAATGTCTATCAATGATAGACTGGATTAAGAAAATGTGGCACATATACACCATGGAATACTATGCAGCCATAAAAAATGATGAGTTCATGTCCTTTGTAGGGACATGGATGAAGCTGGAAACCATCATTCTGAGCAAACTATCACAAGGACAGAAAACCAAACACTGCATGTTCTCACTCATAGGTGGGAATTGAACAATGAGAACACTTGGACATAGGACGGGGAACATCACACACCGGGGCCTGTCGTGGGGTGGGGGGAGTGGGGAGGGATAGCATTAGGAGATATACCTAATGTAAATGATGAGTTAATGGGTGCAGCATACCAACATGGCACATGTATACATATGTAACAAACCTGCATGTTGTGCACATGTACCCTAGAGCTTAAAGTATAATAATTTTTTAAAAATTTTAAAAAAGATTAAAAAAAAAAGAAGCCATAACAGTCCAATTCATGGGACAGAAAGTAGAATGGTGGATGCCAGAGGCTGGAGGAGGGAGGATTGGGGAATTAATGTTCAATGGGGACAGAGTTTCAGTTTGGGAGGATGAAAAAGTTCTTGAGGCAGATGGTGGTGATGGTTGCACAATTTGAATGGACTTACTGCCACTGAACTGTACCCTTAAATGGTTAAATGGTAAATCTACTATGCATATTTTACTACAATAAATTTATTTTACTTTTTTGCAATCAAAAAAAAAAAAAAGAGAGTGGTGAAAATAGGACTCCATTTGCAGAGCCCTTAGTACCAAAGAGGAGTGGAGAGGTTTCCCCAAGGAAAACTGGATGCTGTTATTGGAAAAACAGAATACATGCTTGATGGGCAGACTGAACAGATGTCCACTACCGAGGGCACTTTCCACACAGTCCAGAGGAGCCTGCCCCATTTGGAACCCACATGCTCTCCACAGCTGGGCCCTGGGCCAGAACGCCACTTCCTTGCTCCTGGCAGATCTGAGCTGGACACTTCTATTTCCCTGCTCCATTGTGCATTCTTCCTCACTCACTTTTATATCGCTCAGAGCATCCTGTCTATGCATGGTGCTAATCAATACTTATTAGTTACGGCTCATTCCAATGCTAATATTTGGAGCACCATTTGTATGATAATAGCTAATGTCTCTCAAGCACCAGCTACATGCCGGGTACTGGCTGAAGCGCTTCGCTGCTATCATTTAATCTTCACAGCATCCCTACCATAGAGAAACCGTTATTATCTCCTGTTTACAGATGAGGAAACCAAGGCTGGAGCAGGTGAAGCCACTTTTGCACATGACTTCTTGTTCCGTCGTGGCGGCACTGCTGCCCCACCTGAATTTGACTGATCTGAAGCCCTTGCTCCTAGGCATGCTGTCACTCTGTTTCTTTGGCCAAGTTCAATTGTCCTTCCCAGTGGCCCCCTTCTGGAGGGCAGGCGAGAGACTTCAGTTCCGGTAAATTGGCAGTGTTTCCGTGTAGACTGGATTGTTCCATAAGATCTAGATTGATGGGCTTGGGTGGTTCCAAGTGGAAAAACCATGCTACCTTGGGGCACCAGGGACTGATTCCTTGGCCCTCATAAAGAAAGGGCCTGGTGCTTTGAGTTTCTTCACTGAATTTGGCCAGTGCAGGCAGAGAATGCATTCTCCAGTTGTCCTTGCCACTCCTCATTACTTTAGGTCCAGCCTCTTCACATATTTCCATTATCTGACTGGTCTCTGAAGACATTTGTATTTGCGGCCCCTTTTCTAGGGGTCAGTAGGTGCAAAACAGGCTATAGCAGAGATAACAGGTAATAAAATAAAAACCATGCAAGTTCCTCTCTCATCTGTGCCTCCCGCTATATGCACTACAATTCCTCGCTGTGTCTTTCTTTGTAATGTGGACAGTCCTATGCTTTATCTTTCTCGGCAGTAGGATTATGGAATAATACCTTTGACCAGCATTTACATTGTTACAGGATAATTTTTTTAAACACAGCAAAGTCATCATACCTTATAAATATAAAGAGAGGCCGGACATGGTGAGTCATGCCTATAATCCCAACACTTTGGGGGGGCCAAGGCAGGCGGATCACGAGGTCAAGAGATCGAGTCCATCCTGGCCACCATGGTGAAACCCCATCTCTACTGAAAATACAAAAATTAGCTGGACATGATGATGTGCACCTATAGTCCCAGCTACTGGGGAGACTGAGGCAGGACAATTGCTTGAACCCAGGAGGTGGAGGTTGCAGTGGGCCAAGATGGCGCCATTGCACTCCAGCCTGGGCGACAGAGTGAGACTCCGTCTCAAAAAGAAAAAAAAAAGAAAAAAAAGGACATGTGTCAAATATTTTACTTAACGATTCATGAGTCTATAAAATGTAGGATTTCAAAGGAAATTTTATCAATGAAAGGCAGAGAAATATACAGACCATGAGATAAATTTATAAGTGGGTGAAAAGCTGACTTTTATACATGGGTGTGGAGGGCAACAATTGCCCCTCCACTGAACATAATTTATTTGTATGTCTATTGACAAGAATTGTTTCCATTGCTATCATTTATTTAAAAGTTATGGAATTGTAAAATAGGTCAAGGACGACGCACTATACAAACATCATAGAATCAAATAACAGGAAAGATGTGTTCCAAACGTGGCACAGTTTACCATTCATGACACTCAGTAGTCTTTTGGTCCACTTCGAAGCCTGTCAGAGTATTTCCTACAATATGTGGCCACTAAGTTATCTGCAGCTGATATCTTGCACCTTTCTTGGGCATCATGAATGTCCCTGTGGTACAATTCATGGTCAGGACCTAAACTGAAAAGTGAATGGCACTTTGGGAGGCTGAAGCGAGTGGCTCACCTGAGGTCAGGAGTTCGAGACCAGCCTGGCCAACATGGTGAACCCTCCTCTCCACTAATAATACAAAAATTAGCTGGGCTTGGTGGTGCATGTCTGTAATCCCAGCTACTCGGGAGGGTGAGGCAGGAGAATCACCTGAACCAGAAGGGGGAGTTTGCAGTGAGCTGAGATCACGCCACTGCACTCCAGCCTGGGTACAGAGCGAGACTCTGAAAAAGATTAGAAGGGGAGGGGAGGGGAGGGGAGGGGAGTCAGTGGCCTCCCAGTATCTGTGAGGGTAGAGTCAAAGCCTTCTCTCCCGAAGCCCTTAAAATTGAAACAGAAAAGAGCAAACCATTGCAAAGGGGAGGCTGATCACCTCTGCAGCTTGAAGTTGAGTTATATATGTACTCAGTTAATTAAAACAGCCCGTGAGTGGGCAGCTTCTCTTTGTTCAATGGTTCCTATCTTTTGAGTTAATCTTCCTTGGCATGAGACTTTCCCTTGGATCAGTAACTAGGATAGAGTGACTAATGGCTTGTAATCAATGATAATAGCGACATGCTTGTACACTTTCTATTTGCCAGCCTTTGCTGGCACTTGGTATGCATCTCTTAATCGTCACATCCATCCTCTGCAATTATTTCTGTGTTACACATGTGAAAATTGAGACAGGTTAAGCCATTTGTCCGTGATCGCACACCTAAGGGGTGGCAGAGTTTTGAAGGCAGGATTCTGACTCCCAGGCCCATGCTTTGGTTGTCGACATTGTTGTTGTTGTTGTTGACGATGATGATGATGTTGGAAAATCTTTTTCATTTTGCTGGCAGAAAGCTGTTCAGAAAACTTCAAATGTGCTTAAAATTAATCACTCTCTTAGTTTTTGTTTCTCATGGTACATTTTATTGAGATACAATTCACATATTTAAAATTCACCCTTTTAAAGTGTACCATCCAATGGTTTTTAGTGTATTTACATACTTCTGCAACCATCACCACTGTTTAATTCTTAAACATTTTCATCACCTCAAAAGGCAACCCCATATCCACTAGCAGGCATTTGACCTTCTTCCCTCCCCACAGCCCCCATCAACCACTAATCTGCTCTCTGTCTCTATGGACTTGCCTATTCTGGACATTTTATGTACATGGAATCATAAAATATGTGGTCTTTTGTGATGGACCTCCTTCACTTAGCATCATGTTTTCATGGTTTATTCATATGATAGCATGTATCAGTAGTTCATTTCTTTTTATGTCTGGAGAATATTCCATTGTATGGGTACACCACAGGGACCTGTGCTCTTAGTCCCATTTGTTACTGTCTCTTTTCACGGTTGGGAGAAAAATTGGTACATTAAGAGTGGGGATGTATCATCATTTTGTTCCCAGAGGTTCTGGCCATGGCCCCCCTTGGGATAGGAGAACCTGGGAGACAAACCTTCCCCAAGCCCCGGTGACACTCGCTTTTCCAGGCTGCTTTGGAACCAAAGCTGTGCTTCTGTGAGATCTCTGACTGTGACAGTGGCTGAGCGTTCTGTCCCCAAGCCTTGAAAATGTTCCTTTCGGAAACTAATTGGCCCATCAAGGGATTGAACTGTGCCTCTCGCCACCGGTGCACTCTGCTTTTATTAACTCAGCTCTCCGCTCCAGCCTTGCCCTCCTGAAGTGGCTATTGATCTTTTAAAAGTTTTATGGTCTCATCTTGGGGTCACAAAGAGAGCAGTGGCCTTTAACTCCCCCCAGGGCCTGGGATGAGTCTCTCCTCCTCACTTCCAGTTAAGCAGGTACCTGCCCTTTTAGTCCTGCCCTTGATGCCTTATTAGAAGGCTTGAAATACCACCTTCTTCGCGGCTCCCCTCAAATGAGGACTCTGCAGTGCCTTCAGGTAGCCATGGAAGAGTTTCCTAAACACCATTCACCATGTTTGCCATATCCGCAGGTCATTAGTACATACTATTATTATTTAGTTTGTCTTGTATATTCAAATTAACTCATTTTTTTCTTCTTAAATATATTTCAAGAGAAAACTTTATGTCATTACCGAGTATGAAAAAACTGTATCATTTGCCATAAATAAAAGCCAACCATAAAAATAAATGCAGTTAAATTCTTGGCCTTGGGCCCGCTTCCCTCCACGCCAGTGGAGCTGAGTGAGCCTAAATGGCTCCCTTCTTTCCTCCAAATGCCCCAAGAGAGCTTTCATCTTAATCCTCTTTTGTATGAACAGAAGGATGCATTTGAAATTAGAATATAGGTCATGCCTGGAAGCGAGGCAGGCTGCCGGCCCCACCTCCCACACTGGTCGCAGCCTGTATGTCAACATGGATTCTCAATTCCTCCTTCACCAGCCCTCCCTCACCTCCGTCTGAGCTCCCCGGGTACCCACTCCCAGCTTTGCTTTTTCTGTTCTGCCCACCAATAACACCCTTTTACTTGAGTATCCATCTGAATTCGTTTGTACCTTCAAAGTCTACTTGTCGCCTTATTATCCATTATCAGATGCAAATGACTTTCCAAGTAGATCCTTTCCTCCTATTAAACTTACCTGAGAATGGAAAATTAAAGAGGTTTTTGTTGTTGTTGTTGTTGTTATTGTTGAGACAGAGTCTTGCTCTGTCACCCAGACTGGAGTGCGGTGGCATGATCTCGGCTCACTGCAATCTCCGCCTCCTGGGCTCAAGCGATTCTCTTGCCTCGGACTCCCAAGTAGCTGGGATCACAGGTACCTGCCACCGCACCCTGCTAATTTTTGTATTTTTAGTAGAGATGGGGTTTCGCCATGTTCGTCAGGCTGGTCTTGAACTCCTGACTTCAAGTGATCTGCCCGCCTCTTCCTCCCAAAGTGCTGGGATTAGAGGCGTGAGCCACCATGCCCAGCCGAAAGTTTTTTTTTTAGTAATAGATAAACACAGTTATAATTTGGGAGATCGTAAAAACATGACTCCAAATAGAGGTGACTAGGGGAGTTTTATTTTTAGGGGATTATCTATGCCAGCCCTGCCTTGCAACAATTGAACCAACTTCCTGAAGCCTGTTCAGTGGAATGCTAGCACCACACACAAGCGAATGCTGCCAAGGAAAACGAAGCTCCATTCGTGGAGTGGCCAGTGGCGCCATCTTATAGCCTGGGGGCGAGCACCTGAAGGAGCCTCCTTAGCCCATGCACGGGCCTCAGTGCCACAGTTGATGGGGAAGGAGACACATGAAGAAGGCCCTTGCTCTGCCCTCCCTACATATCTCACTGCCTCGTAGCCCAGCTTTGTTCACACGTCCAACATACTGGCTTGTATCAATAAATCGTTTCTACTCTAATGTCTTCCATTAAGAATGTATCAGTTGTCATGTCAACATACTACTTTAAAATTGCTGAAAAACTGTCACTTTGTGAATATGTGTTGGGGCAAGGAGAACATGAACATGCCTCTTGCATTACCCACCCCTCCTCCCAACAAACGTCTGGCCCCCAGCTTCTCTTCTCAAATACATTTGGAAGATAATGCAATTTATATTCTCTTTGTTGGAGCATCCCAATGCACATTACATAGTAGGAAAGGCACTGATAAGTCCTGCAGGAAGGAAACTTCTTGCTTCCCAAATATGTTGGATGGCAGAACCTCTCCCTGCAGGGGTGATCTACAAAAGGCCCACAGAGCCCACTTAGAGAAATGATGCACGTGCTCTTTGCTGAGTGCCTACCTCTGTGCTGGGCAGGAGAGAGGGAAGCAGAGGAGAAGAATGATTAACTGAGTCCCTGCCTTCAAGCTGGAGAGATGGGCTGATTGATACTGACCCAGATGAGCCAGGATAAATGTCTTGATCCACTTTGCTGTATGAATCCAGAGAGAGATAAGAGTGGGCTGTATGTGGTCAAGAAGGCTCTTTGGAGAAGTTTGAACTGCTCTGGACCTGGATAGGTGACTAAAATTTAAGTAAAGAGGATGGGAGGTTCAAAGAAAGGGAACAGTTCAGCAAAGAGACTGTGACACACGTGTTCGCAGGCAGTGAGGAGAGATCCAGAAAGACACAGGTTCAAACCCACCATGTGTACTGCCTGGGGGACCTGGGTCAGACAACGTAATCTCTCCAAGCCTCAGTTCCCCCATCTGTAAAGTGGGAATAATACTGTGAATTGTTGGAAGGATTAAAAAACAAGCAAATAAAAATAACCCATGAAAATAGCCTGGCAGATAGATCGAGACCATCCTGGCTAACACGGTGAAACCCCATCTCTACTAAAAAAAAAATACAAAAAATTAGCCGGACGTGGTGGCGGGCGCCTGTAGTCCCAGCTACTCGGGAAGCTGAGGCAGGAGAATGGCATGAACCTGGGAGGTGGAGCTTGCAGTGAGCAGAGATCGCGCCACTGCATTCCAGCCTGGGCGACAGAGCCAGACTCCATCTCAAAAAATGAAATAAAATAAAATAAAAATAAAAGCAAACAAACATAACCCATGAAATAGCCTGGCAGGTATTAATAAATCTTACCTCACTGCAGCCTGGTTAGAGGGAGTCCAAGGTCACGGTCCAACGTGGGAAATTGGATGACCAAAGTAGATATATTTTTTTCACTCCATGCAGTGATTTTAAAATCAACACATTTTATCTAAAAACCTGAATTTCTGAATTCTCTTGCAAAGGACAGAGGTGCATTGCACATGGCATTGATCAGGATGGAGAAGGAGTATGATTTTTCTTATAGCGACAGTCCCCACCGCTCCCTGAGACTAAACTTACACTGCCCGCTCGCGCCAGCTTGCTACCCTCAGTGATATGACTTACCCCACCCCATAGGCATCTGCATTTTCACCAGGGCTTCTCAGCTTTGGCTCTGTTGACACTTTAGGCCAGTAATTCTTCGTGATGGGGGCTTTCAGGTGCCTGCTAGGATATTTAGTGGCATTCATGGCCCTTCCCACTAGATGCCAACTGCACACCCTCCTCTATCCCAATTGTGACAATGAAAAATGTCCTGCGGGGGGAAAAATTGCCCTTGGTTGAGAACCACTAGTTTACAACACCAAACCTCCCACCCTCCAGAAGCTGAGGGTCTTATTATGAAGAAAAGGGAGCTAGAGCTGCAGGAAGATCATGAGGGCTCTAGAGAGTCAGAGGGAAGTTTGCACCAGATCAGGGAGCAGATATAAAGTCACTGCCACTGATTAATGCGGATATGTGTGGGCTCAGACGGAGTGCTCAGACCATATCAAAACGCTGTTGGAATCCCCATTCCGGGAATCTTTTTTTTTTTTTAATTTTTCCTTTTAAACACTAACAAAAGAAATGTTTAATTTGCAAATCACAGTGAGTTCCAAAACCCAGTCAGTCCTTGAACAAATGTGCAGCATATGTCTGTGGTGAGGCCCCTTGCAGACTCCTGCTTCCACCGGAGGGGAGGGGAAACACCCTTTATTGCATCTGCAAAGGACACATTCCATCTGTGGGTTTCGCAGTATTTCACAGCTCACTTTGACTTTCCTTTGAAAAGGATGGATTCTCATCACAGCAGTTACCACAAATCCTGGGCTCCTTGAATCTGAACCTCTTTCCAGTCTTTAAAATGCAAAGTTCGCCATGATAATGACCAACCAGGATATTAGACACATTTGAGACCCAGCTGGAGTGCGTTTCAGAGCCAGGCAGCTGATGTCGATTTGCCTGACTTCTCATCTTCTCTTTTTACTGCATTAGCTCGAGGGGGCTCTGGTTCAGGGCGATCTAAGCAGTGCCAAGTCATAAAGGAACAAAGTTATGAGGAAATGGAGAAAGCAGATGTTTTATTCAGATTCCCCGAAGAGATGTATTGGGGGTGATGTATAGCTTATGGTTTTATGCCATTGAGAAAAGGTTGAGAAAAATTGAGTTGTGTACTGAGGGGGTGCAGGCTGCCAGACTCCAGCTTAGAAGAGCCAAACAAGTGGCTTCAGCTCCGCGAATCCTTCCTACATTTCCTCAGCAAATGCCACACCCAACTCTGTGGCAGACGAGGGGCCAGATATCAGAGGGTCAGAGATTCCAACGACAGGATCCCAGGCTTCAGTGACTGCATGGACTTCTCGAGGAGACCACCATAGAAGAGGAAGTTGAAAATATTTGCAACCCATGTAACAGACAAGGAATAGTATCGAGAATAAGAAAAAGATAAATATAACCCAATGGAAAATAGGCAAGCACTATGAACAGGCAATTCACTGGAAAGGAAATAAAAATTGCCATTAAACCTGGGAAAAGATATTCATACCACTGGGAATTAAGGAAATGCACATGAAAACAACAATAAGATTTCATTTCAGGTCAGTGTCAATTCAAGCATTTCATAATCTCACAGGTGAATGGGGATGCAGGGAAAACAGACTCTTACACACTCTGTGTGGGAGTATACATTGATATAGATGCTGCTTTTTTTTTTTTTTTTTTGAGACAGGGTCTCACTCTGTCACCCAGTGATATGGTTTGGCTCTGTGTCCCCACCCAAATCTCATCTTGAATTGTGCTCCCATAATTCCCATGTGTTGTGGGAGGGACTTGGTGGGAGATAACTGAATCATGGGGGCAGTTTCCCCCATACTGTTCTCATGGTAGTGAATAAGTCTCACAAGATCTGATGGGTTTATCAGGGGTTTCTGCTGTTGCATCTTCCTCATTTTCTCTTGCCACCGCCATGTAAAAAGTGCCTTTTGACTCCCATCATGATTCCGAGGCCTCCCTAGCCATCTGGAACTGTAAGTCCAATTAAACCTCTTTTTCTTCCCAGTCTCAGGTATGTCTTTATCAGCAGCATGAAAACAGACTGATATACCCAGGCTGGAGTGCAGTAGCAAAAATCTTAGCTCACTGCAGCCTCAAACTCCTGGGCTCAAGCGATCCTCCCACCTCGGCCTCCCAAAGTGCTGAGATTATAAGCATGAGCCATGGTGCCCAGCCCTGTACAGACACTTTGGAAAGCAATTTGGAATTTTCCATTCAATTCATAAATGTTTACACTTTATGGAACAGCAGTTCCATTTGTAGTGGCTGAGAAGAGAACTCAGAAAAAGGCATCAAGGTTTTACTCACTGCAGTATTATTTATAAGAGAAAAACACTGAAAACAACCCAAAAGTTTATCAATAGGGACATGGCTAATTAAATCAATATATATCATTAGTTTCCAAACATCTTTGATCTTATACTCCTAATTATAAGTAATTTTTGAGCATGCAATTCATTAATAGGTATGACTGTATCAGGTTAAATAGATGCACTTGTGTGCCAACATCGTACACTATACAACATATACATAAGTAAGAGTTTTTTGAAAATGCAAAGGCATGCAATGCACTGGGGGGAATTATTTCAGTGATGAGATTCTAAGTCTCCCTTATGCAGAATATTGGTCAAAAAAAAAAAAAAGCTTTACAAAAAAGAATTTTGAGCTAAGTACTGAAGAAAAGTTGCTCTGCAGGTGGAAAAGAGTTCTCCGCCTACAGCAATCATCTCTAGAAAGGCTCACCTTAAATCAGACTGGTGTTGATTGGACCTCACTGGTCCTACCTGATGCTGGGAACAGGGAAGACTCCAGGCCCTGATGCTGGGAACAGGGAAGATTGAGAGAGCTCCGTCAACAGCTGGGAATGGCTGGACCCTAGAGGACAGGAGGGGAACTACTGCTCCTTGGTTCCCTCTCTCAACGTGTGCTGAGTATTCCCGAGCACCCCCAGATGGAGGCCCAGTGGCCACACAGCAGCCGCCCCCCGCCCCACCCCAACCACAAGTTACACCAGCGAGGGCTGAAGAAGCTGTGCATGAAGCTGGCCTCCTTGGCAGAAAGAGCAGCATTCAAACGTCTTCATCCGTGGTTTCACTCCTGCAGAGAAAAAGCTGAATGAGGAGTCTTCCCCAGGGTGTCTCTGCTGAATGGCTCTGTGGGGCTCTTGGAGCTCTGGGAGAAAATGAGTAGGAGAAGACCTAACCGAGCATTTCTGCTCTTCAAGAGGCAAAAAGAAAGCTCCAGCCAGGGTGCTGGCTGTGCATTTCAGGTATTTTGTAGCAGGATGAAGACAGCTCCTGCCAAGGCATATTTCTTAATCCAAACTGAAAGAGGCAGATGATCCACTGTTGAGGCAATCTTCTTGCTGGCATTGGAGATATTTCTCACATGGTTTTAGTTCTCAGTCACCATCTCTGCCCCAGCTGGAGAACATTTCAGAGAAAGTCCCCTGACCTTTGTTGGCCTCTACAGGAAATAGTTCCTTGGAAGCAGGAGACCACTGGAATTAATGAGAAACTTTCTGGAGTTCTATGCATGAAAGTTGCAATATCACTGGAGGACCCAGAGCACATGTCACCTCCTCCAGGAAGCCCCCCTTCAATTCTGTCAGCTGGTAAAGTTAGTCGTTCTCATCCTTCTTGAACCATAGCACTTTGCACACACTGTATTTTTGCCCTTAGCATATTCTAGTGTAAGTACTCGTTTTTGGGTCTCTCCCTACCTAAACACTGACACTGTTAGGGTCTGGGGTTGGTTTCCTACCTTTTGTGTATATCCCACTGTGCTGCGAATGGTCTGTAGGGTTAATAATTGCTGTGTAACAGGCATCCCCAACGTGCAGTTTTTCACTGCCGTCTTTCTGCTGCTCTTCACATGTGCATGATTTTGGTGAGACCCAGCAGGTGCTCACACTGATCCATGTGGCACCCATTGAGGCCACCTCAACTGGGTCCAGAAAGTCCACATGGCCCCATCTGTGCAGCTGGCGAATGGGTGTCAGCTATTGTCAGCTGGGTGCTCCACTGGGCGAGGGCCGGGGGGTCTTTGCTGTCCTCCACATGGCTGTCCCCACAGGCAGCTTCCACTCCTCCCACCATGGTGGCCTCGGGGCAGTTAGAAGCTGGCTTTCCCCAGAGCACACAGCAGAAGGTGCCACGACACCTCAAGACTTAGGTCCCCATCTGGTGCAGCATCATGTCTGCCAATTGTCTTTGGAAAACCCTTTCACAGGGCCAGCCTAGATTCCAGGGTAACAGTTAGGAAAGGCTTGAGTCCAGGAGGCATGCTTCACTGGGGGCTACAATGAATGCATCAGCAACTGATGGACCGTCTTCACACTTGCAGCCGTGAAACGTCTCTACACGTACAGGCCGTGGCTACTTTTTTGAACACTATGTTCTTGATGCCAAATCACCACACACGTGAAAAAATGTATATTTGGGGATATTGTTATTGAGCCTGTAATCTAATGCCATCTCTGGATAGTGGTTTGGTGATAGGAGATGTTAAATGCCCAAAGGCTAAGACCCAACCATTCTTGCAGGAGTGTGTCCTGGAGTGACAGGAGATGTTAAATGCCCAAAGGCTATGACCCAGCCATTCTTGCAGGAGTGTGTCCTGGAGTGACAGGAGATGTTAAATGCCCAAAGGCTAAGACCCAACCATTCTTGCAGGAGTGTGTTCTGCAGTGACAGATGTTAAATGCCCAAAGGCTATGACCCAACTGTTCTTGCAGGACTGTGTCCTGCAGGAGAGGTGCACAAAGGCACTGAGACATCTATCATGGCATTGGGGAATGGTCAGATAAGTTCTGGGACTTCCCTTAACTGAAATATTGTATAGCCATTTAAAATGAGTCACATGTGTACCCAATGATCTGGAACATTCTCTAAGAAATACCGCAAAGTCAAAGCAGCAAGCAGCGTGTGCGGTGTGCTACTATTTGAGGTTAAAAAGAAAATGAAAGGGAGGCCACGGCATGGAAGAACCTTGAGGACATTATGCTCCATGAAATCGGCCCGTCGCTGAAGGATGAATACTGTAGAATTCCACTTAGCAGAGATAATTAGAGTGGTCAAGTTCATAGAGACGGAAAATACAAGGGCGGGTGCCAGGGGCTGGGATGAGGGGGAAGTGGGGAGTTCGTGTGTAATGGGGACAGAGGTTTAGTTTTACAAGATGAAAGTTGTTCTGGAGATGGATGGTGGTGACGGCTGCACAACAACATGAATGTGCTTCATGCTGAGGACTGTACCCCTAAAAACGGTGCAGATCGCAAATTTTATGTTATGTGCACCTTACCACAATGCAAAAGAACAAATAAAACGGGAATATATGTATCAATGCATAGCGGATCTCTGGGAAGCTCTACAGTGGGAGGGGATTTGAGGAATTAAGGGTCAGGGATGGGAGAAAACCTAAATTTTTGCATAATTTTTGTTATGTTTGAAAGTCTGCCACTGCATGCATGGGTCCCATTTAAAATGTCTATTTTAAGTGTCAAAAAAGTTAAACAATGACCATAGCCAAACATACTTTATCATTATATATTATTATAAATACATAATATATGCTTGTATGTGACTTATAGTATAGGCATCTATTAATATATTGTGTTTTTATAAATATATAATATATATTATAAAGATCTATTTAGCCGTATATATTTAGCAATCTGTGACCTACTTTGCAAGACTAGAATTCTCCTCTGTTATGGTTAGAAGGATTATTAACTACAGGGGGAAATGGGATTTGGGCTTGTATTTTTCCACTATTACATAAGCAAATAAAACTGCCAAGCTGCTGCCTTTATTTAAATATTCCTTAATGATGTGTGAGACTTTTCCTCTGTATCTTCCTTGTTTTGTTCTCTCTCTCTCTGTCTCTCAAAACAACTGTGCCTTTTGTGGAAAGAAAATTGTGGCAAATATTAAACAGGAAGCTAAGCCAGCACGGGAAGGAAGATGTTTGTCTTACATAAAGCCGATTTAAACTACTCTCATCCTTGCCTCATCCCTGAAGCCACGTCTGGCTCATGCTGTGGGGAGCACTGTGCTCAGACTCAGCAAAAGCCCTCCCTGCTGCCTGGGACAATTCCTGCCTCCCTGAGAGCCTTCCTGGGCAGCACCTGCTCTCCTCTGGCGGTGCAGAGGTCACAGGACATGGGAAAAAACAGAGCCAAGGACCTGGAAACCCTGCTTTTCAGTGACTGCTCTTCCGTTTTCACTTAGAGCCATATTCACAGATACGTTGGGCCATAAAGGCGGAAGGAGAATGGAAAGGGAATTGCCCAGTGTGGGGATGCATCATGTACAGCTCCATTCAGGGAATGCGTTCTTGTGGTGCTGTTTCCAGTGGGTGTTGGCAGCAGTGGATAGCACTGGCCAAATAGGCCTTATTGCCCAAAGTATTACATAAGATGGTATCTTAGTTCATCCAGGCTGTTATAATGAAGTGCCATGGCCTGGGTGGCTTATGAAGAGCAGGAATGGAGCTCACAGTTCTGCAGGCTGGGAAGTTCAAGAGCAAAGTGCCAGGACATTCTGTATCCGGTGAGGGCTCCCTTCCTCCTAGACAGCCATCCTCTCTCTCGAATCTCATCTGGCCAGAGGGGCAAGGGAGCTCTCTGGGACTTCACTGGTAATGTCACTAAGCCAAGTCATGGAAGGCCCCACCCTCATGACCTAATCACCTCGCTAAAACCTCACCTCCTCACACAATCACCTCGGGGGCTTAGATTTCAGCATCTGGATTTATCCGGGGGACAGTGAAGGCACAAACATTCAGACCGTAGCAGATGACTTTATGTGGATCATGTACACAATGGCATTAAGCCAATCAAATCACAAAGTGAGAATGTGATTGCATCTATTGCACTCTCAGATTCTCCCAATGAGTCCTGTTGGGGATCAGCCTTCAAGCTCAGGACTTTCTCCTGCAGGAAGAGCTAATGAGGCACTCACTTTATTGATTTTATATTGGCAAGGGAATCTCACTTTCAAAGTGATGCATTGATATACAGTTCTCTGTTAAATAAATGTGTGTAAGTTTGAGGAAAAAAAGTGAGTCGATTTACAGAGAAAACACAAAGTAAGTAACAGAACAATAGTTACCTCGAATGAGGAAAACATGATGCAGGCGATATGCATTCCAAATATGAAGTTTGGAGACCAGAGCTTAAGGATAATAGTAATAAAAATAACAGTGGCAGCATCCAACTCTTAAATAGCACTCAATCCGGGTCAGACTCTGTGCAAAGCATATTGAATTCTTGTAACACCCTAGGACAGAGGCACTTTGGTGTACCCTCATTTTAAGATGAGGAAATGATTCAAATTTCCAGAGTACAGAAGACATTGGTCACAAGATGACTTTCATGTCTCTTTCTGGCTGGGTGCAGTGGCTCACACCTGTCATCTCAGCACTTTAGGAAGCCAAGGCAGGTGGATCACTTAAGCTCAGGGGTTCGAGATAAGCCTGGGCAATATGGTGAAACCCCATCTCTACAAAAAATTTTTAAAAGTTAGGTGTGGTGGCATGTGCCTGTAATCTCAGCTACTCAGGAGGCTGAGGCAGATGGATTGCTTGAGCCAGGGAGGTTGAGGCTTCAGTGAGCCAAGATCACACCACTACACTCCAGCCTGGGTGACAGCAAGAAGCTGACTCAAAAACAAAATTTTTAATTAAAAAAAATCTGTTTCCAATATGTGTGTGTGTTCATTCATTCATCCGTTCTTTTGTACGTAGTTGGAGTCTTTTAGTTGGGAATCGCCATGGGTTGCTTGAATCCAAGCCTTGCCTCAGTGCTATGGACTGAGTGTTTGTGTCCCCCCCACTCACAAAATTCATATATTAAAATGTAACTCTCAATGTGGTGGTATTAGGGAGTGGGGACTATGAAGCCTTCAGGGATGCGATTCACGCCTTAATAAAAGAGGCCACAGAGAGCTCCCTCTTTCCTTCCACCAAGTGAGGACACAGCATCTATGAACCAGGAGAAGGACCCTCGTCAGACACCAAAACTGACTTCACCCTGGGCTTCGGCCTGCAGAACTGTGAGCAGTATGTTTCTGTGGTTGATAAGTCACCCAGTCTGTGAGATTTTATTATAGCAGCCCACCAGCCAAGATACCTGGTGTAAGAAGAGAAAGTCAGGGACTGTGTTTGCAAACTCATGACACCGTGCAATGCCGCTGCTGATTTTATGAGACAGTCTATGGAAGGGCTGCAGACTGGAGCTGCCTTGGGAGCATTTGGGACTGGAGGACAGTCAGCGAGCCTGAAAGCAGTATGACCAACGACCACAGCCCAGATTGCAGGGTGTGTCAGGCTCCAGGGTGAGAACCAGGTTGTCATGTCGGTTCCCTACATATGGAGAGGGATCCACAGACTCCCGGCTGGAAAGGAGTCATGCACAGCTCTCCCGATGCAGGACACGAAGGCAAGGCGCACAAGGAACAAGCGTTAGTGCAGAACGTGAGGCCCCTCCACCAGCCACCCCACAGCAAGCTATCCAGCATGCAGCCCTGCAAGGGCCTCCCCTTGCCCTCAGGACCAAGATCAGACTTTTCTGCAGCCTGCATCCCTCCGCCCAGACCTCCCTCCATGCTCACCTGGCTCCCACCGTCCCTCTCACCCCGCCTGCCTCCCTCCCAACCCACACTGCCCGTCCGCCCACTGTGCACTGGCCTCTGTTCATCTTCCAGGTTTTAGTATAAAAATCCACAGCCTGCACCTCCCCCTCCCCACAGCCCCCCACCCCCTTATAAGTTACCTTCTCTCGATAGCGTCGTGACGCATCGTATAGTAGTAGATTTCCCTGATTCTTTATTATCTATTTTAGCATGAAAAGCTGTCATAAAACATGCAGAAATACCAGAATGATCTCCCAGCACAGAGGCAGTAGAAGTTTTGCTCAGCATTCACTTTCCAGGGCCTGTAGCACCTATTTGATACCTGAAAGAGGCTGGATTGGAATAAGCCTGGATTTGAATTCCTTTTTTTTCCCCTCTTATCAGCAGTGCAGCCTTGGGCAAGGTACTTATGCTTTCTATGCCTCAGTTTTCTCACCTGTAAAGTGGGAATAAAGCGTACTTACCTCCCGGGGTTATTATGAGTACTAAATGGTCACTGCACGTGCAGTGCTTAGAATCACTCTTATTCATCATCATCGTTGTTGTTACGTTTGAAGCAACAAAGTTTCATGAATCATTACTGTGCCTTCCTCAAGAGGAAGAAAAATAAACAGTGGAGGTTGTTCATTGAATGAACCATTATAACCCAAAAAGAAATTACTTCTCTGGGATATGGAGGCTTTGGGAGATTGACGAAGGCCTACCCATGGGCTCTCCTGGGCTGGGCTAGGGCCAGGACACTCTGGCCACAGGCTGAAGCACACGTGTACCCGTTGGAGGGCAATGTGGAAGTCAGAGTTAGTGCATTCACAAGGGATCTGGGACAAGGAGGCCTGCTTGAGACTCGGGATGACAGGATCCAGATCCAAGAGCTTACTACTGCCTGTTATGATGTCCTCACAGCAGACGGCAGAGCTTAACAGAGATGTATACTCGAAAGTTAGCAACTGGGTCAGAAAATAAACCACTCAGGAAAACAGGATGAGAAACATGTAATTCAGAAACTGTGCAGGTGGAGAAAAAGAAAAGGTTGCAAATTCTCAATGCTTAGAAAATGACAGTTGGCAAACTGTGGCGTAACGTAGCTGCACAGTCAGAGCCAAGGCTGTGTGAGTCAAGGTCCAGGTTCCCAACGAGGGACTCCGGGTCTCCCCCACTGCCACCCGATTCCTCTGGCCAGAGCAAGAACAGCACCTCAGTCTTGGCAACTCCCTTTTAGACTGTTATTCTCCTGCCAGATTAAGGAGAATGGTGTTGAGTCACATCACATAAGGAGACGCAGGAGGTTCAGGCTGTCCAGGGGCAAGGGGTGTAGACATGCTGGACTGGAAGCTGCATGCAGGCAGGCTGAGGCTGGCTCAGGCAGACATATGTTCTTCAGCCTTGTTTTTGTTTTTAAAGACAGGGCCTCGCTCTGTCACCAGGCTGGAGTACAGTGGCACCATCACAGCTCATTGCAGCCCTGAATTCCTGGGCTCAAGCCATCCTCCCATCTCAGCCTCCTGAGGAACTGGGACCACAGGTATGCACTGCCACACCCAGCTAGTTTTTATAATTTTATGATTTGTAGAGAAGGGGCCTCACTATGTTGCCCAGGCTGCTCTCAGACTCCTAGCCTCAAGTGATCCTCCTGCCTCAGCCTCCCAAAGTCCTGGGATTATAGTCATGAGCCACTGCAGCCACGCTTTATTGTTTCTAATATAACACTTTTATTACTATAAATGCATACTACACAGTTTGCCCATTTAAAATGTACAATTCAATGGTTTTTAGTGTATCTGCAGAATTGCAGAACTATCACCACAATCAATTTTAGAACATTCTCTTCATCCCAAAAAGAAATCCTATACCCATTCATTTGCAGTCACACCCCTCCCCGCCTCCCCCAGCCCCCGGCAACAACTCATCTGCTTTCTGTCTCTGTGGATTTGCCTGTTCTGGGCGTTTCGTGTCAGTGGAATCATAGTGTGTAGCCTTTTGTTACTGGTGTCTTCCACTCAGCGTCATGGTCTGAGGGGTCGTCCATGCCTCCTTCCTTTGTATGGCGGAGTAACATCCCAGCGTGTGGATAGACCACATTTTGTTCAACCGTTTGTCAGCTGATGGACTTTTGGGTTTCTCCTCCTGGGCTTTTATGAATAAATGCTGCTAGAAACATCCTTGTAGAGGTTTTTATGCAGAGATATGTTTCCATATGATATGTACACTTAGGAGTAGAATTTCTGGATCATATGGGAGCTCTATTTTCAACTCTTTAAAGAACTGATTGGCTGTCTTCCAAAGTGGCTGCACCATTTTACATTCCCACCAGCCTGCCCCATTTGTCTCTTTACATCTTTTATTGAAGTATTTGCCAAGTTAAAAAAACTGACAGCCAGGCACGGTGGCTCATGCCTGTAATCCCAGCACTTTGGGAGGCCGAGGCAGGTGGATCACTTGAGGTCAGAAGTTCAAGACCAGCCTGGCCAATGTGATGAAACCCCATCTCTACTAAAAATACAAAAATTAGCCAGGCATGGTGGCACATGTCTGTAGTCCCAGCTACTCAGGAGGCTGAGGCAGGAGAATCGCTTGAACCCGAGAGGCGGATGTTGCAGTGAGCTGAGATTGTGTCACTGCACTCCAACCTGGGCGACAGAGTGAGACTCAAAAAAAAAAAAAGAAAAAAAAAAAAAAACAGACACAGCCGAGAGGCTTTACATAAATACTCAGATTCTTGGCCTTACTGGAAAAGCTGAAGGTCCCTGTAGCTAGCAGCTGCCCCTTTAACTGGGCCAGGCAGGCTCCAGGTCATCATCCTACCCTGACACGGAGGCTGCGCCTAAGGTCATCACACAGCACCATGCTGCTGCTGTTTAGTTTTTACACGCCTGTATCGCTTCACTTATTTTTATCTCCTACTCACTGGCACTCTTGGACATTTGAGAATGGGACTCCTAACCCCAGGGGAACAGAAGCTCCCGTGTTTGCATCTTCCCCAATGACCACACACTCCTCCCAGTTTCTGAATGGCAAGTTCTCAGGAATGTGTGTTCAGTGGATGGACAAATGATGGAAGGACCAGATGAGTGATGCAATGGATGAATGAGTGAAGTTCATTATCCTCCAAAGCTGACTTGGGACTAACAGCAGGAAGTTATCCCCATAGATTTCCACTCCAGATAAAGAACGACTTCCTGGCAGCCAGGCTGTGACAATGGAATTGGCAGTTTTAAGAGATGCTAAGCTCCCTGCCCTGGCTGGAAACTTGCTGAGGCTGAGGGATGGCCTGTCAGAACAGCCACGGAGGGGACACGGGCTTAGGGGATGGGGAGAGAAGATGGGTGACCTCCAGGGATTCCCCCATAGCGAGGACCCCCAGGCTCCCAGATTCCCTTTTCTTATGGGCCATTTAACTGCAGGGTCCTGGCCCTGTCATTGTCTCCATTCTTTGAGAATCAGGAGGCCTGGGCCCTTCTCAGGGTGAGCCGCTGCCTTTGGGATCCTAGGGCCACGTTTCCCTCTGTAGCCAGCCTGGCTCTGCAGTGGGGTTCCCTGAAGCCACAGCCACAGTCATCCAAATTCTCATGGTTCTTCTCTCTGCTCTCTCTTTCTTTCTCTCTCTCTTCCCTTCTCTCACCTTCCTTCTCTCTTTTCTTCCTTTCTTTTCTCTCTGTCTTCTCTTTCTTTCCTTTCTCATCTTCCTTCTCTCTTACCTCTCTTTCTTCTCTCTCCATCTTCCTTTCCTCTCTCTCTCCACCTTCTTCCCTCTCTCCTCTCTCCTTCCCTCTCTTTCTCTCTCTTCCCCTCTCTCACCTTCCTTCTTTCTTTTCTTTCTTTCTTCTCTCTCTCTTCTCTTTCTGTCCTTTCTTATCTTCTCTCTTACCTCTCTCTCTTTCTTCTGTCTCCATTTTCCTTTTCCCTCTCTCTCTCCTCCCTCTTCCCTCTCTCCTCTCTCCTTCCCTCTCTTTCTCTCTCTCTCTCCTCAAATTAAAGTAAGAAACAGATCTCTCCCTCAGTGGAGCTGGAGCTGGTCCTTTCCACTCTCCAGGCAAGCCCATGACGAGTGTGACCTCACTCCCACTCTGCAGATTGCGATGTGGAGACACTCACACAGCCAATCCATGGAGCTCAGGCTTTGACCTGGATATGCCTGATTCCTGCATGGGAATTGGAGTTGAGTTGGTCTGGGTTCCGGTCCTGCTCCAGCAGCTCTGTGCACTGGGGCAGGTCCTGATTCTGCAGGAGGCCGGTGCCTACTTTACGGCATTGTTTTGAGGACTGTGTGAGCTGAGGCACATTCGACACCCAGCTCAGGGCATCTGCACCCTAATTACGGGTCCCCATCTCTTTCTCCACTCATTCCACCAGGTTCCAATCCCTTGAACAATTCTGAAGATGAGAGACATAGTACAGGGGCCAATGCAGACTCTTTCCCTCTCCTGTACAGCTTCAAACCTCCAGTGCATTTTAGTTTCCATCTCTCTCTCATCTCGTCACAGCCTAAGGCTTCCTGCTTGCCTACCAAATCATGGAAAGAATGCTGGCAGGTGTGGTAGGAGCCTGAGCTCCAACCTCTGGCTCTCCTGAGTTAGAGAGCAATGGGGCTCCTTCTGTACCCCAACATAAGACCTGCTCTCAATGCCGGCCCACCCACCGCCCCTCCCCCACCACCCACTGAGGAAACAAGAGGGAACAAAGAAATCAGCCAAGGGAGAGCCCCCACCTCCACCGCAGGCGTCCCTGAACTCTGTGGAGTCTGAGAATCATTTGCTCCTGGGTCAGCACTGAGTCCTTCGCCCTGCACAGCTTGACACAGACTCTGGGCAGTGTCCCCACCCCAGGGGGGCGCCACATAAAAGGGGATGTGCCCGTTATGAGTCCGTGACAGCTGACATCTCGGGAGCATCACTCAGTGCTGAGCCACGTGCTATGGGCTGCATATTCACCACAGAGAGCCACTGTAACTCTCCCCCCATCCCCTGCCCCCCAACCCCACACACACTGGAATGAAAGCTCCACGGGACATGGGGTCTTTGTTTTGTGGCTGCTGTGCCCCCCATTTTTTAAGAACTGCCTTGCATATTGCAGGTGCTTGGTGGGTGTTTCTTGAAAGAATGCACATTGCACGGTGCAAATGGAGGTAGCCAGGGACCTCCCACCCCTGCACCTGGTGAACCCGGAGCCACCCTCCCTCCCAAGCAAGGCTCGGAATTGGAGAAAGTGAAAGAACAGCTGTCACGGTTGCTTTGTAACACTTCAGCACAGGGAGGCTTCTGGGACTAAAACTATTTTTCAACAAGGATGATGTTTTCCATTTCCAGCGTGAACACAGTGTTATTCAATTCCCCACAGCCCTCAGTCCAGGGATCCCACCTAAACAGTTTACTCTAAGACGAAATTGCAGCCTTTAAACTGATTTCTCAGAGGATGCCATTCATTTCAGCATCTTCACTCTCCATGCAGGCAGCTTCCAAGACTCCTAAGAATGGCTTTTTCTAAATTGGAGGTCCCCTCGGATTGCTTCAGTAGAACAGCTACGGCCTCAGTGCCTGTGATTTGAAAAATGCCCCTAGCTGTCCGTCCCGGCTGCTGAAGGGAACGAGCTTCGGTGGTGACTGCATCCCTCACATCCGAGGAGGGTGAGATGCTCGCCGGCCAGCATTCCCTTCTTAGGATGGGTCACCGCCATCGGTGAAGCTGGAAGGAAACACTGCTCTCCGGAGAACAGTGCAGGGAAGTCTTGTTTTGATCCTCCATTTATTTTTCTATCCACTGCATTTTTTCTGGTATCTGACTCTCTTACTGTCTCTGGAGATGGCTCACAGAGGAGACATTTGTTCACAGCGTCTGCCTGCATTTCAAGCCAGACCACCTTGGTGTCATAATACAAGGAACTATTTAGAGATGAAAGAGTTTGACATGATTCTCAGGTAACCTGAGGAAGGTAGGATTTTGTCATCTGAAGCGACTTCTCTCCAGGCCCTGGCTTCCCAAAGTGTTGGTGCCAAATACTACTAGAGTCCAGGGTGTTAAGGCACAGCAGGGAGATCATCTGGCCATCTTACCATACCCGCTGTTCACTAAGGGGGGAAGCTGGGCCCAGGGAGGGGCAAGGGTAATTGCCAAGCCAGGTGTATCAGTTGCAAAACAACAGAACTAAATCTGGCTAACCTAAGCCAAAGGGACCCATGCGGTGAAGAGGAGGAGGCCACGGGATTGTAAGAGGCAGCAGGAGGCACGTGGGGGTGAGCCTGACCCAGTGAGACCAGAGGCCAGGCAGCAGCTGCCTTTGCCAGGGCCTCAGGCAGAGGGGTCAGCCAGCATCACCCGTGGCACTGACAAATGCAGCCCTTTTCTCTTTTCTTTCTTCTTTGCAACACTTAATGGCAAGGACCTAGAAGGGAAATCCACCTGGTGACGTCACACTGACCGTACAGAATGGGAAAGAGGAATCAGCCGCTTCAGCTTTAAAACAGAGGAGCATCCCCCAGAACGTAGCCTCCCATCACAGCTCCATACAGTAGGAGAAGGGCAATTTCCCAGGAAAAAACTGCCATGCCCACCATGCCGTTAAGTCAGGTGGATGCGGGGAAGCTCTGCAGTGAGAACATCCACTCTATCAGGGCCAGCCGCCCACTTCCCCATTCCTGATCCCATGTTCTGTCCATCACACTGGGCTGCCCCTTTTGCAGGTCCTGGTACAGAGGCAGCAGGGCTTCACTGATCCCGTTTTCTGTCCATCACACTGGGCTGCCCCTTTCGCAGGTCCTGGTACAGAGGTGGCACGGCTTGACTGATCCCGTGTTCTCTCCATCACACTGGGCTGCCCCTTTCGCAGGTCCTGGTACAGAGGCGGCAGGGCTTCACTGATCCCATGTTCTGTCCATCACACTGGGCTGCCCCTTTCGCAGGTCCTGGTACAGAGGCGGCAGGGCTTGACTGATCCTGTGTTCTCTCCATCACACTGGGCTGCCCCTTTCGCAGGTCCTGGTACAGAGTGGGCAGGGCTTGACTGATCCCGTGTTTTCTCCATCACAGTGGGCTGCCCCTTTCGCAGGTCTTGGTACAGAGGTGGCAGGGCTTCACTGATCCCATGTTCTCTCCGTCACACTGGGCTGCCCCTTTTGCAGGTCCTGGTACAGAGGCGGCAGGGCTTCACTGATCCCTGTTCTGTCCATCGCACTGGGCTGCCCCTTTTGCAGGTCCTGGTACAGAGGCACCAGGGCTTCACTGATCCCATGTCCTCTCCATCACACTGGGCTGCCCCTTTCGCAGGTCCTGGTACAGAGGCAGCAGGGCTTCACTGATCCCTGTTCTGTCCATCACACTGGGCTGCCCCTTTCGCAGGTCCTGGTACAGAGGTGGCAGGGCTTAAAGAACCTGCCTTCCCGTCACCACGCACAGCAGCCCCAGCAGACTGAAACCCCACCACGCAGGGCTCTTCCCACTGAAGACTGTTTGTTAATATTAATTTTGTCAAGTGCTTTATCATCTCCATGGGACAAGCAACTTGAATGACTGAAGACCACTGTCTTCCGGGGAGGTCATTCTTTTCAGCTCATCTGTTTTCTGTTAAGGATGCTTTCAAGGCGTTCCATAATGGCTTTTCCAAAACTGCGGATGCTAAGTAGCTCGGCCTTTCAACAGTGCCCCCCTAGAAGTGAGTTTCCTTCTCTCCACCTTTTCCTCAATTTACTTTTGCTTCTCCAAATCAGCTTAACCAGTTGGCTATATACCCTTCTGCAATGTTGCCAGTAAGTTTATAGGAGCGTTGGTTAATGCAAATAGCCATGCTGTCCCCAAAGAAAATTAAGCTGGGGACATGCACAGTGGGTCACGTCTGTAATCCCAGCACTTTGGGAGGCTGAGGTGGGTGGATCACTTGAGGTCAGGAGTTTGAGACCAGCCTGGCCAACATGGTGAAACCCCATCTCTACTAAAAAAAAAAATTAACCGGGTATGGTGGCACACACCAGTGATCCCAGCGACTTGGGAGCCTGAGGTAGGAGAATCACTTGAACCTGGGAGGTGGAGGTTGCAGTGAGCTGAGATAGTGCCACTGTACTCCAGCCTGCAGAAAGAGAGAGCGAGAGAGAGGAAGGAAGGAAGGAAGGAAAGAAGGAAGGAAGGAAGGAAGGAAGGAAGGAAGGATGGATGGATTAAGCTGGAAGCTAGAACAAAGGAACATAGATTCATTATCTTATTATTAACTAATATAGATGTGTTCATCCCCTCCTATACTTCCAGGTAGTATTCTAAACCTTGGGGATACAACAGTGGCCAACACAGTTTCTCATCTAGAGGTGCTTACATCTTACCAGAGAAGATAGAAAATGAACAAAGGAAAACCAAACAAGATTTCCAATGGTGTTAAGGGCAACAGCGACAGCCTAGCAATGTGATAGTTTCTGGAGCTGCAGGCCTTAAGGTGTCTGCCTGAGGCGGGTGTTTAAGTGTTTGAGGGTGTTGACTTCTATAGGGAGCAAACATGCAGAGAGTAGCTGGAGGGAGAGCAAATGCAGATGTGGTGTGTCTGTGGAGCAGGCAGAGGTCCCAGGGTAGCTGGAGCGTAGTGATCAAGGAGGGAAAGCAAAGGCTGAGATCAGAGGGAGAGGATGCATCCAAGTAAAAGATTTCAGGGGCTCCCCAGAGCACGTCCTCCTAACGTGACAGCTTCTCAAAGACTGTTTCTTTTTTAAAGATAAAATGTTGACCTGGCAGTTATTAAAACTATGTTTTTAAAACTGTTGGAGGAGGCTGGGCACGGTGGTTCATGCCTGTAATCCCAGTAGTTTGGGAGGCCAAGGCAGGCAGATGGTTTGAGGCCAGGAGTTAGAGACCAGCCTGGCCAACATGGCGGAACCCCAACTCTACTAAAAAATAATAACAATAATAATGATACAAAAAATAGCTGGATGTGGTGGCACACACCTGTAATCCCAGCTACTTGGTAGGCTGAGGCAGGAGAATCGCTTGAACCTGGGAGGCGGAGATTGCAGTGAGCCAAGATCAGGCCCCTGCACTCCAGCCAGAGCAACAGAGTGAGACATGGTCTCAAAGAAAAAAAAAGTCAGAGGAATGAGTGTGGAAGACAGCTCCCCAGCCCCCCTTCCACCACCCAGCAATGATGCAGGATCCCACCCCAGCCTTGCTCCCCGATGTGAGAATGTGTCTGGGCCTCTGCACATTGCACCCCCAGACCAGTGATCTTCTTTCAGTTCCTCAAAGTCTCTTCACTCCCAATGGCCCCTCTTCCTAAAATACCCCTGCCTGTTCCTCCTGGCTTTCTCTCACTTATTGTTCAGCTTTCAGCTCAAAGGCCCTGTCTCGGGGAACCCTCTAACCCCCTGGGTTTAGTTGCCCCAATTTTAGGGATTGTGCCAGGCTTTCTTCATATCATAGCCCTCGCCACATTTTACTGTAATGCTGGGACCATGCGCTGCTGAGCTGGAGGTGGGGCTGGGGTGGGGCTGGGGTGGGGTTTGGGGTGGGGTTTGGGTGGGAGTGTGTTCCACAGTGGCTTGTCTAGTTTCAATCCATTTCCTGCCCTTCCTTCGTTGAGTGATCCCTGCAAACTACATTTTCCGGACCCCTTGCCAACTGGATTTTGGCTACATGTAGCCAGCAGGAGGCCCTGGTGGGCAGTTGACAGTGGGAAGGAAAAAAGAAGCCTGGGTGTTTTTTGCCCTCTGCTTCTGATGGTGTCACAGGCAGTGGCTCCCGTTCCTCTGCGGCTGCAGCTCCCACAGGGAAACTCTCAGTGTAGACCCAGCTCTTATCCAGTGAATTCACCCCTGGGGTCATCACCCCCAGCGTTTGTCCCTTGACCCTGAAGGTGGAAGCATCTTCCTCTCGTTGATAATCTCAGGTTACCTAACTTGTCTGCTCCTTCTACACCTTTATAACCAGAATTAAATCTCTGCTGCAGAACTGCCTAGGATGGGCTTGGTTTTCCTGCCTGATGAGCAAAGAATAAGAAGTACCCAGTGACCGAGCCCTTCCAGGTACTGGGGGACAGGACCTTCCTGTGGCACTGGGAAACCTGGGGCAGCGATGATGGCCAGGGCACCTGGGCCTCTGACATGTTGCTCCGGAGGAGACGGTTGCCTTGCTGCTGCTACTTTCATACAGAAATAGGATCTCCATATTTGAAACTATTCCCTTAAAAAATCCTTTTTAACTGTGGCTGCACATAGGGATACCCCAGGAAGCTTTACCAAAATGAAAAGTGATACCCATGCTCGCCATAGATAAGCTGAATCTGCAAAGGAGAAAGAGAAAAGGAAGGTTTTTTAAAAAGCAAGAGTGTTCTTCTGAAGTTCACCAAGTGATTCTATCATGCAGCCAAGGTTGAGGACCTTGAACAAGAGGACAGAGATTGTTAGTGTAAATTATTCCAGAATGAGTATAATACAGACCCTGATATGGTTTGGCTGTGTCATCACCCAAATCTCATCTTGAATTCTAGTTCCCATAATACCCACGTGTCATAGGAAGGACCTGGTGGGAGGTAATTGAATCATGGGAGCCGTTACCCCCATGCTGCTGTTCTCGTGACAGGGAGTGAGTTCTCACAAGACCTGATGGTTTTTTGTTTTTTGTTTTTTGTTTTTGTGTTTTTTTGAGACAGAGTCTGGCTGTCACCCAGGCTGGAGTGCAGTGGCGCGATCTCGGCTCACTGCAAGCTCCGCCTCCCGGGTTCACGCCATTCTCCTGCCTCAGCCTCCTGAGTAGCTGGGACTACAGACGCCCGCCACTGCGCCCGGCTAATTTTTTGTATTTTTAGTAGAGACGAGGTTTCACCGTGTTAGCCAGGATGGTCTAGATCTCCTGACCTTGTGATCTGCCCACCTCGGCCTCCCAAAGTGCTGGTATTACAGGTGTGAGCCACCGCACCGGGCCAAGACCTGATGGTTTTATAAGGGGCTTTTCCCCTTTTTTGCTCAGCACTTCTCCTTGCTGCTGCCATGTGAAGGACATGTTTACTTCTCCTTCCACCATGATTGTAAGTTTCCTGAGGCCTCCCCAGCCATGCTGAACTGTGAGCAATTAAGCCTCTTTCCTTTATAAATTACCCAGTCTTGGGTATGTCTTTATTAATACAGACTCATACCCCTAATACAAAGGGAAGTGCTGCAGCGAGAATTGGATGGCTTTCTCAAGTGGAGTGGACCCATGCCTGCTTGGGAAACACCTTTGCAGCTGGGCACCACAGGGGGCATGGAGGGACAAGAGCAGAGCAGCCCCAAGACTTGCTGCCTTCCAATGCACTCTGGTCAGTCTCCTCGCGTGTCTTTAGCCAAATGGATGGGGCCCTGATCACAGGTGTGAGGGAACTCCCTCTGGCAGTCTGGGGCCCACCATGGACCACAATGATGCGCTTCTGCACCTCTCCCACTGTGCCTGGCACAAATCTGGTGCCTGGTGAATGCTTGATGGATGGACAAATGGATGAATGAGTTGGATGCTGAGTAGAGAAAGCCTTCTGTTTTAAATGTAAAAACTATATCCCCCCAGGGCCTTCTAGTCTTAGCAGTTAGTGCTACCACAGAGACCCTCAACCCATCAATTACGAAAATTAACTGTAAATTATCCTTTTGCATAGTTAATTCAGCCTCTTCATTCTGTGTTTAGTAGCGCTCAGCAGGCATAAAATTCAATAGCAAGCTTTGGAGCAAATCCAGTTTCTGTCGTCTGTGATATTTTGAAAATGCAAAGTTTTAGGAGTGGACCTTGGAGCGTGTCTTTCCTGGAAGGTCTCCAATGAGCTCTGCATCTCGCTTCTCTCTTGGAATGGGCTCAACCCTTCTGGAAAGGCTGATAGCTTCAAAGGATGCGTCTGTCCTCCTCTCCAGCTATGCAGAGAGGCCTACTCCCTTCTTGAGTAAAAATGAATACCAACCTGACTTGTGGAAGGAAAGAAAAGTGTGACTGTCGGGGCACTCGGCTCCTGGCGCAATCACCCAGTCATTCTTCACTCCGCAAACATTTGCTGTGCACTTTCTACGAGTCAGTGCTGTGATGTATCACGAGGCGATCACGGGGAGTAGAACGGTGTCCTTGCTGCCATGGGACTCATGACAGAGAAAGGAGGAGGAAGATGGTGAACACGAAATGCATAGAAATGCATCCTGCACCGAGGCTGTATACATAAAGTGGCCAAGTGAGTCCCGTGTAACCAGGGTGGATGTCATGAATAAGTGAGCCATGGATGGCAGGGGTGAATGCCAAGATGGGCGAGCCCTGGGGAAAAGCACAGGCAGGGGCACTGAGGTGGAGGGCGCTTGGCGGGTTGGAGTCGTCCTAAGGTGGAAGGACCTGGTAAGAGGGTAGGGAAGGGGATCAGTGCAGTGGCGGTGGAGGGACAGCTTATTATTAGGCTTGTGAGAAAGTAATTGCCTTTTAATGGAAATAACTTTTGTGCCAACCTAGTATCAGGATTTGGGAGGTAAAAGCATTGCAGATCCTGAGGCCAGGCTCAGAATCGTCATTTGATAAGCATTTTGTGGCTGAGTATGGTGACCGATTGCTTGCTCTGGGAGCAGAGTTTCCTGATATTCACAGTTTTCTTTTCTGTGATCCCAGCACTTTGGGAGGCTAAGGCAGGAGGATTGCTCGAGGCCAGGAAACAAGCCTGAGCAATGTACCGAGACCCTCTCTCTATAAAAAATTTAAAATTAAGAAAATTAGTTGGGCATGGTGGTCAGTACCTGTAGCCTAAGCTACTCAGGAGGTAGGAGGATCACTTGAGCCCAGGAAGTCGAGGCTGCAATGAGCCACGATGGCACCAGTGTGCTGCAGCCCGGACAGAGCAAGACCGTGTCTCTAAAATAAGAAAGGTTTTTAAACCACAATCCACTTCAGCTTACCAACGCATGAGTGTATTTCCAATCTACAAGCTCCAGCGTGCAAAACAATCTGTGCAGCCCTATTTCTTCAACAGGCATTGCACTTGGTGTCTCCCCACATTCTATCTGGTGGCAGAAAACTTCATCTTGCTCATTCCAGGTCTGATAAGGAATTTCCAGTTGAAACTTGGTTGATTCAACCTCTCGAGCTCTGCCTGATCTGCCCAAGATTGACCCAGGAGGGCAAGCTCGTCATGGCACTGCCCTGTGGGGGAAATGTTAGGTCTTCAGGTATTCACCCTCTTGTGGCTTCCTTCACAGGGGTGTACGATTCCATCGTTTAGCCCTGAAATTCACCAAGGCATCCATGTTTCTACCTGGTCTCCAAGTACATGGTCTGTGCCATCCTCACTGCTCCACCCATTCTTCCTGCAAGAAACTGAGGCCAGGTTCAGACTTGCCTCCGTTCTCACCTCAGCTAACTTCAGTGACCCATCCTGGAATTAGGCCAATGTCCCACTGCTTTCCATACCATTCAGGGCTTTAACGTCCTGGGGATTAGGGTGGCTTCCTCTGAGTTCCTCTCTGCCTGGGCATCCCAAGCTAATCCTGATCTACCTCTGCCACATGCTGCCAGCAAAGTGCAGAGGAGACTTTATGATCACTTGGGAATGAGCAAGAGAACTCTAGCAATCAGAACCTTCATCTATTGCTGCTTGACAAGGTGGCCCAAGGTTACTGGCTCCAAACAAATATTTGATATTTCTCACTATAAGTTGGAATTTTCTGGGCAGTTCCTCTGTTGGAGCTGTATCCATCTGAGGCAGTCACTTGGGGCTGGGTTGGCCAGGCTTCTCCCCTCTCCACAGGATTCTGCATCTAGGGGTCTTCATGACACATTGGCTTCAGAGCAGTGCACGGAGAGAGTGAAAAAAGCAGCTAGAAGGCTCCCAAAGGCCCTGGAAATTTTGCATTATCAGTTCTGCAGCCTTGCAGGGGCTGAAATGAATCACAGGGCCAGGCTAGATTCAGGCGGGTGAGGAGACAGATGCTCCTCTTGATGGACAGCACAACAGAGTCCCCTTGCAGAGGGGTGTGCATACTGGGGTGGGTAGCATCTGAGACCATTTAATAACTTACCACAGGGTCTAACCAAGAGAACAGATGCTGCTTTTAGCAGTTACAACAGAGGGAATGAGAGCACAGGAAACTGGCTCAAAGTGAGGACTGAGCTCAGCCCTCGAAAGGACCTGCACCCACTTGTGCCTCTCCCCTCCAGCAGGCCCTCCATGCCTGTGTTTAGTCTGGCCAGGAGTGGATGCTGGGCGGAGGGCTTGGTGAGTATTCTTCCCGAATATTTTCTTCACTTAGAGCCAGTCTACAGATTACTTTATATATTTACTTTTTTACTCAGGAGCCCTAAATGTTACATCTCTTTTCTTCCACTGTGCTGGCTTTTCTGAGGGCAACAGCAGCCTCCTCACTACCTTCCAGGACTCAGGGTGCGGTAAAGAAGCTCAGTTAGTCACCAGTAAGGAAAACTGCCTGGTTAATATTTCATAGCATCATATAAAACTGTGCAAACTAGAGTGTCCACAAGCAGCAGGAGGCAAATTGGAGGCCCTGAGAAACAAAGCTAGAAACAAAGAC